>NC_000010.11:91203701-91506731 GCF_000001405.40 Homo sapiens
AAATTTTCTTTCCTATTGTTTTCTCCGTTCTCTTAACATTTTTCATTTCCATTGTAAATTTGAAATTGAAATAAATTTTATAGATCCTTTATTCTTTTAATATAGGAAATTTGTCAACAACAAAAACAAGTGTATATATTTAAAAGTTTTAAACCTGATTGTTTTAGGCTGTTTAATTTTTGTGAACCTAATGATTTCAGTCAGGCCCACATTTCTGAAATGAGCGTTATGTCAGTGTAAGCTAATTTAACACTTTTATGCAGTTTTCATAAGTGATTGTACAACTATTTGATGTTTATTGTTGAGTTTGTGAAGCATGACACCACAAAATCATAAAAATGTTCTAATATCTGTAACCAGAACTACAGATAAGGTAGTGATAACATTTAGAGAACATGTTTTTGAATAGTGATTTGCTTTTATAAAGATTAAACTTTTAGAATTATGAATATAATGTTTAATTTGCATAAGTTTATGTCTACTCTTTACTCCTCATAAAATATTCTGACAAGCTTTGCAATAGGGAAGAGGGCTGTTAGGGATGTCTTAGATGGGATTCCAGCATTGGATAATAAATTGAACTTATTGGATTAGGTTTTAATTAAACCTTAATCTGAATTAAGGTTTTCATTTAAAAAAAAACCCTTACATTAGTCTTTCCTCCTTTTGTTAGATGATTGCACTCAAGTAACTGTCTTATATACTTTTAACTAATATTTACTTCATAGATATTAATTTAATTCTTCTAGAATGCAGACTCTATGATGACCAGGCCAGGTCTATTTTATTTACTATTGTGTTCCAGGCACATTTTCACAAACAGCCTGTTTGGAAGTTACTAAAACACAGAATAAGTGGATATGAAATGGTAGAGCCATTCCTTTCCAGACAAATGTTTGGTTCTCAAGTCTTGGAAGATGATAAACATGAGAACCCAGAAAATGCAAAGAAGGAGAGCTCTGAGGATAAAAATAGTTGTACATAACAAAAGTTCCCCACTGCCAACTCATTATTGCCACGTCCTGCCCTTTTTCTCTCTCTTCTTCAGATTTCTTCCTCCTTTCACTGCCTCACTGTCTTTTGTGAAAATGAGTACTTTGGGTATTGTTTTGATTCTGTGTAGGTCACCAAGATCAAGAAATGTAATAAATGCCTTTATCTGGGCACAATGGTGAAAGATTTCCTTGATGTTCAAGTTTTAACTTCTTTCTCATAAAATACCAGAAATAATGTTTCTTAAAATTTGGAATACATAGCTATATTTAAATTGAAATATATCTGTAAACTATCTAGCAAATTTGTAATTTTTATCTACATAAACAATTTTTTAAAATTTTATGAGTAAACTAAGTTATATGTAACACAGTTTAGGTTGCTAATTCTTATGGTCCAGTGAGATTAGATATGTAAATACAGTTATTTTAAATGCATAAAATATATTTATCTCTCTCACTAGAGTCACTAAGTTGGGCAAAATCTTCATTTCTTTGATTTTCCCTGTCATCCAGCCTTGAGCGCAATTGTTCCCAAATATTTTGAAAGGCTATTATGGAACGATTTTTCTTTTTTCTGGGTTTCTAAATGACTGGACACACACACACACACACACGGCCCAGCTAACATGGAGCAAATTATCTTCCACCCTTCCCCAGGTCAGACGTGGCACTCTAAATCCTTCACAGATAATCTGTGAATAAAAACACACCCATAGACCTAGATATTAGTATTTTAAGTGACAAGGGTATATTCCAGCGTTCATTCATAAACTGAGCCAAGCTCAAAGTACATTTTTCCTGAAGAAACAATGTTGTAAACATTATAAATGATGAGTTTCTCAGGCCAGGCCACACAAGTCCTATCTAATCTGTGTTTGTCCATTGAACTATTCCTCTATCCATCAAACACCTAGAGAGTTTCTACTTTATGCCAGATTCCTTGCCCTGCATCGGACCACATCAGAATCATTGACAGTATATTTACAGTTAATAAAACTGAGGCTGGGCGTGGTGGCTCACCCCTGTAATTCCAGCACTTTGGGAGGCCGAGGCAGGTGGATCACTTGTGGTCATTTGTTGGTCAGGAGTTTGAGACCAGCCTGGCCAACATGGCAAAACCCTATCTCTGCTAAAAATACAAAAAGTAGCCAGGCACGGTGGTGGATGCTTGTAATCCCAGCTACTTGGGAGGCTGAGGTGGGAGAATTGCTTGAACACGGGAGGCTGAGGTGGGAGAATTGCTTGAACCCGGGAGGCACAGGTTTCAGTGAGCTGAGATCACACCACTGCACTCCGACCTGGGTGACGGACCGCGACTCTGTCAAAAAACAAACAAAAAAACTAAAAGACATGGTATACCAACATTTGGGCAAATTTTGGCAACAGCCTAACAATAAATTGGCTTTTTAATCTTTTATTTATAAAATAGTGCCACAAATATTTATCGGAGAACTACTATGTGCCAAAGTCTGTGCTTGCCACTAGGAATGAAAGAATGAACAGGGTAGCTCCTGCCGTCAAGGAGCTGAACAGCAGAACTCGGAGAAAAAGCAGGTTTGATTAAAGGAGAATGGAAAGGTAGGTACAGATGTAACATTTGGAAAGGATGGTGACTTCTGTGAAAACAAGCACTAGATGTTATAAATAAGACTCTTCAACATGTCAGCCATGATAAGCCACTTTTTTTTTAATCTCAAAAACCAAAGAGACAATTTCTGATGCCTTTGAATGAGGATTAAAAGAGAGTGGGAGGGAGAAAGGAATTAGGCAGAGTATGAGGAAGATATCACCTGGGATGAAACTAGCAGATAGGGAAAGCCTGCATGGAGCCTCAGTGCACTTAGGAGAGTACACTTGGCTGCATTTCCCCACAGTGGTCCCTTCATTATGCAACTGCATAGTTGCCAGTCTGGAGCAAGAACACTGGGTAGGTAGAAATGGTAGGAGGCAGCAGTCAGCTTAGAGTAAAGGGTGAAGTCTCAGTAACAGCCTGTGGGGGACTGCATGGTCTCTGACTTCCTTTCCTGTGCTTTCTCTGTTGCTATCTGCACCTAAGCATGATCCTGCCTCCATGCCTTTGCCTTACATTGTGTATTCTCTGCCTGGTACGCTCTTCCCCCAGTTACCTGCACAGTTTAGTCCCTTACCTCATTCAGATCTGTGCTAAATGTCACCTAACTAAATCCTTCTCTCACCTCCCTATTTTAAATAGCACTGCCCCAGAGTCCCTCTTGGTTTTATTTTTCTTTACAGCACTGATCACTACATGACCTTATTTATTTGTTTATTGCCTATTTCCTTCTAGGATGCAAGGTCCGTGAGAACAGGGGCTTTGTCTGGTTCAGTGCTATATTTCCTGTGCTGAGAACATAGCCTCGCCCACTGTAGAAGGAATTAGGAGGTGCATTTTCTAAGAAGGGGCTTTTAGCATAGAAAGACCCTTTTCCTAAAAACCTTTTAAAGAGGAATTTTTTCAGCCTATCATTTACTTTTATTTAAGTTTAAGACCACTTTGGTGAGGGATGTGCAGCTGGTGGTAGTATTCTTCTACTAGAGAGTTGTGAGATGAGCCATTTGTCATTGCATTACTTTTGATCTTACACATTTTTTCTACTTTCAGCTTCTTGAGAAATTCAAAATCTACAGAAAAGTTGCCAAAATCTTTCAATGAACATCCGTATATCTCTCACTTAGATTCACTGTTTAACATTTTGCCCCATTTGCTTTATCTCTGTATATACATGTTACTACAATTTTCAATGAACCATTTAAGAATAGTTGCAGACATGACCCTTTACCTCTAAATACTTCAGGTTGTATCACCTAAGAAAGGACATACAGTTACTATATTCAGGAAATATGGCATTGTTATAATAGTATCTAATGTGCAGACCTGTCCCAATGATATCCTTTATAACCGTAACAATAATGAAGTCCCAATTCAGTAAACAGTCTAAAATCACACACTGTATTTAGTTATCAAATTTCTTTAATCTTTCTCAATTTTTCTTTGTCTTTCATGACATTAATATTTTCAAAAAGTGTAGGCCATTTGTTTTGTAAAATGGCCCTCAATGTGGACTTATTTTATGTTTCCAAATGATTATAGTCAGGATAGACATTTTGGGCAGAAACATTACATAGGTGATAATGTATCCTCCTAAGAGCATCATCTCAGCAGGTACATAATGTCAGATTATCCCATTATTAGTGCTGTTAGATGCAATCACTGTTTAGGTAGCATCCAATGGATTGCTCCATTGTAGGGGTACCTTTTCCCCTTTGTAATTCATAAATTTATAGTATCAATTTTAATTACATGAAATTAGACTATCTCTGTCGAGAGACACTGTACAACTATGTAAATATCCTCTACCCAGCAATTTTTTCTTAATAGTTTTAGGATCCCTGGAGATTCTTGCCTGAATCAATTAATAACATGGTTATAAAATAGTGATTTTATAATTCTTTCATTCCTTACATAAGTTGACATTCTCTTGAAAAGAAGGATTCTTCTTTTCCTCCCATTTGTTTATTTGCTTGCTTGTTGTAAATATGGACTCATGGATTATTTTCTTTAAATTCAGTGTGTATGATCCATTCCTCTTGCTCATTTTGATGCTCAGATTGTCCTAGAGTTGGCCTAACTGCACTGATCCTTGGCATCTGGGGAGAGAAATACCTAATCCGGGAGTAAGAGACATTTTTAGTCCATTCACAGTGCCACTTCAATTTTAATTGTGTATGAATCACCTGAGGGCCCAGATTCTGCATTCCTAACAAGATCCCTGCTGATGCTGGCTGATCTGTGGACCCTGGCTGAAGTAACAAAGCTGTAGGCATCTATGGGCTCATTGGAAAGAGCCAAAACACATTGCTCTCCCTGTATTAGTATGAAAAATTCACCTCATTATCATGGAAGAGAATGATCTCTTGGAAAATATATGAACTCTGGTAGGCATAGGGGAGAGAGGATGTGTACCCCACCTGCTTGAGTCCCAGAAATCATGATAATGAGGAATGCTGGCCTCACACTCATGCTTATTTTGCATTTCTCTTGAAATCCTGAACTTTCAGGGAGCTGGCTTCAGTTCCTGGTTTCTGGGACCATGGGAAATAGTGACACCTTCAGTGTTGGATGTGTCTCTACTGGTTTTCTGTTAGTCAAACCAAACTTTATTGGTACCAAGGGAAGTTAGGCAGTTTAAACTCTCCTAATCAAAAAGAAAATTCTCATTTTTCTTGCTCTACAGGAGTGTGAGCTTTCTGCCATTGGTAGGTTTCAGTGGCTTTTGGTCAAATACTTTTTTTCCCTTTAGAAGTAATTTATAGGCAGATTGTTGTTGGCACTCTGGCCATTTGTAGTTTGTTACTGTTACATTCAATTCATTTATTCAGAATTCCAAATATACATAGTATTTTGTGTTGCTTAGTAACTTTGTTTAATGTGTTTACATTTTATCATTAATCCTTTTTTCTGACATAATTTCATTTACTCATCTGTTACCTGACTAATATTTTCCCTTAGTCTATTAATTATGTTAATTGATGGAATCTTCCTTGTAGAAGAAGAGAACTTTACAAGTGAGGGACTTCCTCTTTAGACATCTGTCAGAAGTCAGAGGATGGGGCTGGGCACAGTGGCACACACCTGTAATCCCAGAACTTTTGGGAGGCTAAGGTAGGAGGATCATTTGAGACCAGGAGTTTGAAACCAGCCTGGACAGCATAGTGAGGCTTTGTCTTTACAAAAAAAATTAGATTAAAAAGAAAAAGGAGGCCGGGCGCGGTGGCTCACGCCTGTAATCCCAGCACTTTGGGAGGCCGAGGCGGGTGGATCATGAGGTCAGGAGATCGAGACCATCCTGGCTAACAAGGTGAAACCCCGTCTCTACTAAAAATACAAAAAATTAGCCGGGCGCGGTGGCGGGCGCCTGTAGTCCCAGCTACTCGGGAGGCTGAGGCAGGAGAATGGCGTGAACCCGGGAAGCGGAGCTTGCAGTGAGCCGAGATTGCGCCACTGCAGTCCGCAGTCCGACCTGGGCAACAGAGCGAGACTCCGTCTCGAAGAAAAAAAAAGAAAAAAAAAAAAAAAAAAAGAAAAACGAAGAAAGGAATTGGAGGATATCTGCTGATAGGAGTAGAGTCTCCCAGTTTAGTAGCTATCAATGGGCATTAGGGAATGAATGAATGAATGTGGAACCAATATGCACGTGTCAACTCAATGAGATTGACATGTGGAAATTGAGATTCCCAAATGGGTGTTTTTGTTTGTTGTTTATTTGTTCCTTTTAATCTCTACCATTTGTGTCTTTTGCCACTTCTGGCATTTAGATGGATAGCAGATCATAGCATTAGACAATCTATAAAGCTTGGGCAATTTCTAACATATAAATGATTTGCAACTTCATATGCCCCACTGCTCTCCCTTAACGCTTCCTTCTTCCTAGAGGGATGGGCCCCCACCTGTCTGCTGGGAGATTTGGATGCCCTTCCCCTTATAGCAAACAGTCCACCTGCTGCTTGAGATCCTTTTTCTGCCAGAGAGTGCTACAGCTCTTGTGCTTCCTGGTCACAGCACACACTTGTGTTCATTGAACGATGTGGAGTTAGTATGAATTTTATTCCCCATCTCTCAATTATGTATATGTTATAGAAGGGTGTTTAACGTAGCCACACTGTGAAAACATTACTCATTACTTCTAAATGCTAACCTGCAAATCTAGTAAGATACACAAGGTGGTACCTTTTAAGTCATCTTTGTTAGAGGATGCCACCTGAAGATCTCTAATGTCAAACTGGATAACTGGCTTAGCTTGGTAAGAGATCATTGGCCCACAGAGGTTCAGTGGTTGCTATAGAAGCACAGGGCCAGCAGAACCTGTGGTCTGTGGAGGCCACTAGCACAGTATTCAAGGGCTTTGTCATGGCTGGGTGCCAACACCTGGTGGAAAGCAGAAAGGCTGTTTCAGTGCCTCTAGTGCTAGACACCTGGTACCAATTAAGACCACACCTGCTTTCTGTTGTTTGGTCTCTCCCTTTCTCTGTCCTGTGAGCTACATTTAAAAATAATCACTGAAAATCAGAAATGTTTCCAGTTCTAACTCAAATCACTGTAACATCTCAAAAATGTGTATGTATTCTGGAGATAGTAGTAAGTAGGAGAGCAAGTTTCACCTATTCTCTCATTTAAATGTAGAAGAATATCTCATTTTTTCAGACACGAAGAATTATCAGACAGGTGAGCTGCTTCACACAAAAACCCAGAAGGACTATAGTAGCATCCTTTACAGTGCCTAAAGCAGTGTTTACCATGCATTAGGTACCAGGAGGCATTTGTTAAATAAGTGGTCCAAAGCAAAAAGGAATGGTAATGGAGTGCATTTTATTTTTATTTCCCATCTTATCAGCTTTTTGCAAGCATTATTTTGATTACAGCAAACTTAAATTCCTCATTAGATTTCCAATGCTATGTTTGAACATTGCTTGAATGTCAGTCCCTGGCTGTTTATGCACATGTATACAATACTGACTTGGCTATATCCAGACACAGAAATGCATACTTTGTTGATGTGATTAGCTGGGGGGATTAGTTGTTAAGTTAAAGAATATTCTGGAAAGTTAGGTGGTGCCTTTAATGTCTGAAAGTCTTGAAATGATTTCTTAGAGTGTTTCTCCATGACAGTGTGCTGTGTTACTCTTACTGTATTGCTATAGAGGTTATTGTAAATTTATCCAGCATTTGTTGAACTCCTGCCAGGTTCCCAGACCTTTGCAGGGGCCATACTTGTCCCTGCCTTCAGGTCATTTACTATCGGACCTGATCTGCATAAATGTGAAACGTCAGTACTGACCCAAAACCAACTTAGGTATCAGGTTCATGGGTCTCCAGCAGTTCTTCTATCTTCATAGGAAGAGAGATTCCTATGAGGTAGAAAGGCTGGAAGAATGAACAGTTTAGGAAGATGTAGAATTGCAACTGAATAGTGAAGAAGAGGAAGAGGAGGAGGAGGGAGAGCATTCCAGTTAGTAGGGCTCAGTGTAAGCAGAAGCTAGAGGTTGGCATTCACACTGTGTTCAAGGGATAGTGAGAAGCCTGGTCGAGTTGTTAAAGTAGAGGCTTTGTCTTGGAAAGAGTGGAGACAAGGTTATAGAGCTTATCTGGAACCAGGCCCCAGAGGTGTTGCAGTGCTGCAGAGCAAAGTGGTCTGGAAGGTGGTTGAGCAGCACTAGAATGGTTCAGGAGCTGCACCACAAGGTTCCACTCCTGCCTCCATTGTCAGGAGCGGTGTGATACTGGTTGTTGCACAAACTCTCTGTACCATGGTTTCCTCATTTATAAGATGAGGACAATGATTTTATTTATCTTACAGGATTGCTATAAATAATAAATGAAACAATAATGATATAAAATGCTTAGCAAAATACTGTGTACTTGGAAGAGCTCATTCCATTGTTAGTTATTAGGCAAGGGAGAGACATAAAGCTGATACTCAGAAATAGGTTAATTGAAGCTTGAGAAAGCTTTGTAGAGTTGCTTTTTGCCTTCATGCAGTTGAAAATGAGGTGTTAGAGGTGTCACCATAATTTCCACACTGTTCAAGAAGGCACGGGAAGATACATGAAATATTGTGTTGCATGAGGCCATTCTGTTTTCACTACATCCCCATTTCACAGATTTGATGAACATGCTTAAAAGCCATTGAGAAATAATTAGATCAGAGTAATTTGGAGTGTCTCTTAATAGTCACAGAGAACTCTTATTCTGGTCAGTTAGAGGAAATGAATTATTTGACCAGAAGTAGCTGGAAGTTTGGTTTGCTTTTTTTTCTTGATTAATATTTTATATTGTATACTCAGAGGCTACTCTACTGACAGGAATGAGATAGAGAATTGAATCTGAATAAATCAAAGTGGAAAATAACTATGAATATCCCTAGAAGAATTGTACAGCCTAACTTCTATAACGCATGCCCACTAATTCTGTTTGTTGTGTTCACACTTTGGGTAGGTAAGAAAATGGAAGGCAGCTCTCTATAAAAACAAGAGTTCTGTTTTAATACCCTTGCTTAAAGTTTTTCTTTAATCTTAAGATTTTTTTCTTAGCTGGAAGTAAGTTTAATTCATCTATTGGGACGTTTGGATTTTTATTAAGCTTGATGTCTCCTCTCTTTGTAAAGATCTGAATAAGTTGTGCTTCAGACTCATCTTCATGGTAGAAACTATGAAAAATTGTACAGCATATGTGTTATACTATATGAAGAAATACCATCTTCAAAGGATAATATTACACTCACATTTTAATCACAATAAGTTATACTTCCTAAGCGCTGCTCGTCTGTATCTTATTCTGAATATTATAGATGTTTCCATATCTGGTATAGAGAGTGTTCTTATGTGCAGTTTAAGTGTTTTCAAGGGTCAAAGCTTGTAAATGCTAATAGTTTCTTGTTTAGCACTCCAAATATAATGCCATGCATTTACTGGCATGAATAGTTATTAATTAGTATTAATTCTATTTGTGTTTTAGAAAATGTAAGAGAGATGAATCAAAAGTATGACTAATATTTGAAGGAACACATCTATTTCTTAGTCTGTGCAGTCCTTAAAATATACTCTACATATGTGTGGATATATCTGTATGTATTTGTATATACGTATGCATAAGTAACCTCTATTTGGCTACAAGTAGCACAAATTAGTTCTGTGTCAGATATTATAAGTATGTTTCTGTACTTTGTTCATTAACTTCATTATTTTATTTCATTAAAAAAAATTTTTTTTTAAGATGAAGTTTTGCTCTTGTTGCCCAGGCTGGAGTGCAATGGCGTGATCTTGGCTCACTGCAACCTCCGCCTCCCAGGTTCAAGCGATTCTCCTGCCTCAGCCTCCCGAGTAGCTGGGATTATAGGCATGCACCACCACACCAGGCTTTTTTTTTTCTTTTTTTTTTTCTTTTTTGTATTTTTAGTAGAGATGGGGTTTCTCCATGTTGGTCAGGCTGGTCTCAAACTCCCGACCTCAGAGAGGTCCCCACCTCGGCCTCCCAAAGTACTGGGATTACAGGCGTGAGCCACCATGCCCAGCCACTTCATTATTTTAATGTGCCACATTAAGTGTTATGTACTACATGTTAAACATTAAACAGATTTATTCTAAATGCCTGCTATGGGTTGAATTGAGTCTCTCAAAAAGAACTGGTGAAGTCTTAGCCTCTGCTACCTGTGAATATGACCTTATTTGGAAAGGTCATATTCTTTGAAGGTATAATCAGTTTGGGCTCTTAATTCAGTAAGACTCATGTCCTTATAAGAAGAGGAAAAGGCCAGGCATGGTGGCTCATATCTGTAATCCCAGCATTTTGGGAGGCCAAGGTGGGTGGATTGCTTGAGCCCAGAAGTTCAAGACCAGCCTGGGAAACATGGTGAAATCTTGTCACTACAAAAAATACAAAAATTATCTGAGCATGGTGGTATGTACCCATGGTCCCAGCTACTCTGGAGGTTGAGGTGGGAGGATCACTTGAGCCTGGGAGGTTGAGGCTGCAATGAGGCGTGATTGCACCACTGCATTCTGGCCTGGGAGACAGACTTTGTCTTAAAAAATATATGTTAAAAAAAAAAAAAAGGAGAGACAGACAGACAAGGAGAATGTCATGCGAAGATAGATGCACAGAGAGAAGACGGCCATGGGACTGCTGGAGCAGCAGCACAATTGTATGTTGTAGGGGAGGGGAAATTTCCTCCAGGGAGGTTGCTACCAGAAGAAGGGACTATACTTAGCTACCTCTGGGTTAGAGAATTTAAGGGAACTGATCAAATTCAAAATCATGGCTATGAGAAATAGGAGACAATTTGTCCAGGCATATACAGGAGTAATTATAAGAACAAAGCAAAACAAAACGCAGCATTAAGAACCCAGTTGACCGGGATAGCATGTTTTTAGTAGTACTGATTTGCAGACAAGCACACTGGTAGAGGAGCACGACAAACAGATGAACGGCCAAAAGGCTAAAGAACTGCAGATAAAATATGATAACCAGAACAGGGAGAAAGTTAATGATGATTGCATTGGGTCTGAGGAAGACAAGGAAGGAAATGGATCCAGAGAAAGGTTGATTAAACTAAATTGAAAGGAAGGAGCAGAGAATCCCCAAATGGGGATATAAGCCAGAATACAGTTATTTTAAAATCAATTTATGCTTATAAGTTCAGGTTCTTATTACAGAAAGTCTTTCCTTTTCTAGTAGAAATGAGTGTTCTACTTAAAATTTCATACTTCACTGGTAAAAAGGATTAAAGAATCAATGGTTACGGAAATATTGTAAAGGAAATGGTGATCTATGAATTTATAATCATGAAGTTCTAATTAACTTCCTCATCAGTACTTGTAATAAGCATCACCCTCCTAACATTTTTGGGAAGTGAAATATCATTGTAAGTTGTTCAAATCAGGAACAACAGTTCTTGACAAAATTTGCTTTTTAAAAGCATAAATGAATACATGTAATTACTCCTCTTCCTTGGATTTTTCTTCAGTTTTCTTAATTTAATAAATTAAAATGGTGATATTGAAATGATCTGGTATCAAAGCCTCGTCTTTTATAATTCAGTAATATAGTTAGTGAACAGACCTCGGCCTTGGTGACTTGTGTGAAACTCCCTGTTCACAGATTCTTCTTAATATGCATATAATAGTCATCCAAAAAGCTAGAAAAGGAGAATACCCATCAGCAGCTTAAATTCCCTTGTTTAACGTCATAGAAATAAAAACATACGTCCTTCTCCTTAGGAGGCTGTCAGGTCTGATCTAGTTCCCATAGCTGCAATATTCTTATTTTCAAATGTGCCCTCTTTTGCTGAGTTTGCTGTCTTTGAAAAGAGATGGGATGGGGAAATCTCACCACCCAGCCCTTCAGGGCCTCTTCTCAGAGCTGCTGATACTGGCCATGGTGAGGCTGGAGTTGACAGCTAACACACTTTTCTTCTGGCCTTCTCATTTATCATTCATATGCCATTACCATTCATTTGTAACTGGCAGAGAAGGCATTTAGGACTAATTTCTTGTCCACCCATAGTGCTGCTGCTTTCAACTAGAGTTTTTGTCACTTGATCATGTTCCATTTAACACTTTATTAATAAATTTTGATATATTGCTCCATAATTGTTTCTTGTGGATAAGTCTGTACTCCCTGGTGTGATTTTAATTAATAATCCAAGAAGGCAGGGATTATGCCTTAACACATCCTTTGTAAGGATCCCTTCAAGAAGAAACCCAAGAAAGAATACATAGGATCAGTTCTTAGAATGTATGCTGCAAATTATTCAGTTTTTCAATAAATATTTGTTTGAACACTTGCTTTTTGCCATCCACTCTGCTGGGGATATGCATAGCCAAGCAGTGGATCCACTGGGCTTACACTCTAGTGGGAGATCCAGATGAGTAAATCAGATAATCTAAGAGTGTGATATTTGATTTGAGAGGATAAATGTGAGTTGTTAATGTATGAATATGGTCTGTGTGTATACAGGAGGCTCTTTGGCAGCTTTGAGGTGCCTGAGAAGGTGACCTTTGAAATCAGCTAATACGTGAAAGGATATATAAGGGTTGGTCAGACTTAGCAGAGGTGGGGAAGGGTGAGGGGATAAAGACAGGGTGGTCATTTGGAAGAAGACCTATCTATCTAGCTAGAGAGTAAAGAGGTACATTATGGCTGGAGCACAGAGTTCAAGTGGGGGTGGGGAGGCTGTAGAAGTGACAGGGATTTGAAATGGCCTTATTAAGTGTTTGGGCATTATTCTAGAAATGAGGTTTTTTAAAGCCAGAGAGCAGCATGACCCTCATTTATATAGTTAGAAAGAGTCTTCTGGCTGTGCTGTGGAAGATGCTTTGGCAGAAAAGAGCTGTAGGAAGACTACTTAAGAGTTCATTGAGTGATAGAGAGTAGAGATGATAGTGGATCTGAACAGGGTGGCTAAACAGAGGGATTTAAGAGACATTTAGCAAGGGAAGTCCTTGAAAATTATTGGATTGTGGGAGAGGGGTGCAGTAAGAGAAAGACATGGTCAAGGGTGATTGGAAGTTCTCTTCAATTCTCTGTTCCCCCTACCATTCATACATCATTGATTTTAGGCAAACATAGATTTAGAGTTATAATATTCATGGTCATAAAATAAATATATGTGGGCCTTATAGGATATTTATGTTCAATTGTAATATTTTCTGTAATCTCTATAGGAAGACCTTTATATTACAGAGAGTAGTTTATATGTTAAAGACACTCTATGTTAAAATATTAAACAGCATTCTTAGGTACATAATTTATAATAATGAAAATTTCACCTTTTTTTTTTGAGACAGAGTCTCTCGCTCTGTCGCCCAGGATGGAGTGCAGTGGCACGATCTTGGCTCACTGCAAGTTCCACCTCCTGGGTTCACGCCATTCTCCTGCCTCAGCCTCCTGAGTAGCTGGGACTACAGGCACCTGCCACCACGCCCTGCTAATCTTTTGTATTTTTAGTAGAAAAGGAGTTTCACCGTGTTAGCCAGGATGGTCTCGATCTCCTGACCTTGTGACCACCCGCCTCGGCCTCCCGAAGTGCTGGGATTATAGGCATGAGCCACCGCACCCAGCTGAAAAATTCACCTTATTTAATATTTCAGGGAGATGTAAATATATAACCACATTTTTCAATCACTTTATGCCATTAAAAGTCAGTTAATTAATGATGTATTTATTAGGCAGGAAAGGAATGTGAACTTTTAGTATAGAACTACCTACCCACCCATTGCCCAGCCATAAATGAAATAAAAATCTAGATATAAAATATAAAGTAATGAAAACATTTGTTAGGTATACAGATAGCTCCAAGTAGTTCCAGGAGTTATTAAGAGCCATTTGTGGTTCTCTGGAAGAGTCTGGGCCAATACTCAAATGCAGCAGTTATCACTTTGGGATTATGCTTCTTTGATAGGGAATCACCAGTGGCCACTTCACTCCTAAGTGCCATCTAGACAGTTATTTCCCTCCCTCTCCTCATCCATTCTTCCCTTTCTTTCTTCCTTGTTTAACAACAACAAAAAAAGTTAATCTGTGTGTTTTTTCTTTAGACATAGTCTCGCTCTTGTGCCCCAGACTAGAGTGCAATGGCGCGATCTTGGCTCACTGCAACCTCCACCTCCCAAGTTCAAGTGATTCTCCTGCCTCAGCCTCCCTAGTAGCTGGGATTACAGGCACCTGCCACCAAGCCTGGCTAATTTTGGTATTTTTAGTAGAGACAGGATTTCACCATGTTGGCCAGGCTGGTCTTGAACTCCTGACCTCAGTTGATCTGCCCGCCTTGGCCTCCCAAAGTGCTGGGATTACAGGCGTGAGCCACCGTGCGCAGCCCTAATCTGTTTCTTACCAGACCTCCCTTAAGTTCTGGGACTTGAGAAGTACTCTCAAGAGGTATTAAAGAAAACTGAAGCTGACACCTTTGTTTTTGTCTTGGCTCTACCAGAATCAGCTCTGTAATTATGAATTCACCACGTCTCAGGATCTTAGTTTCTACATCTATAAAATGAGAAAGCTGAAGTACATTATTGATAAGGGGACTCCCAGCTATGATTCCTTTATCCTGCCTTTTTTTTTCCCCTGGTCCTATATCCAGTTGCTTCCAGGCCTTTGTTTACTTGAGGGTCCCACTGGTACTTGAGATTTGTTATCAGAGCTACCCCCTCATGTTGTAGCTTCCGTCATTTGTCCTCTGCCCCCACTGGCAGTACCAAGGGACTAGACTAGGATAAGTAACTGGTAAGGAGCCCCAGGGGAGAAGGAGAGGCAGCACAGCAGCTGAAAGTCCCATGTTTTAATACTTACAATCTGCATACACATCACACAGGAAAGTTGCCATTTCACAACACTCCCTCTTACCATTACTTTTGTTATTATTCTTATTTTATTATTATTATTGAGACAGAGCCTTGCTCTGTCTCCCAGGCTAGAATGCAGTGGTGCGATCTCGGCTCACTGCAACTTCCACCTCCTAGGTTCAAGCGATTCTCCTGCCTCTGCCTCCTGAGTAGCTGGGACTACAGGCGCATGTCACCATGCCCGGCTGATTTTTGTTTTAGTAGAGATGGGGTTTCGCCATATTGGCCAGGCTGGTCTCAAACTCCTGACCTCATGATCCGCCCACCTCGGCCTCCAGAAGTGCTAGGATTACAGGCATGAGCCACCGTGCCAGGCCTATTATTATTTTTTTAACCAGACAAATGTTTGAGTTTTTAAACTTGTTTTTATTTTGTGTATGTGTGCATTTTTTTAAATTGGGGTGGGAGAGATGGAATGGTTGCTGAAGAAGGCAGAGGCGAAACCACAGAACACTTAACTGCAAACTATTGCTGCCTCTCCAGACACAAAGCACAGATTGCCTTATAAAAGTTGTAGTTCTCCCTCATCCCAAGTCCATTCTGGCAACCCCACCTCCACATTCATCCTCAGGTACTGCTGTATCACATGTTTGTGACCCCTTCCTTCATTGCTAACATATGTCATCCTAAAACCCGCCTTCAAGCTCGTTTCCTTCAGGAATACTGATTAACCGCACTTGTGATAGGTCACCAATCACATTTAAGCCCCCTGGACTCCACTGTTATTCTTTTAAAACATATTTAAAATAGTTTCAGACACAAAATAGGAACATACCAAGTCTTTTTTATATATTGTGGTATATATACAGTAATATCCTCCAATGCATATTTTAAACACACTAGAAGTAGTGTGATTTTTCACATACTGTTCTGTTTAGTCTCTGAAATGAAAGATATGAAGCATAAAGAGTAATCCTACTGCCATGAAGTCATTTGACCTCACTTGTTTTCTCTTACTCATTGTGATTGCTGCGACTTATGAAGTTGATCCCAGCTTGGACATTGGCATGTATGATTTTGGAAAATGGTTCTTTAAAGGACTATACGAATGTGGTCATTTAAAGCTGTTTCAGAAAATGTATTGCTCCTGCTGTGATATTAGAAATGGCAATTTTTAAACATGTCAAAGTTTGATTATAAAATGGATAGTTTAAAAAGCTGCCTTGGTCTACTGCTTGATGCATTTTAAATTTGAAATGGATCTTTGAACACTTGTATGGCTGCTGGACTAGCGGTTGTTAAGTTTGTTGGTTTGCCACTTAGAGTCATCTATCACTTTAGTAAGAAGTTAACGCCTATCAGTTGGAGAAAAAGCAAATATTTTGCATTGACAGTCTCCCCTACCCTCTATTATTGTCATTTTCTTAAGCCATCACTGCTCTGGCTTCTAGAATACACATTTTTGAATGAAGGTTTTTGCAGTGAATGGTCTCTTGTAGATCTCAAAGTCCACTAGAAAGAGTACTGGGTTTTTGTTTGTTTTGAACGTTGCAAACAGTAATGCTTCTTTACCACTCACCCTCCCCCCACCCTCAACCTCCACAACGTTCCCGTTTGCTTATAGTTGTCAACGACCATGATCTCTGGACCCACACTACAGTAACAAGTTTGTCAGTCATTTTCAGATAAGGTGCAAATCAAGGGATGGCTTTGTCCCCACTTCGGCGCAGGTGGGACAGACTTGGGGAAGACGCAGCTGAAGAGACAAATTCTCAGGGTGCGTCAGTCTCATCACTGACCGTTGCTTTTAAACCCTCCAGGGAAAATATGCCAGTCATTGTTATGATGTAAACAACCGAAGGGGTGGACGGTGAGGATAAGAAGAACCGAGATAATATTTGGCCAGAGCTACGTGTAGCACAGGGAGCCAGGGCGGCAGCTGCACCTGCGAGCAGCGCAGGCGGCAGGCGCGGCCTCCGGGCGTGGTGGTGGGCGTGGCCGGGCGGCGGGGGCGTGGCCGGGCGGCGGGGCGGGCGGTGCCGCCGGTTGGAAGTGGGTGGAGTTGCCCTTGGAGGCGGCACCGGACCTGGGCCCCGAGGCCCGCCGCGCCCTGTCGGGCCTGAGCCGAGTGGCCCCACAGAGCCGGCGCGCTCCCGCCTGCAGGGGGAGAGCAGACGGGGCGCGGGGACCGGCCAGGCCGCGGCGGGTGCTGTTTCTGTTTCACTTTCCTTCACTCTGAGGCCGGCGCGCTGGCGGGCGAGGAGCGGCGGCGGTGGCGGCCGCTGGGTAGGTACCGGGCGGGCTGGGGAGCTGCAGGGACGCCAGACTCCTCACCCAAGTTTGCGCCTCAGGCGAGAGCGACACCTCCAGACACCTGCCCTGGCCGGCCCAGCCTGGAGCCGGGAGGGCCCTTCGGGTGCAGGGGGCTACCGACCCGGGCGGGGGCTTCGGAGCTGTGCCTACCTCGGCGGGGAGAGCGGCCGGCTGCGGACGCCGGCCCCGGGAAAGGCTGCTCGCTCTCCCCGGCCTGAGCAGCGCGCCCGCGGGGCCTGGGCCCGCGCACCTGCCGGGCGGGCGCGGCTGTGCTGGGACCCCACAGGGCTGTACCGCTGGGTCCTGCCGGAGAACGCAGAAAAGTTCCCCCTTGCCCCCGCCCCGTCATTGCAAGTTCTTGCTTCCCTTAACTGTCTTGGTCACAGGGCTCTGTGCCTTAGGATCTTAGTACCACCCCAGGTCGGGACCGTGCATTTCCTCTTCCAGAGGACTTTCTCTTACTTTGGAGTTTCATGGCAAACCTGTGGGAAAGGCAAGGCAGTTAATCCCAACTTATAGAGGAGGAAGCCGAGACCCAGGCTCAGATATGAAACGGTTTGCTGAAGGTCATACAGGGGTAAGGGCCAGAACCCTGATTCCCTGTCTTTTAATTATGCTTGCTTTCTGTTACACGCACGAATACGGTTTCCCAAGAGGATAGGATGATTACACGTAGAGCCTATTCCCTGCACATTCGCAGTGGGTATGTGTTGATGGAATGCCTTTTACCTTTCCGGTTGCTTTATATTTACCAATGAGTTAACAGCTAAGATGGGGGAAAGTTCCTGTTTATAGAATGCACTTAGGAAAATCAACACCTTTCATGTTGTGTTTTCTGAGAGGATACATATTTTACAGTTAAAAAAAAAAAAAAACCTGAGACAGGAAAGTAGCATTATCCAGGTTATATATCTACTAAATATGACCAGTTTCTATTGAAGAGTTTTTGGTCTAACAAAGAAGGTAAAGAATGAACGTAACTATAAATCAAAATAAAAGGCAAATGTAATAGGAAAGAAGTAAGCATTAAAAACTAGGGAAAGATTGCACTGAGAATAGCATTGGAGAAGGGCTTGAAGGATAGGTGGCATGCAGACAGAGGAGAGAAAGGGCGTGTTGGATAGAGTGCTTAGAACCTGCAGAGGAGACGGTGGGAGAGGAGTGATCCCTTCAGGTTGAAGAAAGTTGTTGAAGGGTATATTAAGGTTAACCTGTAGAAGGTCTTATGTGACAGAATGGGAAACATTTTTCTGTTTGTAAAGAGAAGACACTGACATTCGTTGATAAGAAGACCCAACCAAGTGTCACAAAATAAAATGTGCCTCGTAGCAGAATATAAGATGGACTGCAGGTGGAGAGGTGATATACAAGTAGAGCAGCCGGGCATGGAATAGCAGAGGATATCAACTTGGTTTGACTCGTAACTGGATGAAGGGTTAAAAATGGAAATGGGGAACATTTTGATAGGGAGGATAATTACTTAAGTTTTTAATCTTTTAACTTGTATTGGCAGGGACTCCTAATAGAGCAGTCAAGCAGATAGTTAAAATGCATTAGTGAAGAGGTAAAGATATCAAACTGTAGTTAATAGCTTTGGGTGTCATTAGTATAGAGGTGGTAGTTGAGGTTCCAGGACTGGATGAATTTGTCATTATTCTGAATTATAGCAGATTTGCAAGTTAATGATACAATGAAGGATATGTTCTATTCACCTATTCACCCAATTGGGAACATGTAACACTTGCTGTTAATAGAATGACATTAATACATTATGAGGAATTTGACGCTTTTTTCTCTCATCTTTTTGAAATGATTTTGGAAACAGACATGGGAAAGCGGAACCACCAAAAGGAGTGATGATCAACGATCTCATGATAAATCTGGATGCTAGTTCTCATGCCTCAGGACATCCTACTGGGAACGACACACCAGCTCCTGGGATCAGACTTTCATCTACTTAGGACCCCTCTTTGCCCAGACTACTAAAGCCAGTCTTCACTAGCCACGAATGGCTACCCAAAGGAAACACTTGGTGAAAGATTTTAATCCTTACATTACCTGCTATATCTGTAAAGGGTATCTGATCAAGCCAACAACAGTGACGGAATGCCTCCATACATGTAAGTATTCTTTTAGGTTATTATACCTATCAAAGTTTATATGTACATTTTGTTCTTTTAAAATTGCCATGTTTTGTTTTTATCTATGTTGTAACTTTTAAGAAATGAGTATTCTAATAATTATTTTAACTTTGAATTTTCAGAATATTTGTCATTGGGTTGCCAGTGGCATGAAATTTTGCTTTTATTTGAATCTCAGTAGTTGACTCTTATCACATTGTAAAATATTCTAAAAATCATAAGCATATTATCAGTTATGGTTTTTTTAAGTGAACTATTTCAGGTTTTTTTATTTTAAAAATTTATACTCAAGGAATTAATCTCAGAGATTCTTTTAGGATATGCAGACTCTTAATTCGCTGGTTCTCAAAGTGTGATTCCTAGACTAGCAGCACCAGTGTCATTGCAAGTTCTAGGAACTTGTTAGAAATGCAGATTATCAGGCCCTACCCTAGATTTAATGAGCCGGAGACTCTGAGAGTGGGCCCAGCAATCTGTTTTAACAAGCCCTCCAGGTGATTCTGAAGCATGCTTAAGTTTGAGAATCACTGTTCTAGTAGTAGTATACCTGTGGAGCTCCTAGCAGATTTCATTCTCAACTGTCCCATTGGAAGAGGAAGAGGCATTTTTTACTGCCACTTATGCCAAGATTACACATACTCTTTGTGTTTCTGCCAGCATGATTTCATTTTTTATTTCAGTGAAAGTAATTCCAGTAAGTTATAGTTTAATGCCTAGTATGTGCACCAAAATGAGATATATGTGATTTCATCTTAGCTTTACAATGACCTGGGAGCATTTTGGAGTAGATGTAGGGGGAGAGAGAAGGTATAGAGATTTATCTTCATTTTATGGATGTGGAAACTAATGGATAAGTAACTTGTCTAGTCTCATAGCTAATGAGTGGTGGACCTATATTCAACTCCAAAACCCATGCTCTTTAATATACCATGGTACTTTTTTTTTAATTTTTATTTTTGTTAGTAAGCCTCGTTTTTCAGCTATTCTTGCTCTGCTGAACTGACTTAATGTTATACCAGTAGTTTTAAATGAATGCTAGATGGAATAATCTGGAAATGGTTGAAATGGCAAATTTTATGTTACATTTATGTTACATTTATTTTACCACAATAAAAAATAGAATCATCTGGGAAGCTATTTAAGCATACGCATGCTCAGGACCCTGCCTGGGGAGATAAAGTGGGTCTTGTGGTAAGGCCTGGGCATGCATATTTTGGAAGAGCTCCCCAAGTGATGCTGATGTATACTCCTTTGGGGTATTACTGGCACATCTTATTCAATTAGCAATTAACTATGTACTATCTTGTATTACTAGTTTGCTGTTGCCCTGTATTGTTATTTAACTTGAACAGTTAATTAACTATCATCGAACAGACATTTATTGAGTACTTTGTGTGTCAGGCACTGTGCTGGGGCATGAGATAATAAAGAAGGGCACAAGATAATAAAGAAGTCTCTGCTCAAGAAGTATAATTCTAGTAGGAAAACTAATTTTAAAAATGCCATATTAGTGATAAGTAGTATGAAAAAGAACAAAGCACAATTGTAGATAGGAGACATGGAGGTAATTTATAGTGGGTCAGCCTCTTTGATATGATGACATTTGAACAGAAACCTGAAGGGACTGAAGGACTCTGTGGATATATGGGAAAGCAGTCTGTATAAAGGGAAAATTAAGTACAGAGGCCTTGAGATGGAAATACACTTGGCCAGTTTAAGGAATAGCAAATCAGTTAGAAGCCTATTACTGTAGGAAAGCTAAAAGATTATAGGGCCTCCAACCAAGGCTATAAGATATGAAATGGAGGTGGAGAAGGGTGGTTGTATTGTGGACATACTTTGAAGGAAGAACCAATTGGCTACCCTAGAGTTATATTCTACTTCCGTTTCCCGTTTCACCAAGCATGGAACCTGGACCCAGTCCACAGTGTGTTTTGTTTTGCTTCTTTGAACATTTGTTCATTGTTTTTAATTTTTGGATTCATCCAGCAAAAACTGTCAACTCTGGATGATGAGAAGAAGGCACAAACTCTCGCATTTCTATCTATATGCTACAAATTTTATATATGTCCTTTGGAAGAAAATTTTCTTTGGGTCATAGTGAAATCCCAATTTAAATGTAACTTTTAAAAAAAGGAAAACAAAAGATTATAGAAGTATAAACAATTAGCTTATAAGCAAAGGGATATATATATTTTTATATATATCATATATTTGATATATATCATATATGTATATATGATATATATCGTATATATGTATATACGATATATATCATATATAACATATATATAACATATATATATAACATATATGTATGTTCTCAACAGCAATTTAAAGCCTAAAGGGGTAAATTAAATGACAGTTTAACTGCACATGTCATCCTAGCCTGAAAGATCCCTTGGTGGCCATCAAGCCCTTTTACTGAGAGAGAATGAACATTGTAGAAATGTGATTTAAATACAATGGTAAGTCCCAAATGTGGCCTTTATCGTCAACAGAGAACACAGAAAGTAGAGTAAATGATGGAGTCAGGTACTCCATCGCATCTCTGAGGAGATCTGAGGATTCCGGTAGCACTAATCTTTATGTGCTCTCAGGTCCTTTGATTTCTGTATTGTTTGTTTGTATTTATATTGAAGCTTATAGGTGAAAACTATCCCACTTGCAAGGTATTCCCTTGTTAGAAATATTTATATACAAATAAATACAAATATATATTTATACAAATAAAAGAATACTTTGCAAGTGGGATAGTTTTTGCCTCTAAGCCTCAATATAAATACAAACAAATATTGATAACATAAATTGTACTGCAAAGCAGTATTCCTCAGCCTTTGGTTGGGTCTTTGATATGTGGTGATATCCTGGGTTTCAACTCTTCTACAAGGTTTTCTTATATATAATGTAGGATAGATACAGTTGTTCTGTGATTTGGGATGGTTATAAAATTAAATAACCAAATGGAAAGGCAGAAAGTGAGAAATGTTAAGTGACATTGTAGTACCATATAATATTTTAGATCTTGACTTAGGCATATACAAAGAGTATCTTACTTATTTTATACAAAGTCTACAATGTTATGATGCTACAAAGAATGAGTTAAGAATGAGTAAACGCTAGGTTTTATGGAGACTCATAAGAAAATATAAAGATTTTCGTCTTACTATTCAAGTTTGAAATGCATAAATGAAGCTTTATAATTGGTGTGCAAAACCAGACATAGAACCTGCCCTTCTGGACTCTCTGGTCAAGTGAAGAAAGAGTAATCAAGTTAAGAAATGTAAAAAAAAAAAAAAAAAAAAAAAAATGCTGTTAAGTGCAATGAGGAAGGACAGACTATGATATAATAGCAGATGTGTATCAGGATACTGGAGCAGAATGATATGCAGAAGAAACTCGTGTTTTGTGAAATTCCTGAAGCTACAGACCATATGCCATCTCAGGCAGATAGTAGCCCTTGAGTAGTGGTGCAGAGGACTACTTATGGGTGGGAGGCAGGGATTATTAGTAGCTCTCTCTGCTTTGATATGGGTAAATGAAGTTACTTCAGTCTTCTTTCAGATGACTATGCAAGTGCATTTCAACTCTTTCTCACCTCAAACCAGATAGGTTGGTGCTTCCCCATTCTCTCAGAGAGAAATTCTGGATCCAGCACTGCTGGGCTGCCCTGTAGAAGTAGGTAGATATAGAAAGAAGGGCCCAAAAGGTGAGCTCATCAAAAGGAAATAGGAGGTAGAGATGGTGGGGCAGCCCAGGGTCCTGGCAGGAGATGCAAAAAATCACATCATCATATCACATGATCACATTTGATGACATGATCAAATCAGCATCATAAAAACCACATATTTAGACTCTTCTTACCTACTAATACCTCTTCCCTTCAGTAGGCCAGGGACATTTGATAAATAGATAAAATTTTTAAATGAGTTAAAATTTTCAAACACAAATGAGTTTTAGCTTTAAATGATCACTTAATACTAGATGAACTAAATCCGCATTAACCATGGTTTACATGGCTGTGAGATAATTTTAATAGCCTAACAAACCAAAGGAAATAAACATGTCTGCACAAATAATTATTTTATTATTTAAACTAAGTAATTACATATCAGGCACTTTGCTAGCCACTGGGGGTAGAGTGGTAAATAAGATAAATGTGAAATGTATACACTATTGAGCAAACTTATATGCCAAGAAGAAATTTCTAACACATGTATTTAGATGTATGTTCTTTTTTTTTTCCTGTGTGAACTCATGTATTCTGAGACTTCAGCTACCTGTGCTGAGGCCTCTCAAATCTTTATTTTTGGCTTACGCTTTTCTTCTTAGCTGCAGAATCCTACTGGATGTCCACTTGGATGTCCTGAAGCCACCTGAAACTCAGCATATCTACGAATGATCAAATGGGATGCCAGCACTCAGTTATCCAAGCAAGAAATATGCTCCATGCTTGACTCTTTACCCTCACTAACAAAACTGGGCAAAGTCCTGCTGGTCTCTCTCTTTAATACTTCTCAAATCTGTCCCTTTAGTTTCATCCCTCTGTTACTGTTCTCATTCAGATTCTTATTACATCTCACCAAAGCCACTGCAGCACATTCTTAACTGTGTCCAAGTGGTAATAATTAAAAACAGCTTACTGTCTTTATCATTATCACTCTTAACCCACCCTAAAATTTCCTAAAGGTATCCCGTTGACCTCAGGATACATTAAAGCTACTTAGTGGTGACTGGTTTCTGCCTACCACTTCCTCCCCTACCACCTAACACTCACACATACAAATACTTGGTTCAACTGTTTGCTCTCCTTGAAATGAATGCCTCCTCTGTGCCCAGCTAGCAGTTACCCATCCTTTAAAACTCATCCCCTCTAAGATGTGCCCTACCACCTGCAGATTTGGGTTAAGTGTCTCAATAAAATCTTAAATGAATAAATGCATGGCTAATAAGTTATTTTATTGTGTATTTTTCCTTTCAAAGATTCAAATGCAGTGATAGGTAACTTGAAACATGTAGGCATTGTTGGTTAGGAATTACAAATTTAGGAAAACTGTCTCCTAGGATCTACATAGGCATCTTTGGGGTCTTAGGGAGAGGGAGAGACTCTGGACTGGGGACTAGAAATTGATGGCCCTAGATTAAGGGATGTTCTGTCTCTTTCACCAGGTGACCCTGGTGAAAAGAGAAACTTTAAAGCTGCTTAGAATGTATCTGCTGGGTGGTATAGGTTGTTGATTTAAAACAAAAGACTTTTTACTTAAACTAAGGACAAAGGGGCTATGTTCCAGCAGCTCAAATGTGACCAATACAGTGTATTGGTTCTTAACCCTTTTGTGGTCAGAGGCCCCTCTAAGAATCTAGTGATTCTTTCCTCAGAAAAAAAAAGGATGTTTATAGACATAGAATTCTGTGGTACAGAAAAGGAAAGCTTTCTTTCCTCTTTCTGCTCTTCAGAGATTATGGCAGTAATCCCTAACCTAAGAATAAATTATTTGCAAAAACACATTGTTATACTAATTTTTTAACTTCTACAAAGAAGGATTAATTGATAATATAGTTGACGTGATAAGAGACTCGGCGATTTTATGTGGTAATATGTAAGAAGGAATAACTTAACCCTAAGATGATAGAATTTAAGTATTACCAACCATTTATTGTTTTTGAACAAATATCATAAATATACAAGTACTTAAGGTACAGAAAACTCATGATGCTTTGATATTCAATATTTGAAAATCTTACACTACATACACATGCTACTCAAAGTGAAACCTCTGAATTAGCTGCATCCACCATCAGCAACATCACCTGGGAACTTATTAGATAGAAGTGCACATTTTGGGGCTTCACTGTAGACTTACTGAATCAGAATCTCTGGAGAGAAGGCCAGAAATCTGTAATAACAAGCCCTGCAGGTGATTCTCTGGTACACTAAAGTTTAAGAAGCACTGCTTTGGATCAGACATTTATAATACTAGCATCCTTTAAAGTAGGCAGTTTGTATTTTTAATCATAGAATTGTTAAAATAAATGCTAATAAAGGAATGAAATATTAGCTATTGTTTTATTGAATGTTTGTTATATGAGGCATCATGAGCTTTACATTCATTGTTTTATTTTACCCAACCAAGAACCCTTCTAGTTAGGTGGTATTATTTAAGCATCAACAGATGTTCATTAACTTTTACATGTGCCAGTCATCATTCTAGCCACTGCAACACAGCAATAAATAGAACAGGCATAGTCTGTGCCCTCCTAGAACTTAACATTCTAATAGGACAGACAGACAATAAGTAAGTAAAGTGGAATTTCAGGTGCTATACATGACAAATGCTATGAGTTAAAAACAGAAAGGTCTTTCTTGGAAGTGGCCATCTGAGCAGGGACTAAAATAATAGGAAGGATCAATCTATGAAAAGGTTTAAGGGAAGAGTATTTCAGATTCTTATTCCAGAGGTAAGACTGAGAGAGGTTAAGTAACAGCCAGTAAGTGCTAGAGCTGAGTTCTGAATCCTGGATATGTGACTCAGGTACATCTACATAATATATGTTATGACATTTTCCTAATTTTATTTTTCTTTTTTCTGCTTTATTTTCTAAAAATTTTTAAGCAACATGTTAATTAAAATTATAGCTAATATTTATAAAATAAACCTGTTTTCATGACTATGTAACTGTTGTGTACCCAATACTGATCTGAATTTATGATTCTGAATGAATAGCCATTTTAATGAAAAAAAGATATAAATTGAACTTTACCATAATGTATTCTTAATAAGAATAAAAAACATGTTTTGGAATAAAAAAGGCCAAAATAGAAATTATATTTATCATCTCAGTAGGTGCAAATATAATGTTTTAAGATATACTAGAAATGATGTCATTGGTATACTGATGTTACATATTTCAAACAGTATTTTGGCAGAAACTAGTCATTCATTCATGAAAATGATTATAATGTTCATTTTGATGACTTTTTTTAAATAAGAAAGAATAATTATAGGTCTTAATCTTGGTGTCATCTATTATTAGTAATAATGTTAAAGTTATGTGTATAGTTCGTTTAGCTTTTGAAACTATGTATTAGATAGCAAGGAATGTTTAAATAGTTGAGCAAAACGTCATAGTGGACACTAAAGCACACAACCAAAGGACAACAGACGTAAAAGAGTGAAATCTTCTATATTGACTTATGAGAATATATCTTGGTCAGAATGAGTTGGAACTGATATCAGGGTTGGGTTGAGAAAAAGTGTGTAACCTAAACTACAAAAATATTCATGGTTAGAAATCATGATCAGTATACAGGTATGTTTAAGAGTCTAGCACAAGGGTTCAATATAAGCATTATAAACAATTAGTCTAACTTTGTAAAAAAGACAAAAGATAATTTTCATTTGGGTACTCTGAAGACTTCTGGTGTTTTATATGTACTGATTTTTACCAGTATTATGTCAAAAATTTAAAGCCAGGGCGCAAAGCTATATTTTCTCAGAATATATATGTATTCATATATACATATATGAATATATAATGTCAGAACCACTGACATTCAATTAATAGCAAATGATCAATGTTATATTTTAGTTTATATTGAACTAACATTTATTTATTTAGAGACAGGGTCTCACTCTGTCGCCCAGGCTGGAGTGCAGTGGCAAGATCTCGGCTCACTGCAACCTCCCTACCCCACTTCCATCCCCCACAGTCTCAAGCGATCTTCCTATCTCAGCTTTCTGAGTAGCTGTGTTACAGGTGTGCACCACCATGCCCAGCTAGTTTTTTTTGTATTTTGTGTAGAGACGGGGTTTGGCCATGTTGCCCAGCCTGGTCTTGAACTCCTGGGCTCAAGTGATCAATCTGCCTTGACCTCCCAAAGTGCTGGGATTATAGGTGTCAGCCACTGTGCCCAGCCTATTTATTTTAGAGACGGGATCTTACCATGTTGCCCAGGCTGCTCTTGAACTCCTGGACTCAAGCAATCCTCCCACCTCAGCCTCCCATAGTGCTGGAATTACAGGCATGAGCCACCAGTGCCTGGCCTAACTTACTTTAATTGTCAAAAAAATTACTAGTAAACTCAGTCGTCTCCCTTGCTTTAGTTGAAAATGTAAGCTTCTTTCCCACTTGACTGCAATAGTAACATGTGTAGGGTCTACAATTTTGGTTCCCTTTAGTATTCCTAACCATTGTGTTCTCATTTATATTATAAATCATTACTAAGCACTTTGTCTTCCAGATACAATTCTGGGCACTTGAGACTCATCAAACAACCTAGTAGGCAATAAACAAATGATAGTGTGTATTATATTAGGTGATAAATACTGTAGAAAAGGGGAAAGTCAAGCTGAGTAAAGGAAATTGGCCAGTGAGGTGTTACAATTTTAAGTAAACTTGTGTTGAGGATAGGCCTCATTAAGAGTGACTTTTGAACAAAGACCAGGTAAAGGAGTTAGCCAGATATCTGAGGGGAGAGGTGTTTCAGGTAGAGGGAATGGCAAGATTAAAGACTCTAAAGCAGGAGTGTGACTGAGTTGTTGAGAAATGACCTGAGGCCCATGTGGCTGGACAGCAGTGAGTGAAGGAGTGTTAGAGGTGATGGGGTTGGGCATGGCCGCAGGCACGTGGCGCAGTTCTTGTAGAGCCATCTTAAGGATTTTGCTTTTACTCTGAGAGAAATGAAGATCCGTTTCAGGCAGGGTTTTGAGTAGAAGAATTATATGATCTGATTTATGTTTAAAGGAATCACTCAGACTACTATGTCGAAAGCAGACCTGTTAGAAGGCCATTGCAGTAATCCAGGCAGGAGATGGTAATGGCTTGCATCAAGGTGGTGGTAAAAAGTGATCAGAATCTTGATAGGTTTTGAAGGTAAATTCATATTTGCTAATGAATTGTATGTGGGTCATGAAAAGAAAACGGAATGTAAGTTATAACATATTCAAATGGAGATGTCCATTTGGGAGTTGGACTTATGACTCCTGGAATGATCAGCATATGCATCATTATTTAAACAATGAAAGTTTGAAGGGAGGACCAAGGACTGAGCCCTGAGGTACCACTAAAAGGAGAAATCAGTGAGATAGGAGGACAATGGGAATAGTAGGTCCTGGAAGGCAAAGTAAACACATAGTGTTGAGGAGGTGGGATCAACTGTGTTAAGTGGGTTGAGTAAGATGGGGTTGAGAATAGATTCCTAGATTTAGCAATGCATAGGTCATGGTGGTCTTTTCAAGAGCAGTTTCAATGAAGTGGTAGGAGCAAAAGTCTGGATAATGTCAGCAGTTGGAAATTTTTTTATTTTCTGGTTTTGAATATTGTACTATGAATACATAAGTATTTAATCTTAATAAAGTAAAGAAAAGGTGAAAAAAGAATGGGAAGAGAGGAGTTAAAGAGAATAAGTGCCACTATGTCAAGGAGTTTTACTGCAAAAGAAAGCAAATAAATAGCTAATAAGGGAAGTAGGGTCAACAGAAGTGGTTTTAGGGGGTTCTTTTTGAGCTGGGGAAATATGTTTAAATGTCATTAAGAATCTTCAGTAGATGGCAAAAGATGTAAGTGAAAAGGGACAATTACTTGATCAGTGTTCTTAGGTCATGGTGACAGGATCTGGCATATAGGGCAGAGGATGGCTTTAGATAGGTACATGAAGTTCTGGAAATAGGCAAGAACACAAAGTATAGATGCTAGTAGGTGAATAGGTGTGGTGGTAAAAGTTCTCTTTGTTTCAGTTATTTTATTGCCTTTTGTTTTCAGTAAAATAGAGGTCCTCAGTGGAGAGTGAGGATGGAGGAGGATATGTTGGGGGTTTGAAGAGAGAGGAGAAGGTGTGAAATACTAGCAAGAAGCGTAATGGACTTGGGGCATTGAGTATGACAGCCTGGCAGATGAAGGATTCACTTGAGGTTCATGGTCATGAATTTAAGGTGAGAGACCAGTCAGCATGGTTGCATGTTTTTCTTCCACAAAGTTCCACTGTAATCTTGTAGAGGCAGAGTACATAGAGAGTTAGATAGAGTTAGCCAGGATTAGAGTTTAGTTGAGCAAGTATGACCAAAGAAGAGAGGGGAAGGGGAGTCGAAGTACAAAAGAGTGACACTATCAAGGGTATGTGTGAGGAATTGATTATTTTGATTGATCATGGAATTTATATTGGTAAGACGGGGAATGGGGCCATCCCAGTCTTACCACTGAGCTACCAGCCTCTATGACCTAGGGGTCCCACTCGACTCTACAAGCCAGCCTACAGAAGTAGGGTAACCTTTTCTGCCTTCCTAGACCTTTCAAGGTCTGCTGGCTTGCTCAGTCTAAGATCCCCAGACCATGCTTAAACCCCCAGACTCTTTCCTAACCCTGTTCAAGCAAGGTGTGCTTCGCTGCCTGTTGCTTTGTCTTAGCAAAAAATAAAAATAAAAAAAAATAAAGTGTTGTACTCGGTAGAAGAAAATGCTGTCCTTAGGGTTCTCTGTGAAATTGCAACTCGTGTAGGCCTTTGAAAGAAAGAAACGTGCCAATATACGGCACATTATGTAATATATATACACATATACATACATAAGAGAATAATTAGTTCATTATACAAATAAAACAAGAAGATGCATGGAAGCGAATTACAGCTATTCTGGATTTTTTAAATTAGTGTTAGTTTCACGTGTAAGAATAGGTATCAAAAGCAGGAAACTGATGCCTCTTCTCTTTGAACATGACCACAGTTTACTTATAAACTGTTAGCAGATAAGAGTTTTCAAGACAAAAATGTATATAAAATGAGCATTATCAAGAAATGTGTATGAAGATTGTGAACTGCTTAAGGAAGGAAGAAAAAATATGCATCTAAGTTGACAGATAAAACCAACACACCTAAAAGATTTTAACAAAGGAAGTCAGCCTTTGGTCAGTTTTAATAAACAGAGCATTACTAATCAATGAAGACACTTAAAGACATGAGAGAAAAGATTATTATTGTTTTATCATCAGTGATAGCAGAATTAGCACTCAAGAGCAGAAATTTGTATATTTTGACATCAAAGCTGGGAAGCTCACTCTCTGTGATACATAAGAGACCTGGGTGGACCACACATACATCTAAGATAGCAACAACAAATGACCTTGTACCTTTTGTGTAGACACCCTCAAGAACTTGAAAATAGGAAATAGGATAGCTCTATAATAGTTCAACTATGAAATCAACATGTAATAGTGCATCAGAGAGGGTATATGCAAAGGAATTGGGAAGCGGCAAAACAAAATAGCTTCTAGACCAGTGGGACTGTACTGGAATGTAAACATATGTTTATTTTTAACATAAATTAAACATAAAGTGAAGGAAAGAATGCATAATAGAAAAGCATTGGTCAATCTTGGACACACACCTCACCCTACCCCAGTAAAAGAAGTGTACTGCATTCAAAGATAGGCTCTTCCTATTCAGGTGAAGAAATGTGTCTTAAATTTCATACTTGAGTTGCAAGACTATCACTAGGGTAGAAATGGCTAGGGTAGAAATGGCGGCAGGGAATTAATACCAGTGAATGATACACATTTCAAGTTCCATCGGCATGATATCTGTTATTTATGATTAGTGCATCAAACTAATCATAGTCTGATATTATTCAGTATTGTGATGCTGATTCTCCTTATCATTTTATGCTCATCCAGTGATCTAATTTATGGTAAAGCTCACATTTATTGAATACTTACAAGTTACCAGACACTGTAAACCAGTAAACTTTACATATATTATCTCCTTTAAGCCTCACAAGAACCCTGTGAGATAGGTACCTTTGTTATCTTCCTTGTACACAGAAACACAAAGTAGTTTGCCTAATGGCAGTACTGGGATTCAGATCTAGGCAGTCTGCCTCAACATTATCTGGAACAACTATGCTATACTACCTTGGTTTTTCATGTATATCTGCATTATAGGGAGAGTACATTGATCACAAATTCTTTAATTATTTTTTGTCCTGTCATAATGGTTTCTTAATGGTGATAATAAAGTGACTTCTGATGATGGTTTAGCAGAGAGCCAAATCCTGGAATGGGCACCCTAACGATGGTACTAGTCAGTAAGATTTTTGTGACTACCTCCTACTCTCCCTTGGCCAATGTTTCCGAGTCATCTTTTGGCTGCATCAGTGAGAGGGTTTTGTAGAGTTATAGTCCTGGTGCGAATCTCCTAGATATTCTGAATTAATTGGTCTGGGATGGAGCCTGTGAGTCAATTCTTTAAAAATTCTAATTAGTGATCATGATGCCCATTTAAATTTTAGAACCACTGCTTTAGATGATGCAGTGGCCATTTTTCTATTAATTTGTCCAACAACCTGGTTCAAATCTAACAAATGGTAAAAGTAGGGAATTCACTTAGTAAACATTAGGCAAAAGTTTAATGATGTTTGTGATGAGGTAAGTATAAAGGGCCAGGTGTGCTGGTTAATCCCAGTACTTTGAGAGGCTGAGGCAGGAGGATCGCTTTAATGTGGGAGTTTGAGACCAGCCTGGGCAATATGGGAAGATCCTGTCTCTACAAAAATTTTAAAAATTAGCCGGGCATGGTGGCCGATATGGTTTGGCTGTGTCCCCACCCAAATCTCAAATTGAATTGTAACTCCCACAATTTCCATGTGTTGTGGGAGGAACCCAGTGGGAGGTAATTGAATCATGGGGGCGGGTCTTTCTCACGCTGTTTTCTCAATAGTGAATAAGTCTCACGAGATCTGGTGGTTTTAAAAAGAGGAGTTCCCTTGCACAAACTCTCTTTTTGCCTGCTGTCATTCACGTAAGATGTGACTTGCTCCTCCTTGCCTTCTACCTTGATTGTGAGGCCTCCCCAGCCATTTGGAACTGTAAGTCCAATAAACCTCTTTCTTTTGTGAATTGCACAGTCTCAGGTATGTCTTTATCAGCAGCGTGAAAACAGACTAATACAGTGGCCCATGCCTGTAGTCCAAACTACTCAGGAGGCTGAGGCAGGAGGATCACTTGAGCCCAGGAGTTTGAGGTTGCAGTGAACCATGATCATGCCACTGCCCTCCAGCCTGGATGACCAGAGTAAGACCCTGTCTTAAACAAAGAAATAATAATAAATTAAAAAAATATGATATGAATTTTTGATTTTGATGCCAGGGACCAAATGTTACTAATTCTGAGATGCATTGCATAGTGGTTTGGATTTTAGGCCTGGAGCTGCGCAGCCCAGGGATGGATACCATCTTTGCTGCACAGCTGTGCAGCTGTGAGCAGCCTAGTCAGGCTCTCCAGCACTACATTCCTCACTTGCCCAGGGAGGATAGTAACTGTCCATACTATAATCCATACAGAGTCCTGAGGCCAAGCCTGATATTTGGTTAGTGCTCATTAAATATTAGCTAAGTTGTTACTTAAGTGTTTTCCCACCTGAGGACATCTTTGGTGAGCCTAACTCCCTTTCTGACCCAGGTGCTTCTTATGGCTATAGAATCTGTGTGGAGTAGCTGTTGAGAATGAAGACTCTACTTGGTCTGTATACATAGTCTTAACCTTAGACTAGGACCTTTTTAACATCATTCTTGGACCAATTGGGTTAACCACTACAGCAGTTGAGCAGTTAGAGAGTTTGGCATGAAATCTTTAAGATATTTTTAAAATGTGCTGTACTGCTAGTATGGACTTCAAATTATAAACTAAGAATTAGAAGTGAGTTTTGTAGTGATGAGAAGTTTTTTAAGCATCTATGGGAAACCAAATCCTCATTTTACTTTTTCCAGTTTCACCGAGCTTCAAGCCTGGATTTCCTCAGGTTCTAATTTATGTAAGGTTGTGCTTTAACAGTTTTTAAAAGCCATGTGGGAGATGTATCTTCTAGAGATTTTTTTAAAGGAACAAATAAGCTACTGAAAAGGGCTCTATACAGTTTAAAAGGAGATCTAATTGTACAAGTAGACATATTTAAGGCTCCTAAAATAAGGAGTAAGACATTCTTTTTCTATATATCGTAGATCTATGTAAATAAAGTGTGAAGAAAATGTATCACACATACATTGGTTAACAAAATGGATTCAAATATTGGTTTTAACCACTAACTAGCTTCATAATTTTAGACAACTTGCTCAAATTCTCTACTCATTTTTTTATCTATAAGAGGCCAAATGCTATCTAATTAATAGGAATGTAGTAAAGATTAGATTATTAAATTGTATTGAATTAAATATATGTTGATTAGGACATACATGGACATAGTATGTTGGATACATGTGCATATTTAAGATAATGCCTGGTACGTAAACCCATTAAGTGTTAACTATGATAATAACAGTATATCATCCAAACGAAAAACAAAGCAAGTCAGAATATTACATTGTTCAGCATCTTAAAGTTGTCTTTTACTAAAACTATCTGAAAAAAAATTGTCAGGAAAGACAGTTTTTGGTATTAGTCTCTGAAAAAATGCTTTCAAAAATTCACATCAACGCTGGGCGCAGTGGCTCACGCCTGTAATTCCAGCACTTTGGGAGGCCGAAGTGGGCAGATTACTTGAGGCCAGGAGTTGGAGACCAGCCTGGCTAACATGGCGAAACCCCGTCTCTACTAAAAATACAAATAATTAGCCAGGCATGGTGATGGGCACCTGTAATCCCAGCTACTAGGGAGGCTGAGGCAGGAGAATCACTTGAACCTGGGAGGCAGAGGTTGCAGTGAGCCGAGATCGCGCCACTGCACTCTAGCCTAGGCGACAGAGTGAGAATCCATCTAAAAAAAAAAAAAATTGCATCAGAAAACCTGAATTTATGTCTTTTTGCTGCCATTCACCAGAATAGGCAGGTGACTGGGCCTATTGAAACCTCTTTTTTACCAGCAAAAGTGGAATAAGATACTGCATCTCAGTTGTTGGTGTGAAAATAAACTCACCTCTTGATAGGAGGGATTCTGTCTCCATCTAGAATAGCACCCTTTGGTAGAGATAAAATGTGAGCCATGTGTATAATTTAAAATTTTCTAGTAGCCACACTAAAAAAGAAACAAGTAAAATTAATTTTAATAATACATTTAACCCAATATCTCTAAAATATTTTCATTTCAAAATGTAATTAATATAAAATTATTGAGATTACCTGTTCAGGTTATGTCTGAAGTCTAGTGTGTATTTTATACTTACATTACATCTGAACTTAAACTAGCCACATTTCAAATGCTTAGTAGCCACATGTGGCTAGTGACTTCTCTATTGGCAGTCCAGATCTAGAATATAGATTAGTATTCCCCATCACTGTTCTTGGGTACTGGTGCTGCTTTGACTTTAAGCAATTAGCATAACTTTACTCTTTAATGTATGCACCTTTGGATGCTTGAGCCCTACAACTCTTTCATGAGCAGCCTAGCTTAGTATAGCTTCTGGGAAGATAGGGTCCTACCCTTAGCCTTTTGGCTGATCCAGGTGAGGACTTGTTCTGGGCATGTCACATACCTCTCTATTTGGTCAAGCCTGGTAGACAACCAAGGATTGCCAACCCGTTGAGTACAATAAACCTTTTGAACTACAAAGATCAGAGCTCCATGTCAGGATCAGGCTTTTAAAATCCCTCCACTCTCATTTCTTTCTTTCTTTCTTTCTTTTTTTTTTTTTTTTTTTTTTTTTTTTTTGCCTCTTTCCCAAATTTCAGAGACTTATCTATCATCCCTGGGAAAAGAGCAAATACCAGCAATGTTCTGAAGGAATTCAGCTTCTCTGTCTTCTACTTCAACTTGGCATAATAAGGCAGTCCTCTCTTCCCAAAGATTATTTTGACTTGAGAAGACATTTAGAAACCCTTTTGGGGACAAGAAATTTGGGAAGAAGGCAAAGTATTCAATTGTACATAATAGCTCTAGGCCAAGCTTTTATATCTAAGCTTTTTCTTTTTTTAAGGTTTTCTGATACTGTCTTTTACCCACATTTTGTGAGAATTGTCATGAAGGCAGTGTTATCCTAATAGCTGTGTGTAATGGTGAAAAGAGAGAGTATGGGATTCAGGTACATTCATCCAACAAAACTGCTCAAATGTCACCAACTTAGGGGTCGCTAAGGGGTCCTATCCTGATCACTTTATTTAAAATAGCTGCCGGCTCCCAGCACCCTGTCTCTATCTTATTTTTGGGGGGCGGAGGGGGAGGCAGGTAAAAATACCACTTATCACTAACTAAAATTGTTTGTTTGCCTTCCTAAATAAAGTATAAGCTCCATAAGAATTTGGGCTTTGTTTTGTTGGCCCCTGCATCCCCAACTCCTAATATAATGTCTAGCATTCAGTAAATTCCTATTGAATCAATGAATAAACAAACAAGAGGAAATGCTGCTAATCTCTGTATGTACTAAATGATTTTAAAATTAGATACCTGGTAGAGTTCTTCCATGACCATTGTTGCTTTGGTCAGTATATGTGATATGTCACATTTTCAAACCTAATCTCATTTGTAAGAATCCTAGTGTTTAGTTTTGACCAATCATTTAAGTAAACTTTTAGATAGTGTTGATCTTGAGGAGAAAGAAGTAGCTTGAAATGCAGCTGTGAAAGGGGAGTAGGAGAGCCAATCTATACCATGTGAAAATTTCAGGTTATACGGGGTAATAGAATGGAGGAGGAGTATTAGGATGAGGAATTGAATTAATATTTTATAGTTCAGGTACTGTAAATATTGTCTAAGGTTTTGGGGCAAAACATTGGCATAGTATGTAGTAGAAGCTTAGGTGAAAGATGAGAGAGATTTATAGCCAGAGAGATTAGTAGTGTTTGTAGGAAATGTGGGCTGTATAGGCTTGTGGCCCCAAATCCACAAGTCATATTTCCATTGTCTTTGTTTAGAATCTTTATTTGAAATTTTATTTATCCCTGTCAGTTTTTCAGTCATTCTTCCAATTTACCTCTCATGCCTTTGTCCCAACTTGATACCATTATTCATACTTCGTGCTCCATGGAATTATAGTACCTATGAGCAGAAACTCATTACACCCTGCCAAGGCCAGCAAAGTCCATTGTGACTCCCAGTTTGTCCCTGGAGCACCCTGCCAATAAAAGTAATGCAAACAGGTTGAAAACTCTCAAGTTGTATTGAGTTATTTATGTTGCATTTAAATAAATGTTTAGCAAAGGAAATAAATGCAGACTTAGTTTTTATCTTTTTCTGTCCTACTTCTTTAAATGAGAAGAACCTATTTTATGTAAATACACCAGCTTTTTTAGTTTAATATGATGATGAGTAGAGTAGTATTTGGTGTGTGAATGCATTTAAGAAAACAATAAGCAAAATAATTTATGCTTTTTGTTTGTGGCAGTAGACTTTTATTGCAGTTGGGTGTTATTACAGTGTTACAATTGTAAGGTTTTTGAAGCTTAATTAAATAATGATATTCTACTTGTAGTAGGTAGTTTTAAGGTCTGTTTCTAATTACACTTAGTTTAACATTAAATGAGCGTTCATATGATGCGTTTTAACCTAACATCTTCTTTCTTCTTAGTCTGTAAGACTTGTATTGTTCAGCACTTTGAAGATAGCAATGATTGCCCAAGGTGTGGCAACCAAGTTCATGAGACAAATCCATTAGAAATGTTGAGGTAAGGATGTTATATTTTACAGTTCATCTAATTTACATAAATTGAATAGGCTCTTAATTTTTATTGTATGTCATAATATTTCATGTTGTCTTGACTCAGTTAATATAGGACTTATGATTTTCATTTTAAAGCATTTTATTTTAAAGTATTTTATTAAGGAGTATTAAAAATAAGGTTTTACATCTTAAATATTTAAGAAATACATTTCCAAACTAAAAGTACAACTTTCTCTTAGGCTGTAAGAGTGACTTTAGGTTACAGGTATTTTCAGTATTTTAATAGTCCATGTTATGTTGAGCTACATGGTAGTAGAAAGAGGGAGAACTCATAGAAAGACTAATATTAGGACTGTTAATTTTTTAATTTACCATATATTCAAAAAGTATATAAACATTTATGTAAAACCTAAAAGATTTTTTTAAGACTACCATTTACTTACCCCTCAACTTTAGCAGTATAATCATATATATATATAATATATATTTTATTTATTTATTTATTTATTTATTTTGAGGTGGAGTTTTACTCTTGTTGCCCAGGCTGGAGTGCAATGGTGCGATCTCAGCTCACCGCAACCTCCACCTCCCAGGTTCAGGTGATTCTCCTGCCTCAGCCTCCTGAGTAGCTGGGATTACAGGCATGCGCCACCACATTAATTTTGTATTTTTAGTAGAGACAGGGTTTCTCCATGTTGGTCAGGCTGGTCTCAAACTCCCGACCTCAGGTGATCTGCCTGCCTCGGCCTCCCAAAGTGCTGGGATAAAGGTGTGAGCCACCACACCTGGCCTAATCATATATTTTTAAAACTGGAAGTGGTCTATGAGATTCTAATCCAAATCCCTTTATTCCCAATTAGGAAATCTAGAGAAGTGATATGACTTGACTTAAGGTTTCACAGAATACCTCAAATGCCACTTCCCAGCTACAGGCCGTATGTCCTCACCACTAGACCCATTTTCATTTCATTGTTCCCACCATAGCTCTAAGGCAGATCACCTGTGTGATCTTTAAGAAACTACTCGTCTAGAATCCAGTGAAAAGCACAAAAGGGGTCAATTCCGGAGTTAGCTTTTTAGTACTTTTGAACTTAAAAAAAAAAAAAAGAAGCTACTCATCTAAAGATAGAGCTAGATAGTCTCTGGAACCTTTCATAACTCTCTTATCTGTGTGATATTTGCCATCATTCTATAAATCTGGATTTGCAAATCTTACATTTCAGCCTTTTGTTTTTCAAGTTTAATGCCTGTTTGGGATAATTTGTCTACAGGTAAATGTCTAGCCCTGTGGTTTTCAAAGTGTGGTTCCCAAACCATTAGTATCATGTTAGAAGTGACAGGTCTCAGACCACACATCAGACCTGCTAACTCAGAAACTTTGGGATTGGAGATCACTTCGTTTAGCAAGCTCTCTAGGTGATGCTAATATATGCTAACATTTGGGAACCACTGGTCAACTCTGGTCTGTAATTCTGAGTAAGCCTTGTTCTGGTTAGATCTATATCAGTGCCTCTCAACCAGGAGTGATTTTGCCCCCGGGATACATTTAGCAATATCTGGAGACATTTTTGGTTGTCAGATCTGGGTGGGTGCTCCTGGCATCTAGTAGGCAGGGGACAGGGATGCTACTAAGCATCCTACAATGCACAGGATAGGCCCCACACAGCAAAATTTATCCAGCCTCAAATGTCAGTAGTACTGCAGTAAGGAAACTGAATAAAGCAAACATTTTCTCTCAAGTAATTCTTTTCTTAATTTTAAAATAAAAAACTGTTAATATCCAGTTGTAATGAAAGATTATTACCAACTGTTAAAATCTATAATAACTTATTTTTATTAAAATAAAAAACTGTTAATAAAAACAGACAGTTAATAATTATTACCCTCTCTGTTCTTAAAGGGCCACATCATAAGGCAATTTATCTTAATCTTTTGATTCTGACCATTAGATACCTGAAGGAATCCAGTCACTGTTTAATCAAACCCGCTCCCTTGGCTAAAGTATAACATCATATATTTTTTAACTTTTTATTTGGAAATAACTTCAAACTTAGAATCCCCCAAATAAAAGTAGTACAAGAGCCACTTGCATTCTGTTCACCCAGATTAGCTTCTTAGTAACGTTTTATCTCGTTTGCTTTATCATGTGCATATGTGTATTGGATGCTTTATTTTTTTCTGAACTATTTGAGGGTAAGTTACATGTGTCATGGCCCCTTACTCTTAAATGCTTTAGTGTATATTTCCTAAGAATAAGGATATTATATTACATAACCACAGTATGATTGCATTGGTATAATACTTTAACCTAACTTCCATATTCCAGTTTTCTTAATTTAATGATGTCCTTTATAGAGATCTTTTCCTCCTAAAATTCCACCGAAATTACCACAAAGGAATTTTTTTAAAGACATAAACTCAGAGATAATAAAAACAAGATATCCTGTATCTTTGACAGCTGGGATAGCTCCTCATGATAGGTTCTCAGTAAACACTTTTTAAAGGATAAGAAGAAATGGTAGCAGAAGAGATGTCAGCAGAAACTGAAAGCTAGAAAGCAAACTGGTGATGGTGATAGTTGAGCGGACCTCAGAGGCCTGAGTATACCAGGAGACTAAGGAGGTTGTGGGGAGGGGAAGATCTTTACCAAAGTTTCCTACAGCAGGCTTCTTTTTAGCCAAAACTAGGTCACATGACAGCCACTAGGTAAAGGGATGTGGTGGGTTTTGAAATGCTTTAACAAATCATGAATTATCCCTGAAGGTGGCCACATTGCAGCCAGAACATAATTGGATTTTGTTAGCCAGAAATAAGGGGAATTTAGGCTCCTTCATTAGAAGCCTAAATTGCCTGTGACACATGTAGCAAAAAATTTACCTTCTATGTACTTTTTCTCAGTAAGCTATTGGGAGATGTGCTGGAGCATAAACCAAGAAAGAATAAATGACTCTAGCATAGCAGAGAGGTGAAGGGATATGACAGTTGTGCAGCAGGCCTGGGGAACAAGCAGTCTGTATTTGTACTCTCCAGTATGGTAGCAATTAGCCACATGTGGCTCTTAAGCACTTTGGATGTTGCTAGTGCAACTGAGGAATGGGATTTCTAATTTAATTTCAATTAAAACCTGAAGCAGTGTAAATATTTTTCCACTAAATATAACTTTATTGTTCAATAAATAAAAATTACTAAATGTATTATTAAAGATATTTTAATATATAGCAAAACATTAAAGTTAGTTTTATATAAAAAGTATAAAGTACTGGTGTTAATGTTCCTACTAAAAATTTAAAATTACATATTTGACTCACATTATATTTCTATTGGTCATCACTTATATAGACAATAGAAGGAAGATGGAGAGCTCCATGAGGGGAATCATTCATTCAGCAAATATTTACTGGATGCCTGCTGTGTCTGGGCACTATTCTAGGTGCTTGAGGTCCATTCGCAGACAAAATAAAGATCTTTGCCCTTGTAGATTTAATATTTTTGTAGTGAGAGACAGTCAATAAACCATATAATAAGTAATTTATATGGTATGTTAGAAAGTGAAAATTGCAAAGGCAAGAAAGAGGAAAGTGTTGTGAGGTGAGGAGGTCAAGAGTGTGAAGTGGGGGCAGATTGCAATTTTAAATAAGATGGTGATGATAGGCTTCTGTGGGAAAGTGAGACTTAAGCGAAGACTTGGAGACTGTGAGAGGTTAACCATGGATAGGTCTAGGAAAGCATGCCTATTCCAGGTAAAGGGAGCAGCCAGTGCAGAGTGCCTAAGTCAGGAGTGTATCTACGCCTTGTTGGACGACCAGCAAGGAGACCTGGGCGGCTGGGGAACAGTGAGTGAGGGACAGAATACTGGGCAACAAGAGCAGAGAGATCATGAGATTCCAGATTATGAAGGGCCATGTAGGCCACTGTAAACATTTTATCTTTTACTCTGAATGAAATGGGGAGCCTCTGCAGGATTTTGGTTGGAGGATTGATCCGATATGAACATGTTGATGACTGTGTTGAGAACACCGCGCGTATAACAAGGCAAGGGTAGAAGCAGGGAGAACAGTTAGAAAGTAATTGCAATGACCCTGGTGAGCGGTGGTAGCAGTAGAGGGGACAAGAAATGCTCATATTCTGAATATATTTCGAAAGTAGATCCAGCAAGGTTTGCTGGTGGATTGGATATAGGATATGGGATAAAGAAAAGAGTTGAACATGACTTTAAGATTTCTGACCTGAGCAACTGGAAGAATGGAGTTGCCATTAACTGAGTTGGGAAGATTAATAATAGAGCAAGGAAGGGGTAGATCAGGACTTCAATTGTGGACATGCTGAGTTATTCATTTCAGAGAAGAGAGGAAGGTAAGTGGATATATGTGTCTAGAACTCAAAGGGAGAGGTCTGGGCTGGAGAAAAACATTTGGTAGTCTTCAACATATAGAAGGTCTTTCAAACTGTAAGCAGGATGAGATCACTTCAGGGAGTGAGTACAGAGAGGCACGAGTAAAGGACCAAGGATTGAGCCCTGGAGAACTCCAGCATTAAGTGTTCAGAGAGAAGAGGAGGAGCCAGCACAGGAAACTGAGAAGGCACAACCAGTGAGGTAGAGGAAAATCCAGGAGTGTGTGGTGCTCTAGAAGTCAAGTGAAGATAGTATGTATATCAAAGGAGACGGAGTGATCCACCTGTGTCATTTGTTGTTCATGGGTACAAGTAAGGTGAAAACTGAGAATTCATGGTTGGATTTAGCAACATGGAGTTCATCAACTTTGAAAAGAGCACTTTCTTTAGAGCTGTGAGGCCAAAAACCTAACTGGGTTGTTTTAAGAGAGGAAAGGAGGGAGAGGAATTAGCAACAGTGAGTATAGTATTGACAACTCTTTCAAGGAGTTTTGCTACAAATGGGAGCAAAGAAATGGGGTGGGGGGGTGCTGTCAAGTGCAGCCAAGAAGGTTCTTTATTTTGTTTTGATATAGGAGAAATAATGGCGTATTTGAAGGGAATGATCCAGTAGAAAGCAGAAAGTTAATCATGTGGGAGAGTAGGGAATGCAATCTCACAGCCTAAGAGGAGACACTGGTTTTCAGTGGGAGCATTGACAAAAAAAATTGTAGCAACAGGCAGGCAGACAGCGAGTACATGGTGCAGATGCTATAGGTAGGTATGGTGGCCGGGGCCTGTGGAAGTTTGTTTTTCATTGCTTTGACATTTTTCATTGAGAAGAAAGTGTTTGTCAGTCAAAATTAAGGATAGAGGAAAGGGATTTGGAGAGTTAGGGCGAGAAAAAAGCGTGTTGTCCAGGGGAGTGAGAGGATCAGTGCACTTGTGAGTGTAGTATGATTCCTGGCAAACTTAAAGGCATGTTTGTGTTGTAGTTAGGAATTTGAAGGAGTATGGTTGTGTTTTTATCCAGCCATGGGTGCCAGTGCAGAGTTGATGGAAAGTTGGATTTAACCTGAGTTGTACTAAATAATTTTGAGCAAGTAAGAGAGAGACAAATCAAGGGTACATGTAAGGAAGTGATTTAATGACTGACCATAGAACAGATTAGTCCTAAATTGGGCTGGAAGGACAGAAAGGGCATCAAAGTAGTAAGTAATGTTTCAGAGGAAACAGAAATGAAACTAAGTTGGTTCCTGATCTGTTTGTATGTAGTGAGAAGTGCTGTTTTTTATTCACTCCTACTATTAAATAGTCTGGGAAAACTTTACGAATGACCTTGTCTTGAAGAATAAGGTAGCATTGGTTTGGTCGGAGAGTACAGAGAGTATTTGAGCCAGGATGTAAAACATGAGGGAGAAAAATGAATTGGAAAAGACAAGGAATTCTTGGGATAATTGAATAAGCCAGTTGGCTAGAGAAGGGAGACAGTGAGCAAATAGTACCAGTTATGGTTTGTAGGTTGGACTCAAGTTATATAAACACATGAAGTCAGGTAGTAGAGAGAAATTAGTCCTTGAGCAGGGAACTAACACAATCAGATTAGCACTTTAGGAAGATTGATTATGAACATGTCTCTGCTCTGCTCAAAGCAGAATGGTAATTAATTGAAGGAATGGAAGAATTGTTGGGAGAATAGGTGGGACAGATATTGAGAGGGAGCTCTGAATGTGGCTTGGTGAGTAAATGTGTAAATGAAGGGAAAGAGAGAAGTTAAGATCATTCTCATATTTTGAGCTGATTTGGAAAAATTATGGTATCACTTAAAAATTTAGTTTAAAAAAAGCGAGACAATGACTGGGCTACTTAGTATTTTATTGGAGGAGGATAGATGAGACAATCTTGACATAGATTAATAAAAGGAGGTACTTGAAATGTTTAGCATCTGTTGGAAATATGGAACTTGAAATCAGCAGAGATGTGATATATAGTCAGGCAGATAGATAGATGGATAGATGGATAGATAGATAGATAGATAGATAGATAGATAGATAGATAGATAGATAGATAGATAATCTGCCTATATGTTAGTTTTGAAGCCACAAAAGCAGATGAAATCCACAAGGAAGACAGAAAAGGTCAAAGAGTTCAGAGTACAAAGCAAGGGAGAATATCAGATTTAAAAGTAGCTGGGAAAAAGAAAAATGCTTAGTAATAAAGAAAGAACAGACTTGAACATTAAAAAAAACAAAGGAAATTTTCAGGGAGGCAGGCAGTGTTAGACAACACTGTCAAACTGCTGCAGAGCAATATAGAAGAAATATAAACTTAAAAAATAATTTTTAAGTTTAAATTTTAATTCTAAAAATTTTAAACCTATTCAATATGGAAGTTATAGATGATTTTGAGAATTCAGTAGAGTAAAAGAAGCAAAACAGAGTATGTGACAGAAATAATGTAGGTTTTATTTTCACATTTTTTTCCAGTTAGAAGGAAAGATTGAGAAACAGAATAATAGTTTGAAAAGAGTTAATGAGTTGAGAAAGGTTTTGGGGTTTTTTTTAAGATGTGAGAAACCTCTATGTGTTTGTAGTCTTGTAGAAGAGTAATGTTGTTGAGCAGGATGAAGGAGATGAGGCAGGAAGGGGGTGTTGTGGGGGCAAGAGAATGGGATTGAAGACAAAAGGCCATGAAAAAGATGAGTTATATGGCAGGAAAGAAAATGAGAAAAATGTCAAGATAAACATTTAAAGTTTTCATTTCAGAAGGTAGAACAATAAAGTGGTCTAAATTTCTCAGAAGAGAGGAATGGAGATTATTTCCTTTAGAGGAAAGAGCCAGAGCTGTGGTAGAGATTTTGAGAATGGGCATATCAGCTGTTGCTGCATAACAGACAACCCCTAAATTGATGCTTGAAAAAGCAAGCATTTATTATTCCTCCTGGTTCCCTGAGTTAGCTGGGTGGTTCATCTGGTCTTGGCTGGGCTCACTCATGCAACTGCAGTTAGCTGTGCATTGGGTAATCTGCTGTGCTGATCTTGGGGGATGGGCTGTCTGTGGACTAGTCTAAAATGGCCTTAGCAGGGCAGCTTGGCTCTCTTCTACGTGGTCTCTCATCCTCCAGCCTTGTTCTCATGGTAGCAGGATTCTGAGAGAGAGAAATAGAGACAAAAGCATTTGATGCCTCTTAAGGCTTAGGCTTAGAACCAAGCAGTCACTTGTGCCACATTCTGCTGGCCTCAACAAGTTTTAAAGCCAGACCGTATTTCCAAGGCAGGGGAATAAACTCCATCCTTAGTCAAGGGAGGAGTTTCAAAGTCATGCTCAAGAGTCTGGATATAGAGAGAGCTGGGGACTGGGACCATTTTTGTTATCAGTCTACTACTGGGGAAGGCTGTAAATAAGTGTGTTCCATGGACAGAAGAGTATGGTATAGTAGATGTGCTAAAATTGTGTATGTATTTTGTAACATGTATAAGATTATACATCTCAGACTATTTACATGTCAGATCTTGGTGTCTTCATTGTTAGTATTTTCTTTCTCCCCCCTTTCGAAGGTTGGACAATACATTAGAGGAAATTATATTTAAGCTGGTCCCTGGACTACGAGAACGTAAGTGGCTCTTTAGGTTCTTGCAGACTTTTGTGTTTTATGAAATCAACACTTCTATTAAAGATTTCATGACTTTTACTTTTATACTCTTTCTTTTAAATTAGAAGAACTTGAGCGTGAATCTGAATTTTGGAAGAAAAATAAGCCTCAAGAAAATGGACAAGGTGACTTTTTCTTATGTCTGTTTCTGACAGCACCTCTTAAACTGGTCAGCTTTTCATAGTTTAGGTGAACTAATATGTCTCTTCAGGCTCACATTTTTCCTGCACAAAATTCATGCACCCTTTTATTTACATTACGAACCTTTTTCTCTATATGAGATTTTATATAAATGAGTGTAAATCTGAAGTCACTTTAGTGAGGGTAATTGGAAATAGAGGAAATTGGACTTTGGGAAGAGAAAAGGGAGATAAAAGAGAAGATTGGCTAGGTGTTTATAGTGGTAATTTCTAGGGAGCTAAAGGAAGCTGAAGTAAGAAATAGCCACAGCTTGCAACTAAACAGTGAAGAGTTTTTTGTTTTATTTTGTATGTTTGCCTCTAAAGGAGAGGGAGCTGAGATGTGGCTGAGAGCCAGATCAGGAGATTTTACTATGCTCTGATATTCTGGAATGAAGTTTTTATAAGTAGAGCTCAGGTGATACAAACTTATACATCATGGAAATTTAGAAAGTATTTCTGGGTGCTTATGGGAATTTTCTCCATCACCCAGATTTCTCCTCTGGGTCCCAAAAGACTCAGCAATTAGTAATTTTTAATAATAATTTCAGCAAAGGGGCAAACATTACTGAGCAGATAAAAGGCTTTTAGTGTATATATATATATATATATATATATATATATATATATATATATATATATGTATAAAATCTACACAAAGGGATATTAAAATTATAAGAAACTAGTATCGCTCCCATTTTTTTAAATATGAGATTTAATTTAGGATGTCCTAAATATCATTTAAAGTTATTCAAGAATGTGTGTGTGTTCTTATAGGGTCACTTGTAAGTTCAGCCTCCCAATCTTGGTTTTCCCATAAGATCATAGGATTGTCAATTATACATGATTAAGGTGGATGAGATCTCCCTTTTTTAATCTGTAAAATGGAGATTATCATTTTATTCGTTCAACTTAACTGTGCAAGGCTGTTAGAGCAGGGGAAGTTTGAGAATAGTTTTGATGCTAGAATAAGGTAACAAGAGACTATTTTTTATCTGTAACAACAACAACAAAAAAATGGCAAAGAAGCTAAGCCTGGCCAAAAAAATAACTAGGGCTTGTTTTACCCACGTGTACACTGCAATTAAACAATAACAACCAATTATAGTAGTAGTGCTCTAGTAAAAATACAGATAAGATAAGGCTAATTAAATATTCCAGTTTTTGACTGCCTATTCAAGAGGACAGGAGCCTGAGGGATTGTCATCAGAAGTTACGTGGTAGGTTTACTCTATGGTTCTACGTATCACAGTTTAACTTGTGAAGGGCTGTAGCCTACTTTGTGAATTTTATCTCCCTTTTCCTATTGTTTCTCCCATTTTAAAGTATTTCTGGTATTTGGTCTTTAGCTTGGGTGGAGAATTCAGATTTTTTGTTGGAGCTAGGAGTTTGGTTCATAGAAGGCAACTCCTATCTATGTATATTCTCTATAAATAAGGAGAAGAAAACATGTAGAAAAAAGAGAACCCACCTCCCCGCTCTATGGTATACCTGTAGTGCTTTTACTACAGTCATCAAAAAGGATCTGGCCAGTCACTTTGCAGGGAAGCTTTTCTACAAGTAATGTTTAGCTGGCTGATTTTTTCAAGTGTTAGCTTAGAGGTATCTCATCTGGAAATCGTCCCTGCTTCACTCCCAAAGTTTGGGTTTATTGTCTCTTTTATATGTGCATGCATAGTCCATTTTACCTCTCACATCCTGTATTTGTCTGGTTTTTTCTTTTTTTTTTTTTTTTAGCTTGCCTTTATTTGATTCCATACCCTGACCACTGTGAGAGAGAGGATGATAGCTCTAGTTTCAGTATTGTTCCCTCAGGCCTTGTATGATGTGTATCCAACATATAGTTAGAACTACTCAACAGATGAATGATAAATATAGCTGCATTATTTATAGGCTACAGGTTTGTAATAGGTGAAATACATTTGTATATAATATAAAGTATGCCATTGAGATATCTTTAATGGAGTTGTAACATGTTATGTATTAATAGCTATATACATGTTAAAAAGCTAATTCATTATACTCGTTTTTTTTCACTGGCTGATTTTATGAATAGTAATTTGAAATTTTGAGAACTTAATTTTATCATTTGAAAAGTATTTGGTTTTAATTTGAATATATACTTATTTATAAACGAGTATAATTTATATATACACCTATAAATAATTTGGAAGTATTTTTATATATTCTGTCCACTTTCTAACATAGTCTAATTACTAATTGTAATCATTTTTTTGGCTAAATACAGCTAGTCCTGAATCTTTCATTTGGATGTCCCAATGAGCCTAGAAATCTTAAGCTATGTTAATAAGTTTCCAATTTTTTTTTTTTTTTTTTACAAAATATTTCCATTGCTGAGTTGGTTGGAACATTTTAAAGATACTAAGTTCTTCTTCAAAAACTGTTAGGAAATTTTTTAAAGTTGATTTTTGTTTTGATTATCAATGTATGATTGCTTAACTTTAAAATCAACTTTGATTTATAGCTAACTTAGTTTTGTTTAAATTATACAGATGATACTTCAAAAGCTGACAAACCGAAAGTAGATGAAGAAGGTGATGAAAATGAAGATGATAAAGATTATCACAGAAGTGACCCACAAATTGCTATCTGTCTAGATTGTTTACGAAATAATGGGCAATCAGGGGACAATGTAGTAAAGGTGAGTGAACAAGTACTATGGTATTTTTATGATCAGTTTATAGTAAACCCTTGATAATTTGTTGACAAATTTTCTAATGCTTCAAAATGTTTGCTTTCAAAGTTTTAATTAACATAATTAAATAAAATGCCATTCTTTGACAATCCTATGCTTAGAAATGGTTACTATTCCCACAACTGAACTGTCTTGGGCCAATGCCACCATCTAGTGGCTAATGCCCAGAATCACACCTCTGTTTCTCCTTTTATACCTTTGCTGGAAATTCATATGCATGGTTTCTGTTTTTTAGAGTGGTGACCAACTTAGACTTAGAGAATTTCATGTCACTGGTAGTTCTAGCCCTTTTATTCATTCTCTTCTAATTTTATCCTTTATTTCTCTATTTTTATTTGCAACTCAACAAGATTTCCATGTCAGAGCTAACATATTTTGTGAATAATTTAATCAATTAGTTTTGAAGTAAAATTAGATGTTGTAAAATGCCTCTGAACTTTTAAACTCCTTGAAGGCCCTCAGTTATTTCCTATAGAATCTCCATTTCTGGTACTGTTTTCCTCTGCCTCTGCTAATTGAATCTTTCCTTAGAGGATCTTTATAGGAAGTTTAAAACACTCTGCTTTTATAGATTTTCTTTGGTCTTTAAATGGTGTTACTTTAATAATGTTTTCTACCTTTTTATTACAAGCAGCTTTTATTTTTATTACAAATCTTCACTACTTCAGCTGTTAGATTTTTGTCACTTTATCCTAGCAAATGTCAGCCACTGAGAATATTGTTTATCTCTCTGTATTCTGTGTTTTATTCAAATGCCTATATTCATTGTCTCTAATTTTCTTTTACTTCCTCTGTGTACATCTATAGGCTAGTGGGTTGAATTTTTTACTAATACGTTTAATGGCATTTTCCTATTAGGAAGTGAAAAACAATTTTTCACTTCAGATTAAGTTTTCCTGGCATCTTATAACAACATATATGAGCACAGTAATTCAGTGAATATTTATCCACTATGTGAACAGTAGACAGTGAAGATGTAAGTAGTAAGAAAAAACATCTTTCACTCAAGGAACTTGGTTAGGTCTTATACATACAAATAGTTAAGGTAATTGATTTTGTTAAGGGGAATTTATTGGACAGGGCATGTAATAAAGTGCATCTATCTTTAGAGAAATGACCACTGTACCTATTTATCCTTACAGTATTTTCAGTTGTTTCTTATGGTCTTTCCCAAAAGTCATCCCCCTTTTTGGGAAGTTCTTTTTCATAGAGTTCATGGTCATCCTTTAGCTCTCCAATACATGAGTTAGCTCATACTGAAAGTTAAATCAATGGAAAGGCTGAATATCTTCTCATAAACAAACGTAAAGTCCACTTCTCTGCATGATTTCTCATATGAAAGTATAAAAGATTGAATTTTAGAAATTTATTTGAAAAATTAACCACCCCTGCTTGTTGTTCTCCTTTTTGACATCTTTGACACTTTGCTATTCTAGTTGACCTTTTATCCATTCACTTTTTCCTTTATGGACTTTTCTTCATCCTTGTACCTTCATTCTTAGTTTATAAATGACTTTTACTAAGCTACCCTGATTCTTCCTTTTTTTCCTGTGGCATTCCTGCTTTGTCTCCACTGCCTCTACTTCTTGCCTTCTACTTGATATATGTAAGTATGTCCTAATACTTTCTCTGTATCTATTTTAGGAGATCTTCTCCATTTTCTGTGTGGCTTCAACTACGCAAAGGATTTTTTAACTTTTATTTTAGGTTCAGGAGGACATGTGCAGGTTTCTTACATAAGTAAATTGTGTGTCACAGGTTTGGCGTAAGGTTATTTTGTCACCCAGGTAATAGGCATAATAGTCAATAGGTAGTTTTTCAATCCTGTCTCGCCCCCTACCATTCCACCTTCAAGTAGGGCCTCATGTCTGTTGTTCTCTTCTTTATGCAAAGGACTTTTAAGTCCTCATTTCCAGCCCTGCTTTGTTTCCCAAGCTGAAGTGTTATGTCTCTATTTTTAAATAGACCAGTTGAGAGTTTCACTAACACCGGAAACTTGACTTGTCTAAGTTGTCTAATTCATTATACTTTCATCTAACTTTGGTCCAAACATGCAGTTTTAGTTATGACTGCTGTCTTTCAGCCAATCAAATAAGTTCAAAAGCTTCGCGTCATCTTTGATCTGTTACTCTTTTCTTTCAACCAGTCACTAAGTCCTGCAAAATTCCCCCAGTTTAGTGCTGCTCACCCTTATATCTACATTTTTTAAGTAGTTATTAAGTGTTTTCTGTACCCTTAATTTTTCTTTTGTTATCCAGGGCTAGGGCCACTTGCCTGAGTGTGTGTAAGGCCCAGAGTGAGGGCCATGACCAATCTCAGGGTCAGATGGTAAGTATTTTAGGCTCTGTAGGCCATATGGTCTCTGTTGCAATTTACTCAACTTATTCATTATAGCACTAAAGCAGCACAGACAATAGTAAATGAATGGGCTTGGTTGTGTTTCAATAAAACATTACTTACAGAAATTGATGGCCAGCCAGATTTGGCCTGAGGACATGGTCATTGTACAGGCCAAAAGTTTGCCACCTTTTGGCCTGTACAATTAAGTCATAACTCCTTACATTAGTATTCAAGGCCCTTCCCTAACAAGCACCTCTTTTAATAAGTTTATCTCCCATTAAACCCATTAGTAAATCGTCCTTTCAAAACAAGTGATTATTCCTTTATGTATGTGTTCGTTCTCTCTCTCTGTCTCTTCCCCTCCACCTCGTGTGTGTGTGTGTGTGTGTGTGTGTGTTGGAAACCATATATCTGACAAAAGATCTGTATCTAGATTATATAAAAGCTTGTGTTATGAATACTTAAGACCTCTAAAACTTTGAACAACCCTTCCTTTTTGGCGTGTTCTTTCCTCTTCCACCATCCTATGCTTCTGTCAAGACCCAGAGATTTTTATTTTTTGTGACGCTTTTCCCAACCTAGTGAATCCCTTTTCTGAAATTCTGTAGTACTTATATTTATCTGTCAATTAGGGATTAGTTTGTTATCTATTAAGGATGTGCCTAAGAGTTCTAGGCACTGATACTATCTTTTTTTTATATGTGTGTTGTCCTTGATACTAGACTGTAAATCCCTTAGTGGCAGAGACACAATGTCTGTATTGCTTTATAGCCTTCTCAGCCATCTCATTCCTCTGCAGTAGGATGTGATTCACAAATGTGGTGGGGCAGTAGTTGCATGTATAGTTTATACAGAATATCTACTGCTTTTATAATACAGAAGTCAAAGTCAAGAGTGGGATGTCAATAAAAAGAGTAGAGTAAGTATCTCTGAAAATTCACTTTTCCATGAAAGTATAAAAATACTGGCAAAAATGTTCAGTGTCAGCTTTTTCAGAGATCTGATATTAAACAAAGGCTTATAGATGCATATAGAGCATTTTATCAAGAAGATGACTAACTATCAGTATAAAGGGTGAGCTTTGTGGCATTTTAACTTGCTTTAGTTCCAGCCCCTGCTCAAATTCTGCAGTAGCCTTGAAAATAACAGCCTGCTTTCCCATTGCAGCCTCTCAGGGACCAAAGGGAAAGAACAGAGGTAGAGCTTTTTCAAAGCCTCATTGCCAAAGAATGGTCATTATTTGACTTGTCTGGTTGTTTCCTCGGAGACCCCACTTACAAGATTGTCAGTATTCGACTTGACTTGGAGCTTGCCCCCATGGAAAAAGCCTTCTCTGTGGGTGGGGGAAAGGGGCATTTGTCAAAAACAATTACAGGCAAATGTTTCAACTTTACAACTGCCTGAGGTATAGATAACATTTGGAGCAAACAAGAGACTAACCAAAAAGCTTAAATGGAAAAGCTGGAGAGTGAGATGTCCCTAGGAGCTTCAAAAGGCTGTGACATATTCCTTGAAATCTAGAGGGCCACGTGCATATGTAGAGTTGTATGCATGTTCAGGAAGGACCTGAGAAGGCCCTAAGCTCTCACCTCTGCCTCACCTTGAGGTGGTCTGCACGAGTAGGAAGTGAAGACTAAGGCAGAGTTGTCAACACCTTAGTTGAATATTGGTGGTATGCCCCCAAACACATACCCAGATTCTTGGCAAAGACTGAGCAACTTAATGGCTCCAGATGTGTAAAGAAATCTCTGTTCCATTATTAGCTGACCTCTAGGCAGAAACTTTCATGACTACATATGGTAAAGAATACAGACTTTATGGAATTAGTTTAGGACTGAAGAGCAGGCAGGAATCTGATTTCCAGTATTGCAACATTATATTATTTAAAATGTCTAGTTTCAACAACAACAACAACAAAATATGGGAGATACTAACAAATACAGTGGTCCCTCAGTATATGTTGGGGATTCATTCCAGGACCCTTCATGGATAAGAAAATCTGTGGATCCCATGTCCCTTATATAAAATGGTGTAGTATTTGCACGTAACGTATGCACAACCTGCTATATACTTTAAATCATCTCTAGATTACTTGTAATACCTAATACAATGCAAATGCTATGTAAGTAGTTGTTAATACTATATTATTTTTATTATTGTTATTTTTATTGTTTTTAAAAATATTTTTGATCTGTGATTGCTTGAATTCACAAATGCAGGACTGCAGTTACAGAGAGCTGATTGTTTGACCCATACACAGGAAAAGAAGCAGTCAATAGAAACTGTCGCTGAGGAAGCCCAGACATTGTACTTATTAGGCATAGATTTGAAATTATCTATTTAAATATGCACAAAGAACTAAAACCATGGTCTGGGCACTATATGAAAATACAAGAATGATCTCACCAAATACAGAATATTAAATGTCTTTTAATATTCTGGAGTTGAAAAGTATAGCAACAGAAATGAAAATTTTACTGGTGAGGCTCAACAGCAGACTTGAGCCAAAGAAAAAGAACCTGTAAAATTGAAGTTAAATGAATTGAGATTATTCAGTCTGAGAAACAGAAAAATAGAATGAAGAAAAATGAACAGGTCCTCAGAGAGCTGTAGACACCATCAAGCTTACCAGCATACACATAATGGAAGTTCCAGAAGGAGAGGAAATGGAGAAAAAAGGACAGAAAGTATATTTGAAGAAATAATGGCCCCTAAAAACCAACCAAATTTGATGAAAAATATTAAACATTTGAGAAGCTTAACAATCTTCAGGTATGATAAATTCAAAGAAATTCATACCTAGGCACATCATAATCAAACTATTCAAAGACAAAGAGAGAATCTTGAAAGCAACAATATAAAAGTGACTCATGCACAAAGGACCCCCAGTAGGGTTAGTAGCTGATTTCTCACCAAAAGCTGTGGAGGATAGAAGGCAATAGGATAATATATGCAGAGTGCTCAAAGAAAGAAAACTGTCAACTAGTTAAGTCTATATTCATCAAAAATCTATAGCCTTCCAAAAGGAAGGAGAAATTAAGATATTCCCATGACCTTGGATTTGGCAGTGGATTCTTAGAAATGACACCAAAAGCACAAGCAACAAAAGAAAAGAAATAGATAAATTGTAAATGTAAAACTTCATTAAAATGTAAAACTCTTGTGTATCAAAGGACACTTAAAGTGAAAAAAGTTACAGAACGGGAAAAAATATTTGCAAATCATGTCTGATAAGCCTTTAATGTACAGGTATATGAAGAACTCTTATAAATCAACAATAAAAAGATGGCCCAATTTGGAAAAAGGCAAAAGGCTTGAATAAACATTCCTCTAAAGAAGTTATAAAAATGACCAATAAGCACAGGAAAAGTTGCTAAATATCACTAGTCACTGGGGCTCTGCAAATCAAAACCACAATGAGATATCATTTTATACCTACTAGGATGGCCAGAAATTTTTTTTAAGGAAAATAATAAATGTTAGAGAATGTGGACAAATTGAAACCTTATACGTTGCTAGTGGGAAGGTGAAAGTGCAGCTACTGTGGAAAACACTTTAGCAGTTCCTCAAAGAGTTGACGTGGTAATTCCACTTCTAAGTATGTGATCATATCCAGTAGTCCCCCCCTTATCTGTGGAGCATATGTTCCAAGACCCCCAGGGGATGTTGCAACCACAGATAGTACCAAATAATCCTGTATATACTGGTTTTTTTAATTTGATAACTGAGATAGCTAAGTCACTAATGGACAGGTGGCCTATACAGCATGAATATGCTGGACAAAGGGAGGATTCACAACCTGGGCAGGACGGAGTAGGATGGTGCAAGATTTTAACATGCTATGCAGAATTGTATGCAGCTTAAAACTTATGAATTGTTTATTTCTAGAATTTTCCATTTTGTATTTTTGGACAGTGATATATTGACTGGGTAACTGAAATCAAGGAAAGTGAAACTGCAGATAAGGAGGGACTACTGTATAAAAGAATTGAAAACATGTTCACACAAAATCTTGTATATGTATATTCATAATAGCATTATTTGTAATAGCCAGAAAGTGAAAACAACCCAAATGTCTATCAGCTGATGAATGGAAAAGCAGAATGAAAGGAAATGTGATACTATTCAGTCATAAACTGCAATGAAGTACTGATACATGCTACAAAATAGATGAATCTTGAAAACTTTATGCTAAGTGCAAGAAGCCAGACACAAAAGGTCACATATTATGTGATTCCATTTATACGAAATATCCAGACAAGGATAAAGACAAAGTAGATTAGGGTTGTCAGGGGATGGGAGGAGGGAAGGTTGCGGAGTGACTGTGAATAGATTTGGGTTACTTTTGAGGATGATGAAAATGTTTTGGAATTAGATCATAGTAATGGTTGTACAACTTTGCGAATAGTATAAAAACTATAATTAATCTGTGAAAGATTGTAAGTAGTGATACAAACATCATTTCTGGAGATTCTTCCTAATTTCTTGACAGATGAAAAATACACAAATTAAGAGTCTTCCAGTACAGGTTGAGTATCCCTTATCCAAAATGGTTGGGACCAGAAGTTTTTTGGGTTTTGGAATATTGGCATTGTATATACTTACAGTTGAACCTCCCAAATCTGAAATGAATGAGTGTCATGTCAGCCCTCAGTTTCAGATTTTGGGACATTTCAGATTTCAGACTGGGGATGATCAACCTACACCCTTATATTCTTCTCTGACTTAACTGGGGCTTGTAAAAATGTGCTAATGATTCTTTGTAAGCTGTTTGGGGCAAGAAGAAAATTGACAGGAAACCTTGGGATAGTTGAGAAGGTGAACAGATAACAGAGAAGATAGACGTGTACATTTATCCCTTTGTTTTCATGCTGTCTAGAATATCCGTCTTCACATTTGAAATGGGTAGAATATGTGTTGATTTAGATGTAACTTTTAACTTCTGTTTTCTTTTAATGGATATTTTATCATCTGTATTGTGACCAGGTTGTTATTTGTTAATTTATTTCTGTTGGTCTTTGCCAGGAAATATGTTTTGCTAGGAAAACATTTGCTAGGAAATAAACATTGACTGAACAGTTGTGACTTAGTGATGCTGACCTCATTTCCTATACATACAAATAGGAGTAATATCTTTAAAAGATTCTATTGTTGTTTTGTGTGTTTTAGTATTCTGATAACTTTTGAGGTTGTGGAATGTAATTTTGTTTCACATATTGGTTCGTGTTTATTATGTCTACAACCTCATTTTACTTCATTTTCAGCTTGGGTGTCCCTTCTGGATTGGTTCTTATATTTTAGTGATAGTCAAGCTTAAAGAGTGAATTAGTACTGCTCTGCACATTTTACAAATGAGACACATCAGGCACAGAGAAGTTTGTTCTTCCAGTAAAGTACTGGCACAGCCTATCAGACACTATTCTCCCCAACACAAGGTCCACACTATGCAACTTCTAATTTCTGGGGCATGCTGTGGCCTAACCAGCCTCTCTCTGTTGAACCCTATGGCTCCTCAGGGTCCCATTTGACATCACTGCTCTTTCTGAAATTATTTAAAAGCTGTGATACCATGTTTTAGAAAATGTCCCTCATGTTTCAGAAGTTATACTTTATAATCTTCACAGAATTGGAAAAAACTAAAGTTCATATGGAACCAAAAAAGAGCCCGCATTGCCAAGTCAATCCTAAGCCAAAAGAACAAAGCTGGAGGCATCACGCTACCTGACTTCAAAGTATTCTACAAGGCTACAGTAACCAAAACAGCATGGTACTGGTACCAAAACAGGGATATAGACCAATGGAACAGAACAGAGCCCTCAGAAATAATGCCGCATATCTACAACTATCTGATCTTTGACAAACCTGACAAAAACAAGAAATGGGGAAAGGATTTCCTATTTAATAAATGGTGCTGGGAAAACTGGCTAGCCATATGTAGAAAGCTGAAACTGGATCCCTTCCTTACACCTTATACAAAAATTAAGATGGATTAAAGACTTACATGTTAGACCTAAAACCATAAAAACCCTAGAAGAAAACCTAGGCAATACCATTCAGGACATAGGCATGGGCAAGGACTTCATGTCTAAAACACCAAAAGCAATGGTAACAAAAGCCAAAATTGACAAATGGGATCTAATTAAACTAAAGAGCTTCTGCACAGCAAAAGAAACTACCATCAGAGTGAACAGGCAACCTACAGAATGGGAGAAAATTTTTGCAACCTACTCATCTGACAAAGGGCTAATATCCAGAATCTGCAATGAACTCCAACAAATTTACAAGAAAAAACAACCCCATCAAAAAGTGGGCAAAGGGTATGAACAGACACTTCTCAAAAGAAGACATATATGCAGCCAACAGACATGTGAAAAAATGCTCATCGTCACTGGCCATCAGAGAAATGCAAATCAAACCACAATGAGATACCATCTCACACCAGTTAGAATGGCCATCATTAAAAAGTCAGGAAACAACAGGTGCTGGAGAGGATGTGAAGAAATAGGAACACTTTTACACCGTTGGTGGGACTGTAAACTAGTTCAACCATTGTGGAAGTCGATGTGGCGATTCTTCAGGGATCTAGAACTAGAAATACCATTTGACCCAGCCATCCCATTACTGGGTATATACCCAAAGGATTATAAATCATGCTGCTATAAAGACACATGCACACATATGTTTATTGTGGCACTATTCACAATAGCAAAGACTTGGAACCAACCCAAATGTCCAACAACGATAAACTGGATTAAGAAAATGTGGCACATATACACCATGGAATACTATGCAGCCATAAAAAATGATGTGTTCGTGTCCTTTGTAGGGACATGGATGAAGCTGGAAACCATCATTCTCAGCAAACTATCACAAGGACAAAAAACCAAACACCGCATGTTCTCACTCATAGGTGGGAATTGAACAATGAGAACACATGGACACAGGAAGGGGAACATCACACTCTGGGGACTGTTGTGGGGTGGGGGAGGGGGGAGGGATAGCAGTAGGAGATATACCTAATGCTAAATGACCAGTTAATGGGTGCAGCACACCAACATGGCACATGTATACATATGTAACAAACCTGCACGTTGTGCACATGTACCCTAAAACTTAAAGCATAATAATAATAATAATAATAAAAGCTTAAATAATAAAAAATATATATATTTTTATGCTTTTTGTGACCTTTTTTTCTTTTTAAGCTCATGTTTTCTTTACTAAAATGTCTAGAGGTAAGCAGATTGCCTATTTGCCAGGATTTTCCTAGTACACATGATAATATATTCTTGAAGAATGTCATGTAAGTATCCAATAATTAGGAATATTTTTACTCGCAAATACTAAAAAGCTATAAATTGAAATGTTTTCACAATACATTTTAAAAATACTCAAAATGATAGTGAAACTGGTAGCTATGGTTTCACCAGAAGCAAGATAGAACATTTTAACTGGTAGAACATTTTAACTGGTAATCTTTATTTCCTTTAGGGTTTAATGAAGAAATTCATTCGATGTTCTACACGTGTAACTGTGGGAACTATTAAAAAATTTCTAAGTTTAAAACTAAAACTTCCAAGTTCTTATGAGGTAAGTTAAATAATATCTAAGCTTGATCATTTTGATAATTCTGATTTGAAGTAAAATTCTAACAAAAGTGAAAACTGAGAATATATTCAAATTAATTTTTGTGGAAACTTTGATTATTTTTGTGTTAAAAATTTAATTTTCAGAATGTATTATTCTACTTAGGTAATATGTGTACTCTAATTGAACATATCCTGAATAAACTATGATACTAATACATTTAGTGTTTTATAATTAGAGGAGATATTTAAAGAACTTAACATTAAGTACTCCCAAAATAAATATACCAGCTAAATGTATTCATGCCTTAGGGCATGTCATTTTTTATCTGAGATCTTTGAGATCCATTATTACCAATTCTTTATAGACTTCTTCAGAATGTAAAACATTGTCTTTTTATCACAAGGAATTTCATAAGTAATCACATTTCCGTGAAATGCAGAAGTGGTTTTGTTTAGCAGTAGATATAACCAACATATTATAGCTGCATAAATGTAATTTACCAGTTTATTTACAGAAGAGGTAAACTGCCCTGATATTAATCACAGCATAGCTTTTCATGTGTTCCATGTTTAGAGAATGTTTTTAATCCTAGAGTTATAACTAAAACATAGTAAGGAAATATCATTTCTCACCTGCCTAAATGATGATCTTTCAACTCATTAATTTCCCCTTCTTCCCTTTCGAGTTCTGATAGTAGCATCTAGAAAATTAAAGACCAGGCCAGGCGTGGTGGCTTATGCCTGTAATCCCAGCACTTGGGGAGGCGGAGGCTAGTGGGGTCACTCAAGGTCAGGAGTTTGAGACCAACCTGGCCAACATGGTAAAACCCTGTGTGTTCTAAAAATATAAAAATTAGCCGGGTGTGGTGGCAGGTGCCTGTATTCTCAGCTACTCAGGAGGACAAGGCAAGAGTCACTTAGGTGAACCTGGGAGGCGGAGGTTGCAGTGACCCGAGATCACGCCACTGCACTCCAGCCTGGGCGACAGAGTGAGACTCCATCTCAAAAAAAGAAAAGAAAAGAAAATTAAAGACCAGGACTAGTTTCCTATATAAACAAAGACATCAAAGAAAAGGCAGCATAGTTTTTCTGGCTTATCTGCAGTAATATGAATATCATGAAGAGTCATCATAGGAGACATAAAATGTGATAGACATTGATAGGTATTATGTCCATGTTTTGAGGAAGCCGCTGATCCTGAGCTTATTTGAAAATTTCTCTCAGATGACTAGTCTATGGGTTGAAAATTGTTATTATGGTATGGTTCTACAAATATTTTTTAAAATTCTAGAGACATCAACGTTTGTATTAGGAAAAAATTATGGAAGTTAACTATAAAGCCCAATGTACTTGGTAAAAATAAATGATAGTAACAATGTATGGATACAACTACAGTGAAAAATAGACAATAAATTGTTCTTATGATTTGGTTTGCACTTTATTTTCTTCACGCAAAATACCATGTATGGTTTTATTTCCTTTTAAGTCTGATTCATTGAGTTAACATTTTCTAATTTTTAGAAAGCTGTTATTACTAAGAGAACTGTTACTCTTACATAGTCTTACTTCTGGCATGTATATATTTCGCTATAAACAAAGATGGAAGGGGGAGAGATTCAGTACGCTGACACCTCCTTATGTATCCCAATGCAAAGGACTTTTCCTGTGACTTTTGGGAATCTTTTTCAGTTCCCCCCTTATTTTGCTGCCTAGTATGCAGGGGGATTATTTAATGAAATACCTGACAGCTGAAGCTTTTGTAACAGCATTGCTAACTGGGGCAAGATAGTTTAGTTGTTAAACGACATTAACAGATGCAATATACCTGATTAGCAAAATGCATCCTAAGTGAGACCCTTTACTTTGCTTATGAATTAATTTACAAAAAAGATAAAAATGAAATTATCTCCTTTATTCTTTCAAAAGTTAATAAAATGATGCCTGAAAAACATTTTGAGGTCCGTATAAGTCATCATAAATCATCAAAAAATCAATAATTTTGCTTCACATGTCTAATACAATTAACTGAAACTATACTCATCTTAAAGTTCAAAACTGTAGTCTCTGTCTAGCCAGATGCAGAATTATTTAAAACTCATTCTTCTTCCCCTCCCACACTTCAAATGAAATCTTTCCAGTTTGTTTTTAATAGCTAGAGAACTAAAATGTTATATTATTTGTAGGGATCGATGATAAACATTTGCTTAATTATGCTTTCTTGAATTAGTGAATTATAGCCACAGTTCCTGTAGCCTTCTTAAAGATTTAGGGGTTGTTCGGTTCTTGCAACTTCGAGCAAAACTTAACGCTGATAAGTATGCTTTTTTGAAGCTTTGTGCAAAGTGGGAAGAGGATCCTGTAAGTATTGTGCAAATCACTGACCAGGCAAACCAGAGAAGCCAGACAGCCCTAAGAGACACAGACCTGTGGCATAGTCGTAACTTTTGTATCAAATTAGATATTGGTAATTACTGAAAATTCTCATATACCTTTAAGGCCCCATAAATCACTGTATCCACATTCATTAATTTCCCTCTTCAACCCCAAACTAATAAGAAGATAGTAACCCCTTCAAATCTCAGGAAGGTGAAAGAATTCTGAGAGAGGAATTGAGAAGCCAAAGGAGCTGAGAGGAACTGTGAGGTTTCTGCAGGTTCTTGTTCAGAAAGGGGCAGTCACAGAACTATGCCTTAAACCTCTAAGAGACATGACAGAGATTTGGACTAAGAAAGGTTACATTGCATTTGTAAATTATGTGTATGAACTTGAGATACAGGTATATGGGACAAGATAAACAGTATCTTGTATATAGTATACAGCATAGTAACAGTATATAAGTAACATATCCAAATTGTTAATGCTTTAGGAGAATAAATGCCTCCTATTTAAAATAATGGATAATACTTTTGTTCCAACTATTTGAATATTTTTTGAAATTTCAAAAAATATGCAAAATACTTTTGAATTCAACATTATGTTAATAGATCTATAATGATTCTTTTTAAAGTTGGATGTGCTGTGCAATGGTGAAATTATGGGGAAGGATCATACTATGGAATTCATCTACATGACAAGATGGCGACTAAGAGGCGAAAACGTAAATTGCTTTTATATTTACCTATGTGTTTATTTAGTTATATACCATTATGTTACTCAAATTTAACAATATTAGAAACTAAAAAAGACAAACTAGCTTGGGAAGGAGAAGAAACTGGTTTTTCTTGCTACTGTTTCTCCTAGCACTCTGATAATTGGTCCTATGTATAAAATCAAGGTCTGTGGTAAATGTGATTGTATTAGATTTAAAGTGAGATTAAAACCCTATCTAAATATGTTCAGGACTCTACTAACCAAGACAGAGAAAATGACATATTTTTTAAACCCAATAAGTTGTTGGAACATTTATGTATATGGAATGGGAGTGGGGGAAACTTAAGTTCTCCCCTAATATGATTAATGGTTGATAAGGGTGTTTATTTTTGGTTGTGGTAGAGGGGACACATAGGGTAGAATCTAAATAATCTTCTTTCAGGTACCTCCTTTTCGTTGAAAATATAAACTCGGACTTAAGGGTAAGTGAGTTTGCAGTGCTTTCTGATGCCAGAATTAGATTATTGTGCCTTAGGCCCTAAGCATATGGGAGAAATGATTCAAAGGAGAAAACCAAAGAAAACCCAAAAAACCCAAAAGGTGAATTTTGTATTTTGAACTATGTCTTTGATTCTGGTTAATTCTGTAGGACTAATATATAAGACTGAGATATGAGACTAAGGAATACAGTAGTAACTTAGGTTCTACTAAGTTCTATAGTAGTAACTATAACTTAGGTTCAAGCATGGGATATTAGGCAAATTTGAGGTACTAGGGATTGTAGGACTCATATATGACACTAAGGAATATAGCAGTAATGCTATCAGAAATTATCTTCATAATCTGAGTGCATAAATAAATAAATATGAATTAAGATTGGCTATAAGGTTGGAGTAGATAACATCTAAGATTATCTTTTGGACATTAAGATTCTGTGTTTATGATACAATATGCCATACTCTGTGTAATTTATTCTGTAAACTAGATTTATTATATTTTCTCATGAAAATGTAAATCATAAAAAAAAACAAAATTAAGAAATTTGACCTCACACAAGAATAAGAAATAAGAATCCAGATATAATGAGGGTTGCCATGTTACCATATTTCCAAAACATATTTATATTGAATGTAAACATTTGTGGAATTATTATAAAACAAGCCTCAAAAACTCATTGTCTTATGGGTAAGATATTTGGCTCTTTGCAGAAGAAATGTCTTGATATCATATAATAATAAATGAAGCACCTACATTTGTAAATCAGAAGTTTTTTTCCTGCTTGAGATGTAGTAAAAGCCCTGCTTAAAGCCTTCTTTGTGAGACTGAACGCTTTCGCTAGCAGCAGGAAGAAAAAATTACATTCTAACACCAGCCACCAAATAGTGTGTGGCCTTGAAGAACTTGTCATACATGTTTGTGGCTCATATTTTTAAAGATCTAACTACCTTTGTATTTGGTAAATTAACAACCTGCCTTTCTGTAACATTTTATAATGTTTTAAATGATTGTACATACATCAATCACCCTCAGTTAATCCTTACAACCAAAATGTTCCAGGTACCAGGTACAGATTGCACAGGTAGTAAATTCTTTCTTACCCAATACTGTTGAGGAATGGATATTATGATATTACACATAATATTGTGTTGAATGTAACTTCAGCTTTCTTTGATAGTTTAGCGGGCATTGCAGTGTGTTTTAGTGACTGAAATCATCGTGATGAATAGACTTGCCTTAAGGTTAAAGAGATGTAAGTGGTCATCCACTGCACGACCTCTACAAGTGGCTCACTTGTTCTTTACAAGAACTCCTCCCAAAGTTGCCCCAGCTGCCATTATTTTAATGTCAAAGTATGAAAGAGCTAATTTATAGACATTTTTAGTAAGAGACTATGATTTAAATCAGTCCTTACTCTAATTACCTTTCTGATTACATATTTGTGAATAGTTTAAATTTTTTGGTTGTTTAAGGCATATTTTAATAAAAGTTCAAAAAGTGATTCAGTAGCTATGGTTTATCATTCAGGTGGAAACTAAACCAATAAACAGAAAAATTACTACCTTTTACATTTAGTGCAACAGTAAAGTAATATATTAGCCCATTTCATTTCTTGGTGTGACAAACCTGTTTTTTAGTTGCTTTCCTTCTCCAAACCTGTTTCACCCTCAGTCATCACAACCTCAATAGTTCTAAGATTGGTAGCTCCATTTTTCCAGTTGCTCAGACCAAAATCCCTGATGTCAGCACTGATTGCTGCCTTTTTCTTTCATCCATCCTTTCTTAGCAAATTCTGTAACCTTCACCATCAAAATATACATTCAGAATCCAGCTATGTCTCACTACATCCACTTCACTACTAGTCCAACCCACCATCGCCATTCTCCTAGCAAGGCTCTGTGCCACCACCCTTGTCCCACCTCTATCTTCACCTCACACAGCAGCCAGCGTGATCCTCTTAGGACAGGTTAGAACATGCCCACTCCGTTCTCTGATTCCTCCAATAATGTTTAATTTAGGTAAAATTCAGAATCTTTCTAGAGACCTACATATGTGGCCCCCATACAGTCTTCCCCAGATACTCTGTCTCCTCGTTTATTCTGTCTCCCTGGCCTCACAGCACTCCAGCCACACTGGCCTGTTTTCTCAACCACACCCCACTTGCCCTCACCTCCCCTGGTATCCACCTACCTCGTTTCCTTTACCCCCTTCACTTAAATAATTTTGCTTCTACCTCACCTTCTCAGTGAGGCCTCTGACCTCCTCTAAAACTACAACCCCCTCTCCCGATGGCATTCTTACTCCCTTTTCATGCCTTATTGTTTTCCATAGTATTTCATACCACCTCCGGCATATTATGCCTCTTATTTATGTTTATTGTTTGTCCTCCAAGTAAAATATAATCTGAGGACAGGGATTTTTGTTTGTTCACTGCTAAATCTCCAGCACCTAGGGCAGTGCCCAGCATATATACTCAATCAATACTTGTTCAAAGAATAAATTGAATGAAAATGTTATCTTTTACAAGGTAATGGTTATGCAAAATATATCCTACAGATAATTTTTATTTATCTGAATCTCAGCTTCCTTTTTTTCTGTTAAATTTTCAATTTTTGTTCAACTTCCAATTACAAATTATTATAATATTAATAGATGAATTCTGACAGTTGAGTGACATGGACGAATGCAGCAGTATCACTAAAACAATCATTTCTTGATTGAGCTCCTGTAGCATATTGTTGTGATCACATCCCTTCTTATTTAATCATCCACTGCCAGCAAGATGCCAGGATGTCTGAAGAGCTCTTATTAGTCTACCTATTGGCTAACTAGCTCTGCCTTGGGCTGGAGTCAGCTTATTTCCTAAACTAATGACCACTATGTGGTTCTTTTTCTTGTTTCTATTGCTTTTTTGTATTAAACATTTTAAGCTACCCAAGATTAATTTATTTATACAAAAACACAAGGTTAAGATTCTAATTTATTTCAAATTGTTTTTAAATCAGAAATACAATGTATTGAATATTGAATAATCCATATTTAACCTTATTGTTTTGAGATGTCACCATGTCTGTGCGTATGTGTGTATATGTGTGTGTGTGCATATGTGTGTGTGTGTTCCTAGACATTGTTTTGTTCTTGTGAGCAGGTCTTACTCTGTACCAGCATTACACATCATCTACCTTTTATAAAGATCTGGCCACATAACACCCCTATCTAAAACCCTCCAGTTGTCTACTTTCTTTGGGATAAATTTGGATGAAGTTTAAACATGTTTTATAAGGCAAATAGTTGGGCCTTCTAGGTTGCTTTATGATGTGTATTAGTACCTATTAGGGAAAAATCCCCAATTATTCTTTTGAAAATTGTGTTGACTAGTTTTACCCATTTATTCTTCCAAATGAGCTTTAGAATAGGATTGCGACTGGCATTGCGTTATATTTCTAGATTGATTTGGCTGGAATTGGCATCTTTGCGGGTTTTTTATTCTATTTGGCACTATGGGATGTCTCCTCATCTATTCTACACACTGTGAGTAGATCTGTCATTTTCTTTCCTCCTCATATTGGATACCACTCTCTGCCCCGTGGAGTCTTTCATCTCTGACAAGGGTACTCCATATTCAGATTACCCCTTTATCTTGCTCTGCTTCTAGCCTCTTAGGAAGAATCTCAGGATAATTGATTTTGCCTCAATTTCTCAAGAATAGTGGAGTATTTCACCTGCACCATACATACTCTGTGCCACTGCTCTCCTTTGTCTTGGGGTAGTTCCACTTCAGGCTAAGCCTGTTTTCTATGGTCCCTGCCCTCTCTAGACCCTTGTCTCCATTGTGATGCATTTTTGAAAGATTTTTATCTTTAGGAATCAAAACAAACAGCTGGTCAGACTTAGCTCGTAAAATTTTTTCAGTTCGTATCAGTATTGCCACCTCAAGTTTCTATACTCAAGCTTGGCATTAATCTTTTTCTTATTAGTGGGAGGAAAAAGGAAAAAAAAACATGCTTCTTGATCTTTAATGCAAATTCAGATCATCTCAGGATCTTGGTAAAATACAGATTCTGACTCAGTAGGTCTGGGAATAAGACTCAAGATACTGTATTTCCAGCAAACTCCCAGGAGATGCTAATGCATCTGATCTTTGGACCATCCTTTGAGTAATAGTGTTTCAGGAGATGTGATCTGTGACTACTGACTTTCCCTGTAGTTTCCACATCTATAAATTGAGGATGCAGAATTACAGAATCAGATCTCAGTTTGGAAGGGACTTATGTCATATCATCTGATCTGTCATCCATCTAATACTTGGACTTTCTTCACAATATTCATACCCAGGGGTCATCACATTTTTTGAAACATAAATGGAATCATATGTATTGTTTTACAACTGATTTAAAATTTGATAATGTGTCTTGTGCAGAATCAGTAAACTTTGAAACAATTTTTAATACATTAATAATAACTCCTTTTGTGGCTGTAGCATAATTTGATTAACACACCCCTTTGATGGACATTTAGATTTTTTTCAAATTTTTTGACATTACAAGCAAGGTGTTCCAGTACCTACTACATATATGCAAGCATATCCATTGGCTAGATTCTTAGAAGTAGATTTTCAGCAGAGTATGCATGTTTTAAATTTTGATAGATACAAATTGTCCTCTGAAAAGGTTTTAGTGGATATTATTTGAAATTTATAATCATACCAATAATGAATGAGAGTGCCCATTTTCTGACATCCTCCCCAACACTGCATATCATCTATTTTATATTTCTTCTGTGAACTTACCTATCATATTCATTCCCTTGGTTCTTTTTCATCATGTTTGTCTTTTTGTTAATGACTTCTAGGATCTCTTTATGTGTTCTGAATATGAATCTTTTGCTGTTATGTGTTACAGCTATTTTCTTCCAATTGTGTCCTGCTTCCTAGTTTTGCCTCAGTTTTTTGATTCTTTCAAATTTGGGTAAAACTAAGAATTAATGAAATATTATATACTGAAGTGTTTAGCAGAGTGTCTGACATAAATGTTATTAATAACTTATGCATATTAACGTTTATTATGACTATAATTCTCTCCTCCTTCACTTAGTTTCATCCCTGAGAGCTTATTGTCAATATCTCTATCCAGCCTTAGCTTTCATCGTGTACTCACGTTCTTCCTGCTCACCTTTTCTTGGGTAGTTCTCAGTACAGCCCCCTTTTCCCAGCTCATCCTGATTTAGTTTTATCTCTTCCAGCAACCTCTGCCAGTCCAGCACCTAAAGTTACTACACCATGCTTGTCTTCCTTTGCTTTATTTGCATTAGTAGGCAATTGTAAGAAAAGCAAGTATATACATCTTGACTGATACCAAAGAGATCAATAGAAAAAAAAAAAAGAATCACTTAGTGAAATTGCCACTTTCCAGCTTACTCTTGTTGACCCTGTTTAGAATTCTCAATGTTATGCAAAGTCTGATGGACCAGAGCTTGGGGACTCTTTGGAGAGAAAGGAGAAGGTTGCTAAAAGAGAGCCGAGCTGAGCCCGCCTTACAGCATGTTGATGCACACTGTACCTAAAATCAAGGACTGACTGCTAGAGAAAAAAATTACTAAAGTATTTCGGGAAAATAGAAAATTCCTTAAATTTTATTTAAAAGGCTACAAATATATTTGTTTTAATCAATGCTTATTTAAATCTTTCAAAGTATATCTTTTAAAAACCTACTTTGCTATGTTAGAAATATCCTGGTTAATTTGTACCTTATATTTTTTATGTATTTAATTTTTTCCATTTTGAAAAGTATGCAATGTTGAATTCATATATGCATAATTTTAAAGTATACATTTTATGTTTTGTAGTCCAATTACAATTAAAATTACATTTAATAAGAGTTTAGCATAGTATTTAAGAATTAGGATTTGGGAATGATTTTTTTAAATGTGAATAAACTGTTTTAAAGTAGTAGGTTTACAAATGAATCTACTCAATAGTTTTAAAGTGTGTTCACTCATTGCTTTACTCATAAAACATCTGATGGCTGATATATGCCAGTTCTGGGCCTTAGCTATTAAGACCACAAATGTGACTAAAATATAGATCTAATGCTATATATATATATAATCTAATATATATATAATCAGCAATATAAAGCAACATAAAGAACCTACTATAAAACAGAAAATAGATGCCTTACAGGTTGAGCGGAGTTCCACGTCCCTCCCAGAGCTCTGATTTCCTTGAACAGTATTACTTTCAGGGGAAGTTGAAGAAGAGATCTAGGAGACAGTGATCAGAGGAAGGGATGGAAGAAAGAGGATGTCCCTCGTGTATGCAAGAAGTGAGATTTTCCCAGGAAATAGTATTTGTAAAGGATATGGAAAGGAGAGGCCACCATTTTTGCATTTGCAGAATATTAAACAAAACTCATCTAGATGCTAAAATTACTTCAAGCTAAATTTTACCAGTTACTAAGTTATTAAAATCTTTTTTTCAAAAACAACCACCATTTTTTTGGAAAGTGTTTATTTACCATTAATCATGTTGACTCTTGTGTTTGACGTTAAACTATTTTAAATAATCAATTTTAAATATGTGTCCAGTTGTGGATGCCTCTTATCTGATGAGTTCATCTCCTCCGCAGTTTCGGTGTCTGAACTGCTCAGCTTCGCAAGTCTGCTCTCAGGATGGCCCTTTGTATCAGGTAAGAGGCACTCACGACTGTACATATGACCATCATGACACCATGGCGGTGAGCACATTCATCCCAAACTCAATTCCTAAGACATTTAACTTTGTAAAACTGTTACTGGAGCTACAAAAACTTATCTTTTCAACTTATATACCCAAGATTTCCCATTATTTTAGTTCTCCTGAATTATCTATTTAATTTTACTGAACTAAAAAATTAGAAATGTTAAGGCTATTACTTATGAATCAGGAATTTTTAATAATTACTACTTTCAGTCCTTGAGAAATCTCTACTCCATATTGGATTTTGAGACGTTACTTTCTTTGTATGAATGTTATTTTTCAGTGAATCATTCAACCACAAGTGAAATATAAAATGCCAAATTAGGTGAAGCTAAATAACAGCAACAGCTGATTCTAATTATGAGCTTGCTTATTAGCCCTTCCCTAGTACTTTACTTGAGTTACCTCTTTAAAAATGATAGTGAGCTAATTTAGTAATGCACTAAGAAAAGTTGAACATGTGTCTGAGGAAAGTTTATCTGATAAAGATACATTTTAAAAATTTGGGAAACAGACAAGGGTATAGTAAAGATTATTGTTGGGTACAGATGTGATTGATGATCAGCCTTAACCCTGTGAATTAATCATACCATTTCTTTAAAATATCCATTGTTGGGCCAGGCATAGTGGCTCATGCCTGTAATCCCAGTGCTTTGGGAGGCTGAGGATGTAGGATTGCTTGAGGCCAGGAGTTTGAGACCAGTCTGGGCAATATAGCAAGACAAAAAAAAATTATTTTTTTAGGCCAGACACGGTGGCTCACCTCTGTAATCTCAGCATTTTGGGAGACTGAGGCGGGCAGATCTCTTGAGTCCAGGAGTTTGAGACCAGCCTTGACAACATGGTGAAACCCTATCTCTACAAAAAATACAAAAATTAGCCGGGTGTGGTGGCACACCCCTGTAGTCCCAGCTACTAAGGAGGTTGAGGCGGGAGGGTCGCTTGAGCCCAGGAAATGGAGGTTGCAGTGAACTGAGATTGTGCCACTGCATTCCAGCCTGGGTGACAGAGCAAGACTCTGTTTCAGACAAACAAATAAATAATAAAATAATAAAATCCACCGTTCTTTTATTTCAATAATTAAATGAGTTTTCATCTTTATTTCCTTGGAGCCAGGGAGAAAGGATAATTGTAATTACATAACAAACTTAACTGGCATACTTACCTCCAGTGTTACAGTTTTGGAGTTGGGACAAATGAATGTATGTTAAGCATTAAAAGAATCACTTGAAATTGCTAATTGAAAATGTTTAATTAGCAGTTTATCTAGAATTTTCTTCAGCCTTTTGTCAGTGCTATGATATGGGAATTCTCGTGCCTTCATTAAAATGTGTGCTTTTTGATACATACTCTTTTAAGTCCTAGCTTTTCAGCAATCTAGTAAGTAAATTTAACATCTCTGAAGGCCAAGTCTGAGGGAGAAAGATCATTCTTCTCTCTATGCAGATAAGGGTCTGGGGTAAATAATTTAACTGAGCTGGTGAGATTTGTGTATATCCGAGGTGTATAGATGTTTCAGCTGCTTTAGCCTCATGGCTGATTTGGGAATGCTGAATTGTAACGATAACACTGCCTGTAGCTATAACCTGTGCAATATGTGTCTTTCTGCTTTTACTCTTGGTGTTGATGCCTATGTATTTCCTTAGAAATGAAGATGTCCTTAAACCATGATCCAAAGTATTAGAGAAAAACTGGAGTGAGACCAAATTTCTAAATCCATACAAATTTCCTCTTCTTCCTTCAACACCTCATTAATGGCTCATTAATAGTCTTCATTAATAGTCCTGTAAGGAAATTGAACTTGTAGCTAATAGGATGCACCGTTAACTTCCTGAAAGGATAACTAAATGGTTTTATGTTCTGAATTCTCTCTAATTTTCAAGGAATATATCATTCCTATGCTGTATCTATTGTTAATCATTAGAAAAGGTGGAATCCTTCCACTTTGCCATTCTTAATAGCAAAAACTGACAGAGAACCCACAATTAGAAAACTGGTACCAAATCTGATTTTGAATATAAGTAGATGATAAATAATACACTAATATAGTGTATTATAATAGTGTATAATATAGTGTATATTATATAGTGTATAATATAAAATATTTTATACATTTTATATATTTTATACATATATACTCTAGGTTAAAAATCATCAGTAGATACTGAAAAGGTGTTTGATAAAATTCAATGTGAAGTCCTGATGTTTTCCTATTGAAAAATTTTTCAAAACAACAGAAAATTGAAATAATTATACAAAGGAATATTCTTTATGATTACCTAGATTCATCAATTAACATTTTGCCACATTTTTTGCCTCCTCTTCCCCTCTCTTTCTCTTCTCATCTCCTTATTAATCAATCTGTGTATGTATATATATATGTAATAGTACATTACATTTTATAGAGATGCCAGTTCACCCCACAATTAAATTATAAAGTTAAATGTAATTCCAAACACACTTTTACCAGATCTTTGTTTAACTTGACAAAGTCAGTCATTCTAAAGCTCATAAGGAAATATCAGCAGGTGCTTCGATCAGTCATGTTTTTACAAAGAGTAATGAGAGGGAATGTGTACTACCACATACTAAAACATATTTTAAAGCTGAAGTAATTAAAATAAGGTCTTGCCTTAAACATAGACATATGAATAAAAAGAATAGCTCAGCAACAGACCCTAGTATGTATGAGTCTGTAAAGAGGGTATTTCAAATTAATGCAGTAAAATGATTAATTTAACAAATACCTATTGAGTATTATGCATTGGGCAGTCTTCTAGGCCTTCGAGGTTACAGAAGTAAAAATGAGCACAAATCTTTTCTTTCATGGAACTTACACTAATGATGGTAACAGACAAAAAATAAACAGGTTAAAATTTATAGTGTTAGAAGAAAAAGTAAAATAGATAAATAGAATAGTTTTAATAAGATAGCCAAGAGAAGCCCTCTTTGAGGTGGTGGATTGTTGATCAAAAGAAATTGAGAGACGTTGCTATGTGAATATCTGAGGTAGAGCACTGAAGCCTGAGGCAACACACTGCAAAGGCCCTGAGAATTGATTATGTCTGGTTATTTGAGAATTGCAAGGAGGCCAGTGGGGCTGGAGCACGACAGTGCAGATCTAGTAGGGCTTATTTTTAATTAATTATACTGAGACTGGGTGGGGAATTCAATTCTACCTCACATTTTATATCAGTATAGGTTTATGATGGCTTAAAATGGTAAATATTTTAAATGATACTATAAAAGATCAAGAAGAAAATATAGTTGAAGAACTGATCTCAGAGTGGGGATGGCCTTTCACGTTGTACCTAAAAAAATTGAATTGACTATTAATATTAAAAGCACATGGCAAAAATATCATAAAATATATTTGCAATGTATGATAGAAAAAGGTTTAATGTTATTAATACATAAAGAATTCATACAAATATGTAAGAAAAAGCTCAGCTTTTCATAAAAATGAGCAAAGGACATGATCAGGCAAGATACACAAGAAGGAAACACAATGGGCTAATAAACATATAAAAATGATTAACTTTCTTAGCAGTCAAGAAATGAAAAAAAAATACTATCTTATGCTTATTAAATTGCCAAATTAAGAGGTGGGGAAAGATAGTACTCATTATTGATGAGGCTATAGAGGAATGGGCATTCAAATTTCTTTTAAAAATGTAGAAAAATAAAACTACATTTTATTTTTTTTTTTTTTGAGATGGAATCTTGCTCTGTTGCCAGGCTGGAATGCAGTGGTGCGATCTTGGCTCATTGCAGCCTCCGTCTCCCAGGTTCAAGTGATTCTCCTGCCTCAGCCTCCTTAGTAGCTGGGATTACAGGCATGCGCCACCATGCCCGGCTAATTTTTTTTTTTTTTTTTTTGTATTTTTAGTAGAGGCGGGGTTTCACCGTGTTGGCCAGGATGTTCTTGATCTCTTGACCTCGTGATCTGCCCGCCTCGGGCTCCCAAAGTGCTGGGATTACAGGCGTGAGCCACTGCGCCCAGCCAGAACTACCTTCTTGAAGACCAGTGTAAAAGTGTTTATCAAAAAGCTCTTTAAAATATGTATGCTGTTTGAACTAGCAGTTCCGCTTTTAGGAATCTATCCTGGGGCAAAAGAAATAGATCAGTGGGTTAAGATTAAGTTATAATAGCAAAGGAAAAAAGGACTAAACTCAAATGTGCAGCAAAAGGAGACTTACTGATAACTCACAGTTCATTTCTATAACAGCATAATATACAGCTGTTAAAAATTATGTAGCACCGTACCAAATGGTATGGAAATAGGTTTGTGGAATTGCTAAATAGATAAAAAATTTAAATGAAACTAAATAATATGTTTAGCATGATTCCAGTTTTGAAAAAAAAAAACGAATGTAGATAAAATGAGTAGAGGAATATACACTAAAATTATTATGGTAGTTATCTTTGGATGGTAGGATTTAAATACTTTTCCTTTTTTTCTTGATACCATTCTGTATTTTCCAAATCTACACTAAAAACAAGTTTTGACAAAAATAATTCATTCTTTAAGGAAAAAAGTACATCAAAGGCAGTTTTATCATTTTCTAAAATTATTTGAAATGTATTCTCTGAAAGTATCTGTTCTTTATTTTTATTACATAATGAGCCTTGAGGACTAGAAACTGAAACGCAGGTCTATTTAGTGCAGTCACTTAACACTAAGAGGTAATTATAAGCCATATTTGATTATTGTTAGTGTGGTGCCATTTTATTTCAGAAAACCAAAACACAAATAGAACTTAAAATATATCTTTACAATTTTCAGTGTTGTGACACATTTCAATAAAATTATTAAACTTCATATGTTCTTATAGAACACACAACAAATGGCTACTTGGAGGAGAAAACAAAATCATTTTCAGCCGGAAACTGAGAAAATCCCAAGCATTGCCAGTAAAGCCATTTTACTTCCCTCTGTACCTTTATCCCTAGTAGAATTAATGGATACTTCCATATATGATTAATGCATTCTAAAATGAGTGGCTTATGTATTTGCAGAAAGTGTGCAAATTCAATAGAATCAGGAATCAAACGCAAAACTAGAGCAGTTAGTATAGTGAAGGGCAAGCTGTGGGTTGGGTGAGGTAGAATGGAAAGGATATTGGTCGTCTCAGAATCTCACTGGGCTTCAGAAACATCCAGAGTTTAGTAAAATGGAGATAATCTGTGTCTTGCTCCCTCCCAGGTAATCTGATTCAGGGGGAACTAAATAAAGTTTAAAATAAAAACAAGTAAAACCAGAACAGTTTTAGAAGTTTTAAACCTTGGAAACCCTGAGAGACTGTCTTGAGACTTTTACTCCAGCCCTTAGACAGCTGTAGTAGCATCTGCTGTACTTCACCTGGGAGAGCAAGACCTAGGGCATTTGTATTCCTGCCCTCTAGTTCCATCCTGAGCTGAATGGTTACAGATTCCAACATTGAGTCTTCCCAGTGTGTAGCATAGCTATAGTAAGCACTGAAATGGTCATTTTCAGGATTGTTAAATCTCAGTCTAGCCCTTTTATCTATATGAAAGAATACAAAGTTCTCTATACCGTATTTTTATATTCATGTATACCAAGATGGAGAAACATTAGTCAGTGACCATCTCAGCCCCTTCTTGATTCCATAAAAGTAGCTCCTCAAATTTCATTTTAAGAGAGAGTATCTACAGCTTTAAGAAAAGGAAAACCACTGATGTTTTGGTTCTATAAGATATGGTACAGGGTAAAAACAAACACAGAGGTAGCGTGGCATATGCCATATGCCTTTATCCCAAAGAAGCTGTTTCCTCTCTAGTTCTGTATGATAGCCAGATATATGATACCTTTTCTACATAGTGACATGAAAAACAATATGAACCATTCAGTTATTTTATGTAATAGTCAAATCCAAATGTTTATTAGTATCAACTGTTGAAAGGAGGTAGTGACCTAAATGTTTCATGTAACAATCAGCTACTTTTTCAATATTTTTAAAGGATCATTAAAATAAATTTTAAATTTAAAAAATGTTTCAAACTTGTAAGAAATATGATTTGTGAACACTACTCCAGTTTTACAGGTTCCTAGCAGAGGGGGTCTCTTTGTTGATTTGTGATCTAGTGGGCTCTCACCAGCCTAAGCTTTAGTGGAATCCAGGCTGCTGATCTGTCTTGTTCGCCTCCTAGGGTTACTAACTGAATGCCTATAAGCAGGGTGTGTGACTTTCAGTCCTTCCCAGTTCTTGCCTCTCCTAAGTGTTGTGCTAGCACTAGTCATATATACAACCTGTATGATGTCTGTAGGCCTTTGAACTTGACCTCTGCTGCATATTACTGAAAACTTGACTGATTCTAGAAAAATAATGGCAATCAAAAGAAATAGAGTTTTAATGGTAACTCAAATTTTAACTGTTGTAATCACTAGTACCAGGAAATACTGTAAATTATAACTCCGAATTCTTAAAATCTTTCATATATAAACTGTATTGTTTTTATCCAAATACAGTCTTATTTATTATCTGTCTTTATTTTGTAGTCATACCCTATGGTACTGCAGTATCGACCAAGAATTGATTTCGGTTAGACCAAGGGGCCCAGACCTCACTGAGATGAATCCTGCACTATTTGTTTACTCGTCAACAGATTGCACAGTTAACGGTGTGTGGACTAGAGGAACACAACCAGATTTTCAGCATGCAAATAAGGCCATTGTCTATCTCTAAATTGTCAGTTGCATTCATGTTGTTTCTATTAGGAGCAAACCAAGTGCCATTCTGCTACTGAACCATCTGCATAAGGTATTTGTGTTGTCTCAAAGTGTGCAAGTCATGGTAAAAATCAGTTAGCTGTGCCGCCATGATTCACCCTTCTGAATATTTTGCTTGCCTGTTCCAAGATTGTTCTAATGTTTAATTACACTAGTAAAATGGCTCAATTTTTGTGGTGTTGCAGTTTTCACATACTTACTCTTTTATTCTTGTTTAAATAGCGTACTCTACAAGAAACTAATAATTATATCTTGAAATTATTTTGTATGGAAGTATATTTAGAAAAGTGGTTTTTGAGCCACTGTCTTGTTCTTGATAAGCTTTTTGTGTGAAAAAAAGTTCATTCTTGAGTGTGCAAGTCCTTTTGCCAAGAATTCCAATTATTCTGTAACATTAGAGCACAATATAATTGTAGACATTCTAAGCATCTGTCCGTGTAGTCTACCAATTGCACAAGGAAGGCATGTTAGCCCTCCAGATTGAAAATGTATGTGACCTCTTGAACTGAAGTTAGATTCCCAACCATTCAAAATGTTGGCAGCTGATCACATTTACTTCTGATAAAAGTAATGTGTAAGTAAGGTTAATCTTCTTTCATAATGCCTTATGACAAGCAGGTGCTGCTTCATGAAACGTCATTGTATAGCCCATTTCATGTATCATTACATTGTTGCTGTTATTTAATGAGTGCATTATTTCTCTTTTTAAGTTGGCCTTAGGTATATGTCATTGTGGCATGCAGAGGGTTATGACGATTTTAAATATTAGGATTTTTAGAGCACATAACATTAGCTATTTTATGGATTTCAAAAGTCTCAAAACAGTTGTAGATTAAAACTGTTAGTTACCTTTCACATTTCCAAACTATGTGCATAAAATAGAATAAATGCAGTATAGAACTATGCTAACCAAAATTAATAGGTTAAGGGTATTTTATTTTAAATCCTGTAGTAATTGGGGAAATGAGAAGATTATTATTTTATACATGAGTTCATTAAGATCAGAAATACAAAATGTCCTGTATTTTGCAGTTTTGTTAAGTCTTCCATTCGTTTTAGGATTAGTCTGCAAGTCAAAGAAAGTCTTGTTACCTTAAATTATATGAAAACTGTCATTTTAAATCTTTTAATATTTACAGTTTTCAAAAACCTTACTTGGAAATTGCTTTGAAACAAACAAGCTAACCTTTGAAACTTAGGAAAAAATCTTGAAAGTTAGGAAAAATATTTGAGAAATATGACGAGCACAATCTGTGTGTTACACACATTTAGTTTTTATACTGCATATGTGGTAAATGTGTCACATTTTCCAGTAAAATGTATCAGAAATCAATGCCTTCTGAATTTCAAAATGATTCTTAGAAATAAGATATTGTACAACTCTAGCAAACATACAAAGTACAGCTAAATCTTAATATATTTCACTATGTAAAAGGCTGAAACTTCATAATTATCTGTTCCTTCTATCTTTTTTTGAGTCAAAAAGTCTATTAAATTTTTCTGTTGTTGTTCCAACTTTGGTGAAAAAGGTTATGGCAATACTTTAACTTTGTTTTGTTACATTGTTTTTGTTCTTGGAATGGCTCACAAGCAGAATTTAAAAGGCAGATTTTCATTAACTATAAATGGCTGAAAAAACTGAATTTACTATCTAGCTACAGAAATTATTTTTCTATGGTGTGAAACTGTTCCCAGACATCCCTAAGAACTTTTACAAATTATTATAAATTTGTCACACCTAGGTCAGCGATTAAAATAGTGTTTTGCAAATGGAATTTTAATTAACTCAAAATGAATTAAGAGTGCATTTTAAAAATCACAAGTGAGACTTTGATGTTTTGGCCCCCCAGCCAAAACTTAATGGTCATAAATGAATTTTATCTACAAAATCTCTTTAAATTTGGCTGGTTGCCTTGTCATATGTAATTTCACTATTTTCCAAGGAAATATATAGGAAGCAATTATGAAACTGAGAATAGTTTTATATAGAATTCTTTTATTTACTGATAATGCATTAACATTTTTATTGAAATGCAATGGAATATGTGCCAAAACACGTGAAAAGCTTACATAAAGAAAGGCATCAGTTGTCGTTTGGAGAAAGGTACACATTTTTTTGATGGTCCTAAGTGATATGGTATTACTACTAGAATCACAGATTTCTTCAACTGACTTATTTTGGTATATTCAACTACAGCTTTCTAAGGATAGGACTACTTTCATGTCTAGTAATACACTGTATTCCCCGTTAATTATCCCTTAAGTCAGATTGTAGAATTTGCAAGAAACTAGGTATAGAAAAAATGTACAGGCAACTTTTGTGGTTAGCTTTATAAATTTAGGGTGCTTATAAAATGATAAAATGAATTCTTTAAATAACCTATAGGAATCATCTGAATCTGTAACATCAGAGACTAAAACTAAAAGTTTTCTTTAATCTGTTGTTTCTTAAGCAATAAACTGAAAGACCTTTACTTCCATAAAAGATTTTGTTATCTCTTTTATCTGCCTTAGAAATTATAAGTATAAAAGGGTCAAGGGAACTTAGATATAAAGAATGACTGTGGTTTATAAACATTACTTTAATTGAAGTAATCACATCAGTTAATAGAGAAATCAAAATATGTATGGCCTTTTCTCTAGATTAGCAAAACAGCTTTACAAAGTATGAAAAAATAAACTAAAATGCTCATTGATGAGGTAATACTCAGTCTGGAGTACAGGTAACTTGGGTAATGCCTTTTAACTACTCTTAGAGGAGTATATTATTTCTTTATACATTAAACATCTATCCCATAGTAATGTGCCACATTTTATAAACGTAATGACTTTGCTCAACTACATTACACACTCAAATGTAATCTAAATTTAAACTGATTATTTAAGGAAAAAAAGTGTGTTATATAATATTGTGAACTGTTTAGCTTTACTGAAATATTTAAGAGAAAGTGCCTCATTACTAAAGTGCATTTCTGTTTTAAATTTACTGCATAAAGTTTGAGTTATCTGTACCTGTCTCTTATGAATGGTTTCATATCTAAATAGGCTCTTGTAAGTTAATTTTTTTGGAAGATTTTCATAAGAATATAGATATCACCAAAGACATTTTACAGTAAATTAATAACCATGTTGGAGAGACGGTTTTAACAGTTTGGAGGTTGGAAATTTTTAGATTGCAATTTAATTTTATATAGTTAGGCAATAACCTTGATTAATTGCTAAAATATCACCAAAGAAAGGCTTTAAACTGAATTTTCTTGGTGAGATCAGTCAAATGCAGGCTTTTCTTGCAATAATCAGAACACACTTCCTTTCAAATATGTTCATTGTTTTTCAGCATCATCTAACAGATCTTAGTAAATCTAAATCCTCAAAGATGAGAAAGAGGTAAACACAACAAATAGCCTTCCTCTGCATGAAAAGTGAGAGAAATACATACTTTGAAAAGAAAGTTCAGATTTTTAATTTGAGAGGGTTTTTATTTCATGGAGGCAGTGTTAACTAAAATTAAGCTTAGATTTAGCTCCTGTATTATTCATAATATGAGAAATTTTATTAAAGGCAGACTTTGGTAAAAGTGCCAACACACTTACTTGTATAGAAAAGACTTCATTCTATGGGATTTATATAAGTAAGTGCTTTCTCTATATTCAAAATATTTCATAAGGACCTGTGGTTTTTTTCCCCTTAAAAAGCAACTCTAGGCCGGGCACAGTGGCTCATGCCTGTAATCCCAGCACTTTGGGAGGCCAAGGCAGGTGGATCACTTGAGGTCAGGAGTTCGAGACCAGCTGGTTAACATGGTGAAACCCCATCTCTACTAAAAATACAAAAATTAGCCAGGTGTGGTGGCACGCGCCTGTAATCCCAGCTACATGGGAGGTTGAGGCAGGAGAATCTCTTGAACCCAGGAGGTGGAGGTTGCAGTGAGCCGCAATTACACCACTGCACTCCAGCCTGGGTGACACAGCGAGTCTCCATCTCCAAAAAAAATTCAACTCTTGGTCTTGTTTCTCAGCACTTAGTTTATTGTTATTAGAATTTAGCCATACAGCCAACTTTGACAAAATGGGTCACAGAACAAGCATGTACATCAAGAGGAAGTTCCATATCCCCCTTGTACCATTTCTCCTTGGGAACTCATGCTATGGGCTACCTTAAAGGTAAAACTCATCTTATGGAGTCTTTCTGATAGGTCACTAGGTAAAACTCCTTGGATAGGGTGAAAATGGATGCACACTCTATTACATACTCTGGTTTATCATAAGGAATTTTCCAGAAAGCTAAGCTTTATACTAATAAGATATTGGTTGGTAGTAGGAACTTCAAAAATGAATGAGTTTGCCATAACTTTAATTTTCTGGATTAGAAACACAAAACTTGAAATGCAATTATCAATATTTTGTAATATATATTCCTACAGTTTGGGTAGAAATAAGGAACATGTCTGCTAGATCTGGTTTATGAAAAAGTGAAAAATATTAAATACACCAGAGACTCAAACCCTTTCAAGGCACACAATAACTGTTCTGGATTTACCTGACAAACCTAGTTGAGTAGCATTTTGACAGAAAATATCAGACTGAAAGTTCATTCAAATGTACTTAAATGTACAATACAGTGTTCAATAGTTTTTATTGCAGTGATGTTTTTCCAATAATTTAAGTAATTCTCTTCCTAGTATAATACAGTTTTCATAAATAATGTTTACTTGCTTTCTTTATATTTTCAAATAAAATTAAAATGCTCGAGCACTTCCTTTCAGAAAGTTATAAAATTAAAAATAATTATTTTAAATGCTCATTCAAATGTGTCTGTATACTTGCTATGCCCCTTTTTCTATAATTCCAAACTGAGACTGATTTTTCAGAGATTTTTAACTTTAATAATTTTAAATCTAGAATCAAGTGAAACAGATATGTTAAATACTGAGTCTAGTTTTCTTCCATCTTATGGAGCTTCATGGAATAAGAAACTAATCTAGTGCAAATGAAGATTAAATATTTCTGGGTGATGGAGAGATAGTCAACAAATTTATTTATCCATCCTCTGCACATCAGTCCACTGGAGCAGGAGTTCTACACATTAAAAATGTAATGGGATCAGCCTAGCATTGTTTGGTGTTCTTTTGTTGTATTTTTTAGAATGGGGGTGGGGGCCTAAGTGTCCTTATGAAGCTGTGGTCCACGACAGGAGCTTGTTGGGGGAGTACCAGGGTTCTGCTGCTTTCCTGCATCTGAGCAACACAACAGAGATCATCAGTTTTAAATAGAGTAGCCCTCACAATCAAAATATCATAGAATATATTGTAAAGTTATGTTGCTAATTTTCCTTTGAAATATAAAATATTTTAAGCTTTTTGTCAAAAGTGGTAACATCTTAATACAAATAAAAACCTTTTTGTGGTTGTAAGATTTAGCTTATAAATCATTCAAATTGAAGTGAAAGAATTACCAGGTCATTGTTAATGACTTAGTCTATTAAGAATATATGTATTTTTGTAAAGGAAAAGCACTTGTAGATATTTAATCAGTACAAGATATGTCTTTTGCAGAAATAAAATGCTGCTTAGAGATTCTCCTTAAATATTTTTTATTTTTGTGCTCAAATGTATTTTCTGTTGATCTATGGAATGTTCTGTACAAAGCTGTATAATTGTACTGTTGGGCTAGATACTTTTTTTTTTTAATCTGGACTTAGCCAAGTATATTTCACCATGTTAAAATACAGTATCTTTGTTATTAAAAATTAAATTGCATAATTTATTATTGTTTGTCATCTTTAATATTAGTCACTGTAGATTGCAGCCTTCATTAAAAATATCTCCTTTAAGTACTAGTCCTGTAGCAAATTTTATTGAAATTTATTGAGTATTTGAGATCATAAATATTTTCTAAGGATTCTTCAGCTGTTTATTTTAAAATGGCACACTGTCCCTCAAATACTAGTTAAGGTGTATACACACACACCCTTGAAGGATTTTTTGTTTTGTTAGATTAATCAAATCCAAAAGAACGTTTTGAAAGTAATTAGGAATCAAAGGCAGGCCCAAGTGAATTGAAAGAAAGACTGTTTCCTTCAGCCAGTTAGATAGCTAAGCTTTGTTTATTAATACTTTCCATGTGCACTTGCCTCAGGAATTCATTAGGCCAAAGCAAGACATTTACGTCAGGAACACTGTGATGGTTTCTAGCTCGGCCCCATTGTGATTTTGATGCCTGAAGCTTTGTCTTAATGTTAGTGAAACGTTGGAGGTAGCTAGAAACCCCAGTCCTTCGGTGAGATAGGGAAAGCAGCTTTCCTCTGAGCAGAATTTGGCTTCCTTCTGTATTTGAGCTCCACTCTCTTCAAGGCTGCTGCAGAATGGGAAAGAATGTGGAGGACTGTGCATGGGAAGTGCTGGAACATGTAGCACACATTGCTTTCATCACATGTCACTGGCCAGCACATGGCCTCACCTAACAGCAAGCAAGGCCGGAGGACCTAGTGAAGCCACATCCCAAGGAGGAAGAGGAAAGTTTTGTGACCTGCTAATGTCTGCCATACCCTACATTTGCAAAAAGAGGTCACAGTTGCTTTAGGTCTTAGAAGTGTGTTGTCCACACAGGCTCAGCACTTATCTTTTCACTGGTTTGGAAAGGGAAAGAGGGGTCTTGCACTCAGGCCAGGCATGAGAAGCTTGGGAGTCACTCTGCTCTTCGTGTGGCTGGGGAACATGCAGGTAGTATTTTGCTGGAAGCCATGTACAACCCCACTTGGCACCCCAACCCTTGCCGTGGACTTTGCAGTGCCAGGATTTGCCACTAGCAATCAAATAGAGAATAATGCCTGGAGAGGACAAATATGCAGCGATCACTACCAGTAGAAACCAGCAAAGCCCTGTTCCTCTTTACAGAGCCCAGCCTTCCTTACACAGTTCTCCTTCTAAGAAGCCCTGCTCCTCCTTACAAAGCCCCACTCATCCCTACAGAACCTGCTCCCTCTTCAAAGCCCAACTGCTCCTCAGGAAGCACCTCCACTACAAAAGCCTCTCCTCCCTAAAAAGACCTGTTCCTGCAAAGAACTTTTGATCCTCTTAGGAAGCCCTGCTCCTCCTACAAGCTCTGTTTCTGCATATAGTGCCTTGCTCCTCCTCAAAAGGTCTGCTTATCCTTATCCTGCTCCTCCTACAAACCCTGCTCTTCTTTGGAATCCCAGCTCCTCCAAAGAATCTCTAGTCCTCCCAAGGAAACCTTGGAAGTCTTGCTCCTCCTACAAAGTCCTGTTCCTTCTTACAGTGCCCTGCTCCTCTCTACAGAGCCTGCTGCTCCTACAAAGCCCTGCTCCATTTTACAAAACTTGTTTCTACAGATACCTCTTCTTCCTCACAAAGTCCTCTTTCTCCTTACAAAGGCCTTTTCCTCCTTCACGACTTTGCTGTCATACAGTCCTGCTCCTTCAGCAAGCCCTATTCTTCCTGTGAAGTTCTGCTCCTCCTATAAGCCCTGATCTTCCTTAAACAGCTTTGCTTCCCCTACAAAGCCCCACTCTACCTACAAAGCCCTGCTTCTCCTGCAAAGCAATGTTCTTCATACAAAGCATTCCTCCTACTACAAATCACTTTTCCTCAGACAGAGCCCTGCTCATCCTTACAAAGTCCTACTTCTTCAATAATCCCAACTTATCCTTAGGAAGCCCTGCTCCTCCTAACAATGTCCTGTTTCTCCTACAAAGCACTGTTCCTCCTCACAAAGCACCACTCCTACAAATTCCACTTTATCCTTACAAAGCCCTGCTCCTCCTGCAAACCCTGCTCTTACTTACAAAGTCCTCCTTTTTAAAGAGAGCTTCTTTTTCCAATGTCCTGTTGCTCCTAGAAATCCCCACTTCTTCAAAGTCCAACTCCTCTTTACAAAGTCCTGCTCTTCCTTCAAAGCCCCAATCCCCCTACAAACCCTGCTCCTTTACAGAGCCCTACTTCTCCCTATAGAGCCTTGCCCTTCCTACAGATCCCTGCTCCACCTTACAAAGTCCTGATGCTGCTACAAGCACTGTTTCTCCTTATAAATATGTGCTCCTCTTCACAAAGACCTGCTCCTACTTACACAGCCCTGCTCTCCTACAAAGCCCAGCCTCTCCTTGCAAAGCCCCGCCCATCATACAAACCCTGTTTCTTATTTAAAAGCCCTACTCTTCCTACAAAGCCCACTCCTCCTTACAAAGCTCTATTCCTTCTAGAAAAGCCCTGCTCCTCCTAAATCCCTGTGCCTCCTACAAAGCCCGCATGCCTTCACAAAGTGCAACTCCTCTTACAAATCTCAGCACCATAACACCCCTTCTCATTAGAAATTGTGCTCCTCCTACCAAGCTTGCTCCACCTTCCAAAAGCTTGTTCTTCCTACCAATGCCTGTTTCTCTTTACAAAGCCCTGTTCATGCTACATAGACCAATTTATAGTCCATCATCTCAAGCTTATCCAGACTTCTCCCCCTTCTATAACACTTAGTTCTCTTACCACAACCACAGTCATTGATGTTTGTTTGCCCTCTCATTAGATTGTGAGCTTTGGAAGAAATGCTGACTTAGTTATTGTGGTATATCCCCACCCTCACAGACACACACACTTGCATAGTTACTGGCACCAGTATACAGTGGGGAAAGAAACTGAATTTCAGAAAGACAAGCGTTGCTGACATAGACTTCAGGACTTTCCCAGACAGTCTTCTGTCCCCCGACTGGCTCCATCTCCGACTTCAGAACTTTGGTTTAGTAAGTATGTGAAAGATGGCAAGGTTCCAGGTGGCCATCTCTTCACTTTAAAAATAGACACCCTGATCCTCTTGTGTAAGATCCCAGTATTAAGATTTGTTCCTTTGGGTGGACAACGTCTCCTCTTACAATAAAAGTTTCTAGAGGAAGGCTGTGTAGCATCAGATCATTTGTCCCACCTGCTTTGGTGAGCCTCAAATGAGGTGACAAGCTAAAGTTGGCTTAGTGATCATTAGTCAGTAGACAGGCATGAAACCAATGGCCCAAGGGGAACCCCTGGGCAAGCAGGAAGTAGCGCCCTAGAAAGGAAGCCAATTCCGTGAAGCGTTATCTGCCAAGGAAAACAGGATCTCAGTAGTCACCTGTTAGATCATGAGCTTTTAGATATACTGTGTACCTCCTCCCCTTGCAAACATGCTTCCCTCTTCACCACTGGCTTATTAAGTACTAGGAAGGCAGGAACTGTCCTCCTTTTCTCACCATATTCCCAGATTCATACGCCAGACAATACTGGAATGAATGGGTGAAGAAACAAATTCCCATCCCTTGGGCTCTGGCATGGAGCTGTGGTCCCCGGGGATCTCATACTGGTCATTGCTCACATCATGGTGTCAGCCAGTCCCCAGCCAGCCTCTCCTTTTCCCTGTCTTTTTCTCTCCCTTCCTTTTTCTCTTCACTGAAATTAGCTTACTGAAGTTCTTAGCACGTGGGACCTACTGGGAGCAAAGTTAGGTATTCATGCTAGACCACAGAGGCCTAAAGAGCAGGCGCCCAGGCAAGGGCTGCTGCCCAGTAGCCTGTGGCTTCCTCCCCTTCCCCAGGTCCAGCTCTGTGTTCTTAACTCCAGGCAACTGGCCCACAACTGCATGGCACCAACTTCAGTGGGAGGAGGGAGAGGCTGAGCAGAGGAGATATAGCAGCACACGCCAGCCGGCTCTCAGGGAAAGCAGAGCCTGTTATTTCTGTCTTCTTTTCTCTCCCCTCCTTTCTGCATTTTTTCATCCTCACTATCATCTCCTACCTCTCTTCTTCTGTTTTCCCTCTTCTTCCCTCTTTACCTTGCACTTTTGTTTTACCTGTTTCCCTCCTCTATTGGTCTCTTCTCTGTCCTCAGCCACTTCCAACAATCTCCCTTCCTTTTCCCACGTGTTTCTTCCTTGCCTCTCCCTTTTCCAGTTCGTTTCTGTCATTTCATGTACTCCTGTTTATAGCTTCATTTCATTCTCTTTATCCTTTTTCTTTCTCTTCTCCCTCCTCTTCCAGATCCAATTCTTCTTTCCTTTTGGTCTTCTGCCCCACTCCAGGAGTCACTCTCCTTTGTAAACCAGATTTCCACTCACTTCACACACACATACAGTGGGAAATGGAAACAGCAGAGAGCATCTTGGAGGAGCAGCTGAGCTTGGATCCTTCAGTAAATGCTTCCAACCTCCAGCCAGACCTCTCTAATAAGGCCCAAGGGCCAGCGAGATCACAGCCTTTCTCAGAAGGTAAGATCAGTTTGTTAGGACTGACATAAAAAAATACCACAGGCTAGGTAGCTTAAACAACAGAAAATTATTTTTCTCAGAGTTCTAAAGGCTGGAAGTCCAAAGTCAAGGTGTTGTCAGGTTCAGTTCTTCCTAAGGCCTCTCCCCTGGGCTTGCAGATGGCTGCTTTCTCCCTGTGTCCTCACATGGCCCTGCCTCTGTTCACAGGCACCCCAATATCTCTTCCTCTTTTAAGGCCACAAGTCATATTGCATTGAGGCCCCATCCTTATAACCTCATTCAACCTAAACCACGTTTTTAAAGGCCTTGTGTCCAAATATGGTCACATTCTAAGGCTCTAGGGCTTAGAGCTTTAACATACAAATTTGCGGAGGACACAAATTCAGTCCAAAACAGAGCTATGCAGTGCCCTACAGACCGGCTCCAAATGCAGGGTCATTCTGTTGTATAACTGGGCAATTTACCTAACCTCACTGAGCTTCAGTTTCCTCATTTATGAAGCAGAAATCATTATAATGTATCCCATAGGTTTGTGGAGGAATGAAATGTGTTATAAAGCATTCAGAGCAATGCCAGAGGACACACTAAAAGACAGCACTGATGTTTTCAATCTCTTTCTATCTGATCATCTGCAGATTGCTACCCTTAGTTATATCAATGTTCTGTATTTGATTTGCTTTAAGACCTAAAATTCTGCCAAGTAAGCAAAATCCTGCTTGCCTAGAGCTTTTCCGTTCACATGATGGTTCATAAAAGTCATTCCCACTGAATGTCCTGATACATAAAGGACCTATTAATAGCACAGGGTCTAGTGCATAGTAAGCACTTTAGAAATCTCCTCCCTTTCTCTCACACTCATTTAGTCATCAGAACAGATTTACAAGGCAGGCATTCTTAACTCAATCTCATTGATGTGAATCTGAATCTAAGTAACTAGCAAACAATCACCAGGGACATATCTGTGTCTCCACCATGGGTCTGTCTTTTTCCAAGGGTAGCCCTGTCCTCAGGAGCACTGGCTCTTTGGGTTTGAAAGCTGAGAGATCTAGAGAAGACTGTACTTAGGCCCTCCTGGCCACTGGAAGAGGGACAGTGTGGAAGACAGACACTTGGAGGCCAGCGTGTGTGTGTCAAAGACAACATGTACATCATTCACGTGGTCACACTGTGTTGAGTACCCACAACATACCAGGCATTGTGCTAGGCTCTGGGACTTGGTGGTAAGCTGAGCAGGTTCCATGTTTACAAAAGTGGAGCTTGTAGTATTGTATGGTAAACACATACAATAAACACATAATTAAAAGACTGGTGGTGAATGTTCTGAAGAGAATAAGCATGATGAGAATGAGAGGACCTTTCTAAGAAAATGGCATTGAAGCTGAGACCCGAAAGATAAGCTGGAGCTAGCCAGGCAAAGGGCAGGGGGAAGAATATTCCTGAGAAAAAGTTATCATTGCGATGACTGCTCCAGCAGCCCAGCGACCTGCAGAAGGCCAGTGTGGCCAGAGTGGGAAGCAGGAGGAGGGCTGGGAGAGGACTCTGCAGAAAGAGGTAGGGCCGGGTCGCGGAGACACTTTCAGGCCATATTTAAAAGCTGGTATTTTATTCCGAGCACAGTAAGAGGATTTTTTAAACAGGGAACTGACATCATCTTATTTATATTTTTAAATGATCACGCTGGGAGCTTGGTGGAAAATAGACTGTCAGGGAGTAGGGGTAGGATAGAAATGGAAACAGATAAAAAGCCTAGTGCAGTAGTCCAGGTGAAAAGCGAACAATGCAAGGAGCCCAGGGCAGTGCCGTTGGTGCTTAAGATGAAAATAGATGCTGATGGAGACGAGTGGGGTCCTCTGTGCCTCAGCCCGGTGCACGGGACCTCAGTTCAATGTAACCTGAGTTTTTAGGTCATGGGTGAAGCTCTAGATGAGAGTGGAGAGAAGGAGAGAAAGGATTCTGAAAAGCCTTTTCCACTAGCCCTATCCAGGGGCTCCCCACAGAACCAGCTGCCCTGCCAAGCACCCCAGCTCAGCCCCTCACCCCTCCAGTGACGCCCAGCCCCAGCACCTGCCTTGCCATGCCTTCTTCAGTGCCACCCACTCTCCGCCCTCCCCAGAGGTGGTTCTTGCCTGCTCCCCTCCAGAGCCCTTTGCACTTCCTGCCCTGTCACCGGCACTGGAGTGGCATAGCCATGAATTCCAGTTTCGGTTCCACCACTGACCTTCTGCAGTATGGGTAAATCCCATAATCTCTCCCAAGTAGCCAATGTGCCACAAATGTAAACGCAACACTGAACTAACGGAACCCAAAAGACATAATTAAAACATTTGCTTGTTTTATCTGTGCCTCTCACAGACCCTCTCCACTGATAAAACTTCAGCAGTCCCTGGACGTTTTCTGCTGCCCTCCCTCTCCTCTCCTTCCTAGTTGTGGTACAAGGTTGGGGAGGAAGGTGAATGGAAAGCAGAGGAGGTTGTAAACCAGCTCCAGGCCATCTGGGCCTGCCTGATATTTAAAGCTCTCAGAAATCTTTCTTGGTTTTCTGGAGGGTCCTCTCCCTGACTCTCAGCTGCCACTCACCTTGCCAGGGGCCATGCCTCCATCTCAGTGGGCAGTTTCCCATAACCCTCACCTATTCCAGGGTTAGAGCCCACAGCCTCTTTCTACAGGGATGTGCTCTTCCCATAGGCCACCATCTTGGGCAGGATTCCTCTTAAGTGGCTCCTGACTGATATTCCAACTGCAAGTCCTCACACCATTCCCAAGAGTCAAGCAACACTGACCCATTCTCAAAGAAGAGTCTGTGTTTATCCACGCAGCAGCCATGCTCTCTCTCCCTTCTTCTGTCCCATGCCTCTGGCCGAGGGCACAGCCTCTAGTCTTCAGATCCCTCTGGGTCCGTTGACTCCGGGCAAGGCCTCCTTTAACTGCAGTCACACATGTCAAGCCTTCCTAAGGTGCTGCTGAAGCCCCACTCCCACTCGTTTGGGAGAAGGGAACAGCACCCTCCACCCCTCTGCCTGAAGGAACGGTGTTCACAGCACAGCTCACACCGCACAAAGCCTCTGCCTAAGATTTCTCTCCTTAGTTCCTGGACTATATCTTTGAAAGCTGGAAAGAGAGTCCCAGCCATCCAGGCAACCAGAGCCCCTGGACACTTTATTATCACTAGATCTGAGCAGACTCTCCCTCTGCATTTCTTCCACCTTCATGGCCAGAGGAACAGAGGTTGTCCAGGCTCCCAGGAAAACATGGCTCTCTCTATGGTTACCTCGTCCAGATGCAAGAGGACATACAGCCCTTCAAGCATAATCCAGCTCCTGATGGCAAAAGCAGATGAAGAGAGAGCCACCCATGCTCTGCTTTGCGGTGTCCAGTCCAGGGTCTTTCAGAACAGCCACCCCTGAGAGCCGAGGGCTGGCCTGTAGAGAGGGAGAGTGAAGCTCTGTCCGACGCACCATGGGCCAAATCTGCTGCTGATCTAAATGCAGAGGGCTCTGCCCCGACCACGGAGTCGGTGCCAGCTGTTCTGGGCTGGTCAGTACTGCCTACCGGCATCAAACGCCCTTCCTTTCTCAAGCTCCCCACATGGAAGCAGTTGGAGAGCACTTGCTGAAGGGGCAGGATGTGTTTGGGGAAGTTTTCCCCTTTGGGCTGACCCAGAAGTGAGATGGAAAGAGCCCGAGGACGGTGTCTGTGATTCTTCAAGATGTGCTCACTGAGGGGCGTCCGGGAGCTGCCACTGGAGTTCCCCTCCAAGGCGGCCCCATAGCTCCGGGTTGAATGGTGCAGTGATGGGGAGGTGAGAAAGGATCCAGGAGTCCAACCAAGGTGGGCTTTATTCATAGTTCAGCCACTCACTGGACTAGCCCTGTGACCATGGGTAGGTAGCTTCCCCTCTTCTTCACCCTGGACTTCCCTTCTCGTGACACTCATCTCAATTGCAACTGCTTGTGTAGAATCTGTCATCCCAGCCACAGTGCAAGCTCCCTGAGCACACAGACCAGGACTTGGTGTTCAACCCTATTGTCCCGGCTGGGCCTGGCCCATGGGAGGTCTCCAGAAAAAAGAAGGACCTGAGTGAATAATATGAGCAGTAACTCTCCTACACTATAAATTCAATGATGCTATTATTAATCCAGAAACAGTTTCAGTATCAACACCACCCCTAGACTGGGGCAAGAGAACATGCCATCCAATTGGGCCTCTCAGGCCACAGGAGGCTGTAGGGAGGGGAAGTGAAGGATTATGGTTTTTGCCCTGGGAAATGTAAAAGGGCTGCCATTTGGTTCAAGTCACATACCCCAAATCACCCCAAGTGGATGTCCAGGCGGACAGATCACTGTGCCTTCTACTTCACCTTTGCTTGGATGACAGTTTCAGGAAACCCTGGCTTCCTGGGCAGCTTGATAAGTCAGCCTCCATCCCAGGTCCAGTGGGTCCAGGTGGGTCCAGGTAACCTGGGAGCCTGGGCCACCTTCTGCCCCACCTGCCTTGAAATCACTCAAGTTCACAGGCAGCAGGAGTGCCCAGGGGAAGAACACCAGCGTCATTCTCTGGGGATCACACTGCAGGGCACTGGGTAAGAACAGAGGTTGGCTGTGGATGTGGCATTATATACAACTTTAAAATATTTAGGCACATGCTGTGTGGGCTTCATTTGTACACTTGCTTCAAGCCCTGCAAATTCAGGGGTGTATCTGCATGGTTGCTCAATGCTCAGGCTTAATTAGTCATGAGCTATCATTCCTTTGTGCTTTTAATCAATCTTTTTAAAGTTCCTACTATGTGCTGGATATTGTGCTAGGGTCAGGTTCTTTAAGGATCTCATTGTCCTCATCAGCTTCTCCAGTGAAGCTGACATTGTTCCACAAAGTCTCATGCTTAGTCATGAACTATAAGTTCCATCCAGACCCACCTGGCTTTCTTTCACCCCATCCTTGCCAATTTTATCCCCGTACTGAGGCTTGGATCAGGTCCCCTCCTACCTCCCTCTTAATCTACATAGCTAAGTAAATCCAAGCAGCCCTTCCTGTCTTAGCCTATACATCATTACCTAATAAGCAAACCTTTCCCAACTCAACTCAGGAGAACTTTCTTCAGAGAAAACTTTCCTGGCCTTCACAATTGGATCAAGCCTCCCATCAGAGGCTCTTGTAAATATCAGATATCTTCTTAGCATGTCACACTGGCAACTTTATGCTCCAGGATTGGATTGATAACTCTCTCCCACACTAGGCTGTTGAGTTTGATGGGCTCTACTGGATTCACGGCTGAATCTCTAGGGTTCAGCACAGTGTCTGACACATAGCAGGCACTCCAGGAATATTTACTGATTGAATTAAATAAATACAATGTAATGTATGGATAAATTCAATACATATTTCATGGCTTGAATTTGACCAACACTTATTGGGTTTCCATAAAACATACTATGAGTTAAGGCAAATAGTACCAAATGAGGACCATTGACATGTATTTTTGTGGAGCTTAAATGAAATAACTGTCCAGCTATGGAATTTATGGGGAATTCATGGGAGGCCGATGAAGAGATTGTATAATTACATTCTGTGGTCAGTTCTGCTCCCATCCTGCTCTGCTTGCACTCTTTACTAAGCACTGCTTTTCCTGATACTTTTTATGAGTCCTCATCTCTTCTTCTCTTTTTCCCTCCTATGTGTTTTTCAAATGCATTCATCATCAGCAAAATCAATCTAATATGCATGCCCTTTGACCCAGATCTTTCAGCTGAAGGATTCTATCTCCTAGAAATACTGCTATCATTACAAATGACATAATACAAAGAGTGTTCACAGCAGCAGTGTTTGTAATGACAAGGAAATGGAAACAAGATGCCTGCCAATAGAGGAATGGATTCATACATTCACACTATGACCTTGCAAAGAATGTGGTAGATCTATGTTCTGATGAGGAAAGCTGCATCTAATACCTGGCCAAGGAGGAAAAAGGCAAGTTGCCATGTAATATGTACATTGTGATCCCTCCCCCACAATCAACGTACATGTTTGCATACACGTGGTAGAAATTACACATTAAATTGCAACAATGGTTACCTTTCAGGAAGGACTTGGAGGGAGCTTGGGAAGGTCACTGTTACTTCTTGCTTTATACTCCTCTGTATTATCCAAATTTATGACAAAAATATGTTATATTTCTAGCTTAAAATCTTCAGTAATGTAAGTGATTAATTTGCTTGTTTATGATCTTTCTCTCCTCTCTAGGATGTAAACTCCATATAAGCAGAGACTTTGTCCACCTTTTCTCACCATCATCTCCACTGTACTTACAACATTGCCTGGAATACAGGAAGTGCTCAATGCATATTTTTTGAGTGACAGATCAATTTTTTAAAAAGAAAATTCCATTTTGACAAAACCTATCTTTCATATCCCCCTCCCCAACCCCTCCAAGTTTTTATTGGTGAAGTGACTGGGTGCTGAGGAATCTGAAATTCTCTGCCTCCATATGGTGGGCCTTGAATTAAGGTTGACCTCTTCCCTGTATCATTGGTTCCCATTATAAATGGGTTGAAAACCCATAAGGCCTCCTACATACAAATGTGAAAAAGACTCAAAGTTCTTAAGTGATAGAGTTTCAAGTAACAAAGAATGGGTTGTTTTAAAAGAGAAATCTTGATAATGGTTTAAAGTTAATCCCTTCAAAAGTAAGAGCTAAAAAAGAACATATTAAGTTAGAGACAAGGAACAAAAGCATGTGCTGTCTATCCAGTCGTTGAAAGGTCACAACTGTTTAACCACCAGATAATTCGACCTATTTAGAAGAGTCCAACAAAACCTCAAGAATATAATAGATTATAGCTTAGGAAAAGATCTGCAAAAATATGCACTAAATTGTATTCTGTGGTTACTGTTTCTCTTTAACTTTCCCTTTGCTTTACTGCAGAACCAACATACAGCCGCTCAGGAATGCACATAATCTCAAAGACCCGTGGGCTGTCTTGCCTTTTCTTCGCGAGTGGAATTCTAGAGTTTGGGGACTATGATGCACAGAGAGAAACTGGTCAGGTCCAAAGATCTCAGAACTTAGGGGTTTCATGTTGTGGACAAACAAGGAAGAGAAAAGAGGGAATATGTCAGTCATATCGCCTGGACCAGATGGTTCTGGGTTTGGGAATCCTCATTTCTTGCATCTTACAGTTACTTAATCTATTACTTCTGTGCTTTTGGTTTTCTCTTTACTGTATCAACAGGCTACTGCAGGGGTCATAGCCTGGACATGGCCAACCAGAAAGATACTCAAGGAATGCTCAACAAAAGATAGCAGGTACACTTGATCCCTGCATAGAGCCACAGAAAAATATCATTTGTGAATTTAACTGCTAGAGGCTAATGGAAATAAAATGCAAACAGCCTAAAGAATTTCCAGCTTAATCAATATTCTTTTTTATCTGTAATCTTTATTTGTAAAAGAGAAACCTACTGTTTTTCCCTTAAGTTGTGATGCCAGCATAATGTGATCTCATGCAATGTGGGTGAAAGTTAAATGATTTTTTAAAATAAATGTATAAGAGTAAGTTTAATAAGTAGAAAATTTTGGGATTGAATTTTATTTTCAAGGTAATATTTACAGAAAAATAAAATGAAGCATGTGGTTTGAGGTGAGAAGAAAGTTGGTTTGAGGTGAGGAGAAAGTAACGAGACCCTTTCACTTTTAGCTTCATTCTGTTCCATATCATCAAATTTGTTCCCCGTATCAGGAAGCAACAAACATAAAGAGATAAAAAGTGATCTCAGAAAGGGCAAAATCTATGGTGTACTCCAAATGCTGTATAAGTCCCTTGGGTTTCTTTCTCAGGAAGTCAATTCCCTGTCCCATGACTGCCAGCTAGGGCTTGTGGCTTCTCGCCAATGTTCCCCCATAAAAAAAAAAAAAAAAAAAAAATCAGCTCAAGGTGTGACTGCAGCTCAAGTCTGATCTCTCCTGGTCAACTGGGAAATTTACAGGGGATACTTGCCCTTTACCAGGGAACAAAATTCTAAGCCACAGGAAACAAACTGGAGGAGGATTAATTGTAGGCTGAAAGACTATTGGGATGACAGTGGAGGGAGACGCTTATAAAATGTTAAGCAATGTGTTATTTTTATGAGGTAAGAGACCATATACAAAACAAATCTAATATGTGTGGTTTAGAGCACAGGCTTTGTGGTCAGGGACCTGAATGCAAATATTTCTCTGCCATTTACTTTGGGCAAGTCACCTGCCTCTCTAAGGCTCAGTTTCCTCATCCATCATTTGTGTATGATAAAAAGACAGTGCGGTTCTCAGTAGTCAAGTGCTCAATAAAAAGTAGCCATTCACAGAAGACAAATTTTACATATTCTCACTCATTTGTGGGAACTAAAAATTAAAACAATTGAATTCATGGAGATAGAGAACACAATGATGATTACCATGGGCTGGGAGGGGCAGTAGGAAGTGGAAGACATTGGGGATGGTTAATGGGTACAAAAATATAGTTAGATAGAATAAATAAGAATGTGATAGCACAACAGGGTGACTACAGTCAACAGTAATTTATTGTACATTTAAAAATAACTAAAAGTATAATTGGAATGTTTGTGACACAAAGAAATGATAAATGCTTGAGGTGATAGATACTCCATTTACCCTGATGTGATTATAATGCATTGTATGCCTGTATCAAAACATCTCATATACCCCATAAATACACACTCCGACTATGTACTCATAAAAATAAAAAATAAAATTTAAAAGCAGCTATTACTTTTTAGCTTTTATGAGATGCATAAGCTTTTTAACTAGAGTAATAAGAAATTACGCAAACATGCATAAGTGGAAATTATTAATGTTTCTTTGACAAAAATGTGAGATTGCTTTTATTTAAGGGACATTGTTAGTATGAATGCTTCAAAAACGGAATCAATAGTCATCCTACATTAAATCCAAATCGGTGTACTCTATACATCTGCCTACGTGTCTGCGTAAGCATGGGTGCTCCCCAAATTCCTGTAATTTATAAGAGCTATTTAATACTTACTTTCATTTTTCCTTCCCCACTCAGTTCTTTCATTTCTCCCGAATGAATCAAGGAGAAATCTCCCAGGAAGGCGAAACCTCTGGACCACCAAGTCCTTGAAGTAGGGCGACCCACTGCCACAGTTTTAATGGGAGTGTCCCGGTTTTAGCACTTAATAATCTCATGACCCGGGAGCTCCACTAGTCTTCTGCAAACTGCGATGGTGGTTTCCTCTACCTGGGAGCCTGGCAGCCCCACCAGGCCCTACAGGATTACATCTGTTGACTGCACTCAGTTTTACTTCATTGCAGGTGGTGTTTCTTTCCCTTGGTAGAGTTCTTTCACTAACACCCCTGTGAGTCTTGTCAGATGTGATTAAACTCTGGGCAACACAAATGGAATGAAAAGAGGGAGGTGGAATTGTTTTTTTTTTTTTTTTTTAACGTGAGATAACTGACAGGTAAGACTTGAGATGAACCGGGGGGTTAAAGAAGGGTATGCGTGCCTCTGGGTGCTTTGCTATCTATGTGCTCACACATAAGAAGGAGTATGTGTAATGTACTGAGGAAGAGACCTTGGGAAGCCCGACCTGGGCAGGAGCCCCTGGAAAGTGGGGGAGGGGAAGGCAGCCGTGGCTGCAAAATTGAGGCACACAGTTTCCCATCACGGCCTCCAGAGGGCGCCATCAGCCCGCAGTGGTTCTTTGCCTTTTGAGGGCGGGCAGAAGGAAGAGGATCCACCTGGAGGATGGGTAACGAGAGCTGCAACCCACTTCCTTCAGGGCTGGGGCATGCAAGAACGAGGAGTGGACCGCTCGCAGTGCTTGAATGTCCTCCTTGTTAACCCCAGCTGGGATAAGCACCTCCGCCTCATAAGATCAAAGCTCTTTCATTCCTGCTTTAACTTTGCCAGTTCCCTTTACTTCGGAAAGAATGAGAAACCTCATCCTAGCAATCCCAGGGATCTGTGCCCTCCAGAGGAAGATCTCTGCAAAGCTGTTTACAGCGGGTTGTTTGGAGGCCAGCTTCTCTGGCACGGCGCGGTGTCCCCGTGGAGCGTTTCCAGGGCGCGGAGGCCCTGGGTCACCAACTCGAATGAATAGTGAGTGAGCTGATTGCCGCTCCACGCTGATGGATGTATATTTGTTACATTTGAAGTGTTCTGAGAAAAGAACTGCTTCTGAAAAGAAGAGCTTTGTGTGAGCACAGTGAACATGAAGGGCGAGATTCCAAAACCTTTAGGAGGGTTTTCTTTCTATGCAAGAATGAGCCACAGAAAGCTGTTCCCAGCATCCTCTGCTAATCTAGGAACACCTATGGAAAAGCGTTGTCCCGGTCTCAATCCCAGGGATGGGAATCAGGAAGCACAGAAGCTGCCATCAGAGCCCAGGGCTGGCTCTGTCATTGCCCCTTGGGTGACCTGCCGGCAAACCGCTAGAGAGCCGAGCCTCAGTTTTCTCATCTGTAAAATGAGAGCCCGGTTGTAGGGTACCCAAGTTCCCTCCCAGGTCTGGCACTTCCTGAGGGTCCTATTGTTCACCATAGAGCTAATAATGCTAGTTCTCAATTGTTTTGTTCTTGGGACCCCTTCACAAATCTTAAAAGTACTGAGCCTCCCCCCACCCCATGGATCTGTGGGGGCTTCTTTTGCTATTTGGCAGTCAGTACTAATCAAACTAACTGACATAGAAGAATTTTAGCTTATACTTCATGTGTCTAAGGCTCTCTCCAAGGGCCTTCTCTCTGCCCTATCATGTTTACATTTGTCTTGGTTGATGTAAGGCACTGATTATGGCCTCTGGATGCACATTGGAATCACCTGTAGAGCTGAGACATAACCTCAGACCAATTCCCAGAGATTCTCATCTAGTTGGTCTCTGCTAGGGTAGTGGGGAGGGGGCTACCAGGTGATTTTTAATGTGTAGCCAGGCTTGAGAAGGGCCACTCTGATAGCTCTGTGGTTCTCAAAGTCAGCCGGCAGCATCAGTATTACCTGGGAACTTGTTAGAAATGCAAATTCTCAGGCCTGCCAAGGACCTACTAGGGCAGAGCCCAGGAATCTGTTTTAACAAGCCTTCCAGGTGATTTGAATACATGCTACAGTTTGAGACCCAGTGTTCTCAATTGCCACACCTCCACAGCTTCCACTCCCACCTTCACCATCACCTCCATCAACTAAGTAAGCCCATGAAAATGTTTCAGGTTCCCATCTTCCAAGGTGCAGCTGTCTGTGTTTGCAGTGGTGACAGGGGCTTGGGTGACTGTGGCATCATTTGCATGTGAGAAGCTGCTGGGCTCTTCAGCAAGAATGAACCAAAGGTCACTAAATGCCACACACATATTCCATTCAGCAAATATTTATTGCATAAATATTTATTGAGGTACCAGCCTACTGCTGAGGGCATCACCTTACAGAATGCTTGCTGCATAGGAGATGCTTCAGAAATGCTGGCTGATGAAACCTCAAGGCCTTTTTGCAGCCATTCATGCTGCCTAAGAATTATGCATCCTGTTTACTCTGTCCTTACCTTCGACACATGGAAGCTCTAATCCTTGGGAATCCTGAAAAGCAAGGGTCCCTCTGGCACAGCAACCAAAAAGAAAATCACAACCACACCTAGCCTGTGCTAGCCTTGCCAATGATATTGCTTTTGCAAAGAATGGAAAATATTTGCAAATGGTTGAATGTTGAATCATGGGTTCTATGACATTAATGTTTATAAAATTCCATTTTACTATGGAAACAATAGGCTAATTGTTAGAGTGGATGGAGATCTATAGGATTGTCTCCTCCACACTCACATACTTGTTTTTCTAGAAACTGCCACCTTTCCCATCCGTATTTCTCACAGGAGCTCTCTCTCTCTTTCTCTCTCTCTCTCTGTATATAGTACATGACCCATCAACCTAACTGGCACTCAATCCAAAGTGGGCTACTGACTCTTGACTCCTTTGGTTAGAATTTTTTGGACTTGACACTGAGCAATCTCCCTATGGTGACTGAAGCTGGAAGGTTCAGTATTAGGGTTCTCCATAGATATGGGACCAATAGTGTGTGTGTGTGTGTGTGTGTGTGTGTGTGTGTGTGTGTCTACAGAGAGAGAGAGAGGGAAGATAGAAGATAGATAGATAGATAGATAGATAGATAGATAGATAGATAGATAAAAAGGAATTTATTAGGGGAATTGGCTAAGACAGGTTGTCTGCGAGCTGGAGACCCTGGGATGCTGGTAGCATGGCTCAGTCTAAGTTCAAAGGCCTTGGAACTAGGGAAGCAGGTGGTGTAATTCTCAGTCCGAAGCTGAAGGCCTGAGAACTTGGGGTGGGGTGGAGGAGTGTGGTAAGTTTTAGAGCCTAAAAGTTGGAGCTTGGAGTTCTGATGTCCAAGGGACAGAAGAAAAGTATACCCCAAATCCAGGAGAGAGAGAGAGGAACTCACCTTTTTGTTCTATTCAGGTACCCAGCTGATTGGATGGTGCCTGCCCACATTGAGGGCAGATCTTCCCCACTCAGTCCATTGACTCACATGGCAATCTCCTCTGGAAACAGCCTCCATGACATACTCAGAAATAATCATTTATTTACCTGTTCTTTATTTCACTCGTGTCCATGTGAAGAGACCACCAAACAGGCTTTGTGTGAGCAATAAAGCTTTTAATCAGCTGGGTGCAGGCGGGCTGAGTCCGAAAAGAGAGTCAGCAAAGGGAGATGGGGTGGGGCTGTTTTATAAGATTTGGGTAGGTAAAGGAAAATTACAAAGGGGGTTGTTCTCTGGCAGGCAGGTGTGGGGGTCACAGGGTGCTCAGTAGGGGAGCTTTTGAGCCAGGATGAGCCAGGAGAAGGAATTTCACAAGATAATGTCATCAGTTAAGGCAAGAACAGGCCATCTGGATGTGTACGTGCAGGTCACAGGGGATATGATGGCTTAGCTTGGGCTCAGAGGCCTGACATTCCTGTCTTGTTATATTAATAAGAAAAATAAAATGAAATAGTGGTAAAGTGTTGGGATGGCAAAAATTTGGGGGGATGGTATGGAGAGATATTTCTCAGGGCTGCTTTGAGTGGGATTAGGGGCGGTGTGGGAACCTAGAGTGGGAGAGATTAAGCTGAAGGAAGATTTTGTGGTAAGGGGTGATATTGTGGGACTGTTAGAAGAAACATTTGTCATTTAGAATTCTTGGTGATGGCCTGAATATGGTTTTGTATGAATTGAAAAACTAAACGGAAAAAGAGAAGGAGAAAACAGGTATTAAAGGTCTAAGAATTGGGAGGACTCAGGACATCTGATTAGAGAGTGCCTAAGGAGGGTCAGCATAGTCCTGCCAGCAAAGATTATTTATTTACTTTAAGAGTTAAGAGTGGCAGTTTGGGGATAGCACCAGGAGATATCAGCTGTGATGACTTGGAGAAACAGTGTAAACCGGCAGTGTAAACAAGAGCAGGGCATGTATGAGTAGTTGAGAACGGTGAATAGGAGTATGACTAGACAGAAGATAGTAGGGATGACAAGTTTTTTGGGGCACAGTCCAAGTTGGTCTGGTGTCTGGAATGAGACTGGGGCCTAATAAAACGGAGCATCCATACAGGAGCTCAAATGGGCTATACCTGTAGCATTTCGAGGACAGGCCTGAATTCTGAGAAAAGAAAGAGGTAAAAGTATTGTCCAGTCCTTTTTAAGTTGGTGGCTGCCTGAAGACTGAGGACTGTAAGGGATATAAAGGTTTCACTGAATACCAACAGCCTGAAAAACTGCTTGGCTGATTTGACTAATAAAGGCCGGTCCACTATCGGACCGTAGAGGTGGGAAGGCCAAACCGAATAATTATGTCTGACAGACGGGAAGAAATGACCGCAGTGGCCTTCTCAGACCCTGTAGGAAAGGCCATCCAGTGAAAGTGTCTACCCAGACCAAGAGGTATTTTAGTTTCCTGACTCAGGGCATGTTGAATAAAGCCAATTTGCCAGTCCTGGGCAGGGACAAATCCCTGAGCTTGATGTGTGGGAAAGGGAGGAGGCCTGAACAATCCCTGAGGGGTAGTAGAATAGCAGATGGAACACTGAGAAGTGATTTCCTTGAGGATAGATTTCCATGATGGAAAAGAAATGAGAGGTTCTAAGAGACGGGCTAGTGGCTTGTAACCTACATGGAAGAGGTTATGAAATGACGACAGAATAGGATGGGCCTGTGAGGCTGGAAGGAAATATTTTCCTTGATCTAAGAACCATTTGCCTTGTGTGGGAAGAGATTGATAGGTGGAAGTTTCAGTGGGGAAGTAGGTGGGAGTGGCCAGATGAGAAGGAGAAAAACTGAAAGTGAGGGATATAAGTTGGAATGCTAGCTGCTTTTTTAGCTATCTTATCAGCGTAAGCATTGTCCTGAGCGATGGGATCTGATGCCCTTTGATGACCTTTGCAGTGAATGACTCCAGCTTCCTCTGGAAGTAAAGCAGCTTTGAGAAGCGTTTTTATTAAAGAGGCATTAATGATAGAGGACCTTTGTGTAGTGAGGAAATCTCTTGCACAGTGGTGCAGGATATGGAAGGCATATTTAGAGTCAGTATAAATATTGACATTTAGTCCTTTTGCAAGAGTGAGGGCTTGACTTAAGGCAATGAGTTCGGCTTGCTGAGAGGTAGTGGAGGGGGTCAGAGCAGTAGCCTCAATGATAGATGTGGAAGATACTGTAGCATAGCCTGCCTTTGCTGGTGAGTGACGATTAGGCCTGGTGGAACTGCCATCAATAAACTAAATGTGATCAGGGTGAGGAACAGGAAATAAGGAAATATGGGGAAATGGGGTGAATGTCAGGTGGATCAGAGAGATACAGTCATGAGGGTCAGGTGTGGTATCCAGAATAATGTGGGAGGCCAGATTGAAGTCCGTGCCAGGAACAATGGTAATTGTGGGAGACTCAACAAAGAGTATAGCTGAAGGAGCCGGGAAGCAGAAAGTATATGCATCAGGTATGAGGAAGAAAATAGATTTTGGAAGGTTTGAGAACTGTAGAGAGTGAGCTGAGCATAGTTTGTGATTTTTAGGGCCTCTAAAAGTATTAAAGCAGCAGCAGCTGCTGCATGCAGACGTGAGGGCTAGGCTAAAACAGTAAGGTCAAGTTGTTTGGACAGAAAGGCTACAGGGTGCGGTCCTGGCTCTTGTGTAAGAATTCTGACCGCACTAACCATGCCTAGGAAGGAAAGGAGTTGTTGTTTTGTAGAAGGGATTCAGGTTTGGGAGATTAGTCGAACACGATCAGCAGGGAGAGCACGTGTGTTTTTATGAGAATTATGCCGAGATAGGTAACAGATGAAGATGAAATATGGGCTTGACTGAAGGAATGGGGGCTGTCTGTGAAGACTTGTGGCAGTACAGCCCAGGTAATTTGCTGAGCCTGATGGGTGTCAGGGTCAGTCCAAGTGAAAGCGAAGAGAGGCTGGGTATGAAGGGTGCAAAGGAATAGTAAAGAAAGCATGTTTGAGATCCAGAACAGAATAATGGATTGTAGAGGCAGGTATTGAGGATAGGAGAGTATATGGGTTGGCACCACGGGGTGGATAGGCAAAACAATTTGGTTGATAAGGCGCAGATCCTGAACTAACTTGTAAGGCTTGTACACAACTGAGGCTTTGGGTTGGGAGAAGGGCAGCAATGAGATGCAGCTGTAGTCCAGGAATAGTCAGGGAAGCAGATAATTTAGTTAAAGTATCTCGGCCTAATAAGGGAACTGGGCAGGTGGAGATAACTAAAAAGGAGTGCTTAAAAGAGTATTGTCTAAGTTGGCACCAGAGTTGGGGAGTTTTAAGAGGTTTAGAAGCCTGGCCGTCAATACCCACAACAGTTATGGAGGCAAGGGAAACAGGCCCTTGAAAAGGAGGTAATGTGGAGTGGGTAGCCTCTGTATTGATTAAGAAGGGGACAGACTTACCCTCCACTGTGAGAGTTACCTAGAGCATCTGTGATGGTCCTGTAGGCTTCTGAGGCAATCAGGCAGTGTCAGTCTTCAGCTGCTAAGCCGAGAAGATCTGGGAAAGAGTCAGTCAGAGAGCCTTGGGCCAGAGTTCCAGGGGCTCTGGAAGTGGCTGCCAGGTGAGTTGAACAGTCCGATTTTCAGTGGGGTCCCGCATAGATGGGACATGGCTTAGGAGGAATCCCAGGCTGTGGGCATTCCTTGGCCCAGTGGCCAGATTTCTGGCACTTGTAGCAAGCTCCTGGGGGAGGAGGTTCTGGAGGAACCCCTGGCAGCTGCAGTTCAGGCATTTGGAGTTCTCGTGTGCTGGTGATGTGGCTGGGGTTTGTCTCACAGTGGAGGCAAGGAATTGCAACTCAGAAATAACATTGCTACTTGGCTGCCTCTACTCTATTATTGTACACCTTGAAGGTGAGATTAATTAAGTCCTGTGTGGGGTTTGAGGGCTGGGATTTAATTTTTGGAGCTTTATTTCATGTTGGGAGCAGATTGGGTAATACAATAAAATGCATATTGAGAATAAGACGGCTTTCTGACCTTTCAGGGTCTAGGGCGGTAAAGCATCTCAGGGTTGCTGCCAAACGAGCCATGAACTGGGCTGGGTTTTTCATATTTGATTAAAAACAGCCTAAACACTAACTGATTTTGGGAGACGTCAGATAAAGAAAAAGGAGCATTAAACTTGACTATGCCTTTAGCTCCAGCCACCTTTTTAAGAGGAAATTGCTGGACAGGTGGGGGAAGGCTAGTCCAGGAAGGAAACTGTAAGCTAGACAGGGTCTGAGGAGGGGAGGTGATAAAAGGATTATAGGATGGGGGAGCAGAGGCTGAGGAAGAATTGGGACCTGGCTGGGCCTGGTGAGGAGGGGAGAAGTCAGATGGGTCTTTAGAAAGGAAGATTAGAAAGACTCAGCGACACTTGGGGTTGGGACTGAGGGGACAGGCGGGAGGGAAAGAAGGACGATTTGGGACGAGTCGCATTGGGAACAGAGACTAGGGAGGGAACAATGTGTAAAAGAATGCCTGGATGTCAGGCACCTCAGACCTTTTGCCTATTTTATGACAAGAATTATTTAGATCTTGTAGGATGGAAAAATTGAAAGTGCCATTTTCTGGCTATTTGGAACCACTGTCGAGTTTGTACTGGGGTCAAGCAGCATTGCAGAAGAAAATAAGGCATTTAGGTTTTAGGTCAGGTGTGAGTTGAGGTTTTAAGTTCTTGAGAACACAGGCTAAGGGAGAAGAAGGAGGAATGGAGGGTGGAAGGTTGCCTATAGTGAAGGAGGCAAGCCCAGAGAAAAGAGAGAGTAGAGACATGGAGAGAAGGGGTTTGGGGATTCTTACCCCCCAGAAAAGCAGGAAAGGGGTTGGGGCATGGAAATAAGGGGTTGGGGTGCAGAGATAAGAGGTCAGGGTGTGGAAATAAAGGATCAGGGCACAGAGATAAGAGGTCGGGGCGTGGAAATAAGGAATCAGGGCACAGAGATAAGAGGTCGGGGTGCAGAAAAAAGGGATCGGGGTGCAGAGATAAGAGTTCGGGGCGTGGAAATAAGGGATCGGGGTGCAGAGATAAGAGGTTGGGGTGTGGAAATAAGGGATTGGGAGGTTCTTGCCCCCAGAAAAGCAGAGAAGGGGTACAGACATGGAGAGAAGGGGTTGGGGGGTTCTTGCCCCCTAGAAAAGCACTACTTGCCGCTAAGGGTGAAGGAGAAGGGGCTGGGAGGTTCTTGCCCCCCAGAAAAGAGGTACTTGCTGCTAAGGGTCAAGGACCAAGGCAGGCATCCCCTTGTGGTCAAACACCTCTGAAACGTGGGTGAATAATCAGGCAGGTGTCCCTGTGTGATTAAACACCAAGGGAAGACTGTCTTCCCGAGTCCATGACCGGCGCCAGAGTTTTGGGTCCATGGATAAAGTGCGTCTCCTGTCTCTACCAGAAAAGGAAAGGAACTGAAATTAAGAGAAGGGAGAGATTGAAGGGTGGCGCCAAGATTGAAAGGAGAAAGTGGCTGAGGGATAGTGAGATAGGTTGGAGAAGAGAGTAAGAAGAGGCTGCTTACCCAATTTAAAATTGGTAAGATGTTCCTTGGGCTGGTGGGTCTGAGGACCCGAGGTTGTAGGTGAATCTTTTTCACGGAGCAAAGAGCAGGAGGACAGGGGACTGATCTCCCAAGGGAGGTCCCCCAATCCAAGTCACGGCACCAAATTTCACTTGCATCCGTGTGAAGAGACCACCAAACAGGCTTTGTGTGAGCAATAAAGCTTTTAATCAACTGGTTGCAGGAGGGCTGAGTCTGAAAAGAAAGTCAGCAAAGGGAGATGGGGTGGGGCCATTTTATAAGATTTGGGAAGGTAAAGGAAAATTACAGTCAAAGGGGGTTGTTCTCTGGTGGGCAGGAGTGGGGGTCACAAGGTGCTCAGTGGGGGAGCTTTGGAGCCAGGATGAGCCAGGAGAAGGAATTTCACAAGATAATGTCATCAGTTAAGGCAGGAACAGGCCATTTTCACTTCTTTTGTGGTGGAATGTCGTCAGTTAAGGCAGGAACCGGCCATCTGGATGTGTACATGCAGGTCACAGGGGATATGATGGCTTAGCTTGGGCTCAGAGGCCTGACACTTTAGGGAATCCTTAATCCAGTCAAGTTTACATCTAAAGTGAACCATGACAACAGACAATGATGAAGTTGGTGGACATGTTTCCACTGACATGGAGTGATCCAGTCTGCAAGGAAAGAGAAGGAAGCTGGCAACACACACACAGCACAGGAGGAATGAGGGGAGCCTCCTCATGCACCTCAGTAACTTGGCTCTAGTTATTCGTGAAGCCCATCTGCATCCCCACTCTTTCCCATACTTGGTTTTTCAACATTTTCTTTTAGATTTTTGTGGCTCAAATCAATTCCCCTTTGAGATGAAGCTAATTGGGATTTGATTCTGTCACTTGTAACCATGGCCCTAACCAAAACAAGTGTTTGAACAGCTTTAGGGTGACTAAAATGAATACAAAGGGGGAAGTCCACCAATAGCTCTGACATTCTGGTTTCTGTCACCTCATGTCTTTCTTAAACACATGAATTTTACCAGATACCCTTTAAGGGTCAGTTTTGTAGTTTTTTGGCAAACTTTTAATTGAATGATAAGATACATATTTAAAAAACTGCACAATCATAACTTCTCACAAAATACACATACCTGTAAAACCAACACCCAGATTAAGAATCAGAACAGGCTGGGCATGATGGCTTATACCTGTAAGCACAGCATTTTGGGAAGCCAAGGTGGGAGGATCACTTGAGCCCACCCAGGAGTTCAAGATCAGCCTGGACAACATAGCAGGACCTCGTCTCTACTAAAAATAAAAATGAAAAATAGCTGGGCATGGTGATGCCTGCCATTAGTCCCAGCTACTCAGGAGGCTTAGGCAGGAGGATCACTGGAGCTCAGGAGGTTGAGGCTGCAGTGAGCCATGGTCATGCCACTCCACTCCAGCCTGAGTAACAGAGCAAGACCCTGTCTCAAAACAAAACAAAAAAACATAAAAGAATCAGAAGATATCTAGCAACCCTCCCAGTCAGTATCCCCTCACCTCAGGGTAGCCATGCTCCTGACTTCTGACATCATAGAACATTTTGCCTGTTTCTGAACTTTAAGGAATCATACAGGATGTTCTCTTTCATGTCTGGCTTCTTTCTCATTGGTAAGATGCATCCATGTTGTTGCATGGGGCTGTAGTCCATCCTTATTGCTGAGTAGTATCCCCAGCTTTGTATTTAAATGTTATTTTTCTTAAAGTAGGCTAGAAATCAATAATAGAAACATAGTAGAAGTAGCTATTTGTTCTCCTGATGATCTATTGATCCTGATGGTAAAATATCTAAATCATACAAGCTGCCTGGAACTTTGCAGAAGAGAGAAACTGATCTTATTAAGTTGGAGGCTTCATTGAGATTCTTCTTATGCTGCTCAGCTCAAGTGAGGGCACGGGCTGCTTCCTCCTTATGAAGTAGGAAAAACAAATGACCCACCTCCTGCCCTTGCGCAGAACAGAGCTTCTGAAAGAAAAGCATGCTGCAGCTGTCCTTAAAAGTGACCCTTTCAAAAAACTTAATCAGACTGCATATTGTTTATTTCAGCAAATAGCATTCAATGACTCTAAAGACAAATAATGCCTTACTGCAATTTGTACATAATTTTTGGAAAACAATACTATTCTAATTTTTACCAAGCAAGCAAACAGTAATTTATTCCCAGGGCTGTTCTAGTAGACCTTTCTTCACTTGCCTTGAGATACAGATTCTGAATATAAATTCCATCAACACCTGTAGTTTTTCTTCTTTACCCTCTGTAAGAATTAGAATGCAAATCACGAACCCCAATTCTTAGAAACCTACCACTTCTTATCAGCCAGAATTATATCCAGGTCCGTTGGAAAAATCAACCACTGGCAAAGGGAATGAGATTACCATACTTGGCATATAACAACAGTGTTTATCCCTAAAATGAGGAATACAGTCCCCTTGCCTGAGTGACTTTCAAACAAAACAATGGCTCTTCTGGCAAGGGAGACAGGGAGAAAGATTATTGGGCTAAAAACTACCCAACCATTATCTTCCACAGTCTACCTCTTTGACTTCCTAGCTTCCATACATTGTTCAAAAAGTGCTCATACTTCCACAAAATGCACATAGTCCTTCCAAGGGTGAAAAGAACCTAAAGTCTCATCAAGAAAAAAACAAGATAAACCCAATAAAACCTTTCATTCAGAAAAGTGACTGTCATCACTGATCCATAGCACATGTTATTTCCTGAAGGACATCAATAGCAAATACTAGTTCCATGACCCAGGAATCGAGTGAGTTTCTCTGTCAGCCCCATGGACGTCCCTAGTTCCACTCCACTGGAGCCTCCCTTGCCCATTGTCTTCCATGGCCATTTCTGGGGTAAGCGTTGAAGAAGATGCCCTCCTGGATGCTGCCAGATTTAACAGCTCACTTCCAGTAGATACAGATTCTATGGCCTCAGGACAATAGGGCTTGAATTGTTCCAGACTTTTATCAGTTTGAAATTCACTTCTGGTCAGGTCCAGGCACCGATAATGGCCAGTCATCTTGTCTGAACGAGGCCTGTGAGAGCCACAATCCCTCCTCCTCCCCACATGTCTCTATGATTTTCCCACCTTCAAGCACGAAGTTTAATGGCTTCCACCTTGAGGCAACTGGTAACAAAAGCCATGTGGTGGAAGAGGGTGTGAAGCAGGGGAGGGGTGATGTCACCTGTGACCCCAGCCCTCCTGGGTGCACCTAAGCTAGATAGTGCCTCCTGTCTTACAAAGGATGTGTGGTGAGGGATATTAAGGAGAGGCATGGGGAATCAGATTTGCTTTTGTCCCAATTTTATCAGTCATATCTCCGGAGAAATTTCTTTTTTCTCTACCTTTTGGGAGGTGAGTAGGAGAAGGATATCAATTTTGTACAAAATTGGGATTTGCAAGCTTGAAAATCTCCAAACTATGGCCTTCAAATCGATTTAGATTCTAGGTTATGGGCAGGAGGAGTCTGTATTAGCAAAACTCAACTGTCTTCCCTTTCTGCATTCAGGCATGTCACTTTTCACCTAAACTTGCCTCTTAGACTATCCCTTTCTCAAAGGCTTCAAGCAATAACGAGCATGTGCCAATATCCCCAATTTTCCTACCAATACCTCTAACCCTACAGTGTCTATAGGCACAAGAGCAGAGTCCCAAAGTCCAACTTGTGACAAAATAACCAAAAGCTACAGACTCAGAAATTTTGAAATATGGCTTTTACTGTTATAAAATACATAAGAGCTACATTTAGAGAGAAATGAAGGAGTTGACCACCAGCTGAAGTCAGGAACTATCACACCCAGTTTCACATTTTCTCTATTATATACATGTGTAAACTCCAGTTTCCCTCTGCCTACATCACCTTTCCAGAAATTCTTTTAGGATCTACAGGGAAGGGAGGCTCTTTTCCTCATAAGTAAACATACTTTTAAAAAGAGATTTGAATATGTATTTTGAAAACAAGATGAATCACAGCAAACAATATAAAATATAAATCTGAAAATAGATCAGGATATACAGCTTACACGGGGAGGATCATATCATTTTGATGAGAAGAACTAAAGGGAATACAGCATTGAAAATGTCTTTGTCTGGCTAGGCATGGTGGCTCATTCCTGTAATCCTAGCACTTTGGGAGGCCAAGGTGTATCACCTGAGGTCAGGGGTTCGAGACCAGCCTGGCCAACATGGCAAAACCCCGTCTCTACTAAAAATACAAAAATTAGCTGGGCATGGTGGCACATGCTTGTAATCCCAGCTACTCAGGAGGCTGAGGCAGGAGAATCACTTGAACCCGGGAGGCAGAGGTTGCAGTGAGCCGAAACCATTCCACTGCACTCCAGCCTGGGCAACAGAGTGAGACTCCATCTCCAAAAAAAAAAAAAAAAAAAAAGAAGATGTCTTTGTTCATTGAGATTTTTAACTTTTAAAAAACATAATATGAAGTTCTGTTCATTAGGGACAGTGCCAGTTAAAGTTTGGTTTAAGGCAGTAGCTTGTCTTCAGTTTTCCATTAATAGCCAATTGATTTTCCTCTATGACACTGGGAGAAAATATGAGGAAGGGTTCACCATTGATCCTTCTGATCTCTGCACTCTTATTCAAAGTCAAAATTCTAATCTGGCAACATGCTGCACAAACACCAGCACTAACACCAGCATCTGGGGCTTCACTATGTGGTTCTGATGGTATAATTCTCACCATGTGTAGGTTTGATGATATCTAAGCCATATCAACTTCCCTCCCAGAAAGGAGTACTCCCATTTAGTTTTGAGTTGAATGTTAATCAATTCCCTTTATACAAGTTCAGCATAGTTGAACAAAACAGAACCATGTTCCAAAACCAAGGTTGATGCAATATATCATGCTCACCAATTTATCCCTATTAGTACATTCCTGACACATGGCCAGTGCTCAATAACTACTTACTGCATAGATGAATACATGAAAAAGACATGGCCACTGAGCAGCTCAGACAGCCTTGGCTTTGAATATTTTGCTGGTCACATTAAGTTATTTGCAGTTTACTGACAAGGAACACATGGGGAAGCCAGATGTTTGTAATTTTGAAATAGTTTATAGTTTCATTAGACTTTGAGTCTTGCTTGTCAAATAGCATTTATTAATATCCACTTTCTCCCAGGCAGAGCTCTAGGCATAAGGCAGAAAGTTAAAAATTCCAGAATAAATCTCTTTCTACATTTTTCTTCCTCCACTTCAAATACCTGATTCTAAGCCAGGTGTCTGTGAGATCCAGCCCCCAAACACTGCAATGACTGACTCCAATGAGGCTCCTTAAAAGCTGCCTTTCCTTTCTCCTCCCTCCAATCTCAGAAATAACCACTGCCTTCCAATTCCTATAACATTGTTCTTAGCACTCATATAGTAGCTATTATTGCAAGTTGCACACATGGAGATAGAATTACTAAAAACACATGGCTTTCTGTCTTTCTGTGCTGTGTCATGAGTTTGTTGGAGGGAGACACCCATTTATAAATAACACACATTTGTCAAATCAATGAATAAACAACAGAGATGCATCTTTCCTTCTCTTTAACTGAGAATTTAAAGGTAAAAAATGTATACTGGATAAAGTTCCTTTCTTCAGTACTGGACAAATAAGGGAAAAGACAGGGAAAATCTACTATTTAGCTAGAAAAGCGGCAAAGGGGAAAAGTCTTATCTCTGGGCTCAGTCATCTGGGAGAATGCACATAGTAAGTGAAATTCTTTGATAAGCTTCTCATCGAGACAGGTCAACTATATGTTTTCCCCTTGACTTCTGGCCTATCTTGTGACTCAGCTGTAGCCAATGGAAAGCAATGGAAGTGATGTGGCATAACTTCTGAGGCTGTCAGCAAAGGCCATGCTGCTTCTACCTGATTCTCTTAGGGTGCTCAATCTAGGAGAGCCTGCCTCTGCCACCATCTAAGAACTTGGACTATCCTAGGACCATGGGATTGCTGTGCTGGAGGTGCCATGTGTTTGTGGGCCTCTGGTCAACAGTCCCAGCTGAACCAGTCAACAGCCAGTGTTGGGCACAATGGCTCATGCTGTGATACCAACACTCTGAGAGGCTGTCATGATGGGTATCACTTGAGATCAGGAGTTTAAGACTGACCTGGTCAACATGGCAGAACCCCATCTCTACAAAAAATTAAAGTTAAAAAGCAAAAAAAAAAAAAAAAAAAACCCAGCCAGTGTCAACTATCAGCCATGTGCATGAGCCACCTTGGACATCCAGCTCAGTCAAACCTTCAGGTGACTGCAACCCCAGCCAATATCTGACTGCAACCACATGAGAGACAGTGAGAACTGTCAAACTGTTTCTAAACCTGACTCTCAAAATACAATAATTGTCTTAAGCTGCTAAATAATGGGGACATTCACTACACATTAATAATAACTGGACCAATTGCCTCTGGGTATTACCACTGTAGAAAAACCCTGAATTTTTCTTCTCTACTCTTGAATGGGGCTGTTGAGCCCTTTGTCAATTTTCAGACCAAGCATATACAAAGACATACAAGCATAGGACCATTCATCAGTGAGTGTCTTACTCCATAAATGAAAACAGGCTGGGCGCAGTGGCTCACACCTATAATCCCAGCACTTTGGGAGGCCGAGGTGGATGGATTACCTGAGGTCAGGAGTTCAAGACCAGCCTGGCCAACATGGGGAACACTGTCTCTACTAAAAATACAAAATTAGCTGGGCATGGTGGCACATGCCAGTAATCCCAGCTACTTGGGAGGATGAGGCAGGAGAATCACTTGCACCTGGGAGGTGGAGGTTGCAGTGAACTGAGATCGCGCCATTGAACTCCAGCCTGGACAAGAGTGAGACTCCAACTCAGAAAAAAAAAAAAAAAAGAACAAAAAACTTTCAGAGCCTGCACATGTAGCATCCATCAGAATGTAAATTAAAATCATAAAAGCTTTCTGGAATGAAAGCAGCCTCTGCTTAATTAAGGCAAGCAGTGTAACACCTGTTAAGATGAGCGTCATGAGGATAATTATTAGAGGCTTCTACAAAGTGATGTTTCTTAGTTACTGAACAAAGACTTGGTTACTAGAAAGGCTCAGAAACTATTCTCCTCTGAGAGGAAATGAGGGAGTAAACATTCACAGAAACAACTTGTGATTGAAGCTAGCTCTGCCCCCACGTAGGGGAGCAAGGCTGACTTCATGTTGTACATCCCCGTGACTAATCTCTGACAATCAGTCTAAACTACAAATGTTCTCCAGCCAAGGCAACAGTAGGAAACTTTTCCATATGGCCAAATCTTTCCACAGTCAGTATGGTTTGCAGGATTTGTAAATTAGACCTTTCACTTGCACAAAAGGAAATAATTGTACATGTGACCATTTGTTCTTCCTTGCTTTGTACTCCTTTCCATTGGAAATGTGCCCCATCCACGTGTGGCTGTCCTTCAGCGTAATGAAGAGCCTTCTAGAGGCTGTCTCCTTCCTTGCAGACCCTGCTCTTTTCTGTTCAGCCCTCAGCACTCCCCACATGTGGGAAGGAGTGGGCTGGCCTTCGGGGTAGTTCAAAGAGCTGAGCTGCATCACATCTCATCTTTCCTCACAGCCTGGCAGGCCAGGACCAGGGCAGCTCATGTCTAAGCACACACAGGCAAGGATCTGATTATTAGGAGTGACTTCTTCTAAGTATACCTCTAGCTCTACTTGGGACTGAGAACTGAGAACTGTACACCAATTCTTGGAAGCCCCCTGCTTGAGCGATCTTGTTGGAAAGATCCCTTAGAAATCCAGAAACGCAGTGTATTGCAAACTATGCTTAGAAAAGCCATAGGAACACAACTCAGGGTTGCCACAGAGAAGGAAGGGTGGGGAAATGAGATGAGTGGAACTCTGAGACCCCACCCACACAACAACCCAAAGCATCTTATCTGTTTCCTGTTTCTCATGATGGATTTGAAATCTTTTATTTGTAGAAATTGTTTGGAAACTGCTGCAAATTTTGAAATCAGAAGGCTGTGCACTTAAATTCCAGCTCCGCCCCTTATTGATATTCACTGAATGTCCCTGGCCCCAAATCTTCTGCAAAATGGGGATAGCAATGTAAAACTCACAGGCATAGTGAAGATTAAATGAGATGATGTGATCAGAGAGCCTGGCACATAGTAGTTGCTCAATAAATGATAAAAGTTGGGGATTTAAAGGTTCAGTAATATGGCTCTCTTTTTCTCTGCCCAAGTTCAGAATTGGTTAAGAAAGAGACTCAGAAATAACACAGATGAAGCCCTAAAGGAGCAATCTAGTTGGAGAATGAGGTTTAGCTATATGGCAACAGAGGGCTTTCTAATATTGCACCCCAGAATTAAACTCACCAGCTCAATCACAAGCAGAACTGGAAATCTGTAGGCCTGCAGAAGAGATGGGGACTCCCTTGTAAAATTTACAACATGGAAAATGTCCCTGCAGAAAGGCAGATCCCAAATAAATAAGGATGAAGAGAATGAGTTACACCTACTCAGTTACTCAAACTCACTAACAGATAAGTCACTCAGGCAACTTATGAGCCATCATGTACAATTGCACATGTTCACCGTACAATTATAGATAGTGTCATTTATTATGTGCTTTGACTTGCCTTCTAACAATAAATCTAGAAGTTTCCACAGGTCACAGCCAGCAATTCCATTGCTTTCTCAAAATTTTGTTATCTAGCAAGGGAAAAGTAAAGCATCTATTGGAAAAGGATTCCAGGAGGAATATTCACCACAACGAGTCTTGGCCATCCCTTTACAAATAATTTTCAAAAAGATAGATACATGTGAAATGACAAATGGGTTAATTAATCTCATTATACTGAAAATGGACAACATGATCCATTGCCTGAGAAACATGAATATATAAAAGCTACAGGTTATCACTGGTTTCTTCAACTGGGATGGCTGCTCCACGGCTTGACAACATGCTGTGTCATGTGACATAAGCCCTGTCACATATCTGTGTAATCTTTAGTATAATTTTCCCAGGGTGCTTATTCGTTATTGTTAGTGATATCAGTTGGTGCATTTAACTTCTGTAGTCATACAGAAGTTGCTCTCTGCCCCCTGACTCAGAGTATTTCTATCCACCCCCAGGGTATATCTTGCTTGGAATCTATGCAGACAAAAGAGGCATTTTCAATAACTCCACAGCTTCTTTCAACATAAACTATCTTGGGAGAGTACCAACAACTCAACCTAATGTCACAGTGCTTTATATATATATATATATATATATATATATATATATATATATATCTCCTACTGAGATGAAAATGTCAACTCTGTGTGAAGATAGGCATTTACCTGTATCTCTGAAAACACTCAGTTTAACTAGCATTGACACTAACTGCAAGTTGCCAGAAATACTTGGAAAAGGGACAAAGAGTGTTTAGTTAATTTTGCTCTGGTTCTGTTTCACCCCCTTTTCCTAGCTTTCTGTTGGAGAGGTTTTGCCATATTTGGTTACAAGAAATGGAGAAGGGAATGGTATTATTCGTGGGATACCAGTGATAGGAAACAACAGTAAGTTAGCTGGAAAAACATCAAGGCCTCAATAGAAATATGAGTATTTCTGGGAGCAAAGGTTTGAAAGATTTGATGGTGGTTCTCTGTAACTATGGAATTTCTCTGAATTTCTGTCTCTAAAAACTCCATGGATTTGAATAAAAAGCCCAATACAGTGGAAATAACAATAGCTAACATTTGTTGAGCTTTTACTGAGTGAAGTGTGCTAAGCACTCTAATTTTGTTCTTTCACTTAATCCTTATTACACCACTGTGAAATCAGTACTATTATAATCTTCATTTTGTAGAGGAGGAAACAAAAGAGATTAAGCAATCTGCCACAAGGACACACAGCTGGTAAGTACCAGCGATATGCTTGGATTCAGGAATCTTGACTCCCGAGGTTGTGAGAATATGAAGAAAGTATTGTTGCTCTTGAAAGGATTCAAACAAATATAGCTTGTGTTTATGTTCTCTATAGAAAAGCCATTCTGGGTTCAACTGGTATTGAGGGGTTTAACCAAAAACAGAACTCTTCAGAAAACTATCTTCTTATTACTATAAACAAAGGCCTCCCCAGTTTATAAAATAAAACAGATTAGAAATGTATATCCTCGGGAGGCTGAGGCACATTCATCACTTGAATCTGGAAGGCGGAGGTTGGAGTGAGCTGAGCTGAGATTGCACCACTGCACTCCAGCTTGGGCAACAGTGCGAGACTCAGTCTCAAAAACAAACAAACAAACAAAAAATTGGAAATGTGTATCCAGGTAAGGAGCTCTGTGAAAGAAAATTGCTTCTGCCTGGGGGCATGCAATGGATTATGAACAACAGCAAAAGAGCCTCTGCTTTGCTGTAATGAAAATGGCTCATTCCTGGGCATCTTTCACAATTCAAAGTTGGGAAGATATTTTACACAATCAAGACTGGGGTAAACCCCTGGTCTCCATTAAAAATTAAAATGCCCATGGGTCATGGTGATAATCCAATTCTTAATAGTCTTCATACTGCTATAAATGAAGAATTTAATAATAGATAAATAAAATAGGGCTTTCAGTAAATTTTTATGAAAAATAAACCAAAAATGAGGAATGCTCTTGAGAAGCTCAAGACAAAAATTTCTTAACACATTTTAATTAGGGCTGTTTATCTTCCAAAGAAACTGGGATGCTGTGATGAGAAAGCCTATTGGAATCATTGCAAATTGCACTGCATTGATTTTCTGGCTCAGTTTGAAAGGCAGTAATACCTTTTTAAAAATCAAACAAGATTTGGGATCATCATTATCCAGAGGTTCAACTGATTGGCAGCTTTTGGTACCCTGGATACAGGCTTTCTAAATAAGCCTCAAGGGTTTGGAAATTGCCCATTACTTCATCAGAAACAATCTTCCATATGAGGTTAGGGGATGATGGGAAATTGGCATTGTAAACAATATAAGAAGTATTTTGTGGTCAACTCAAACCTATGGTATTGCCTCATGTGCTGGAACAGAATGAAATTCTGTTCATTAAGACAAAAAACAATCCTAGGGCTAAAAGGAACTTAGAAAGAATTCTCTCTTTGACTCAACTAAAATCAAGACTGGACAACCCAAGGGCTACCTATGGAGCTAATTCTATATATTATGCATCAATACCAGTCATACGATTATCACTCAAAACTCATTGAACTGTGCAGCACAATGCTAAGGAGTGGGGGTATAAAGAGGAACATACTTGGTTCCTACATCAAGGAGCTCACAGTACAATTGAGGACACAGGGCACATCCATATCAAGATAGATCATGATTCAAACTAGCATTTGACAGCTGATACGTAATGGTACACAAAAAATACTTTAGTGCTTTAGATGAGAGAAATCCTGGGACTAGAGAAGCAACTAGGTCTCTAAGCACATGTAAGGATTCTGGGAAAGAGGAGAGAAAAAAATCTTTCACAGTCTAGATGCTCCATCTTGAATTTGGTTAAAAGTGCATTCATAATTCAAGATTCATTCATGAGAATTTATTGGGCTTTATACTAATGATTTCTGCATATATGTTATACTTCAATAAAACTTCAATTAAAAAAATTTTAAGAAATATACATTTGTAAAATAGTTTAAACAGATAGATACAGATCAAGATAGAGATCATATGTATTACACGTAATATATGTGTATATAATATATGATATGTGTATATATTACATAAATGAGATCAAAACTAGTTATTTTTAGTGGACATTATACTTTTCCTGACACTGAATGAACGTGGGGCTTTGGCTGGGGCTCATAACCAACCCACATTCATGGGATCTTCTTCAAAAGTGAAATACAGAGTCCATGTCATATGTGGGAGCTAAAACAGTTGAAATCATAGAAGTAGAGAATGGAGTTATGGTTATTAGAGGCTGGGAAGAGGAGGGGGAGGGAAGGATAGTAATAAGTTGGTTAAAAAATTACAGCTAGATTGGGAGGCTGTGGTGGGTGGATCACCTGTGGTCAGGAGTTCAAGACCAGTCTGGCCAACATGGTAAAACCCCATCTCTACTAAAAATACAAAAATTAGCCAGGTGTGGTGGCAGGCACCTGTAATCTCAGCTACTTAGGAGGCTGACACAGGAGAATCGCTTGAACCCAGGAGGTAGAGGTTGCAGTGAGCCAAGATCATGCCACTGCACTCCAGCCTAGGTGACAGAGCAAGACTCCATCTCAAAAAAAAAAAAAAATTACAGCTAGATAGCAGGAATAAGTTCTAGTGTTCTACAGCACAGTGGAATGAATACAGTTAACATTAATTTATTGTATATTTTTATATAGCTGGAAGAGGATTTTCAGTATTCCCAACACAAAGAAATAATAAATGTTTGAAGTGATAGATATCCTAATTACCCTGTTTTGATCATTACACACGTAGATATGTATCAAAATATCACTGTACCCCATAAATATTTACAATTAAGTGCCAATTAAAACTAAAAGTTAAAAAAAGGGCAAAAAAATATGTAGAATCCAAGGGCAGACCTGAAAACAGCAGAAGTTTGAGAAACAAAGGCAAAGAGGAGGCAGACCTCTGGAATCTTGGAGAATGTGGTTTTCCTAGCAAGGGGCTTTCCCAGGAAAGATGCCCAGGCTGGAGTTCTGTTTGGGGTGTGAATGGATGCTGGGAGCATGAAGGCTGAAGAATCAGAGCTTCACAACACAGCTGGCTTGCATTGTTCCTCTCCTCGCCCACAGTGGGGAAACTCATCTGCCCTCAGGCCGATGTACAATCAGTAGCTTCTTTACCTCCATCATGGCTTCCACTGACAGCTGAGAAGTGCTCTGCAAGCCTTCCCAGAGGCCCACACATACAAGGGGAAGGCCTTCCTGTTTCTTGCAGTGCCAGAACTTGTATTGTTTGTGGGTAGGGTCGCAAGATTTCGCAAAGACAAACAAACAGCAACAACAACAACATAAACCTAGAATGCCCCAATTAATTTGAATTACAGATAAATAACAAACAAAATTTTAGTATAAGCATATTCCATCAAATATTGGGGACATACATATACTAGAATATTATTTGCTTTTATCTGAAATTCCATTTTAACTGGTATTTTGCCTGAAACTCCTGCATGTGGTATACTTGGGTCTACACATACCTCTCCAGGGATTAGAGTTTGCTTCCTACCCCCAAGTTATACAGAAAGAGCAATTGTGTTCTCAAAGTTCCAAAACTTAACCAAATTTTGGAACTTGCTTTATGTTTTTTCTCATTTTTTTTTTATTATTATACTTTAAGTTTTAGGGTACATGTGCACATTGTGCAGGTTAGTTACGTATGTATACATGTGCCATGCTGGTGCACTGCACCCACTAACTCGTCATCTAGCATTAGGTATATCTCCCAATGCTATCCCTCCCCTCCCCCACCCCACAACAGTCCCCAACAGTCCTGTGTCCATGTGTTCTCATTGTTCAATTCCCACCTATGAGTGAGAATATGCGGTGTTTGGTTTTTTGTTCTTGCGATAGTTTACTGAGAAAGATGATTTCCAATTTCATCCATGTCCCTACAAAGGACATGAACTCATCATTTTTTATGGCTGCATAGTATTCCATGGTGTATATGTGCCACATTTTCTTAATCCAGTCTATCATTGTTGAATATTTCGGTTGGTTCCAACTCTTTGCTATTGTGAATAGTGCCGCAATAAACATACGTGTGCATGTGTCTTTATAGCAGCATGATTTATATTCCTTTGGGTATGTACCCAGTAATGGGATGGCTGGATCAAATGGTATTTCTAGTTCTAGATCCCTGAGGAATCGCCATACTGACTTCCACAATGGTTGAACTAGTTTACAGTCCCACCAAAAGTGTAAAAGTGTTCCTATTTCTCCACATCCTCTCCAGCACCTGTTGTTTCCTGACTTTTTAATGATTGCCATCCTAACTGGTGTGAGATGATATCTCATTGTGGTTTTGATTTGCATTTCTCTGATGGCCAGTGATGGTGAGCATTTTTTCATGTGTTTTTTGACTGCATAAATGTCTTCTTTTGAGAAGTGTCTGTTCATATCCTTCACCCACTTTTTGATGGGATTGTTTGTTTCTTTCTTCTAAATTTGTTTGAGTTCATTGTAGATTCTGGGTATTAGCCCTTTGTCAGATGAGTAGGGTTGCGAAAATTTTCTCCCATTTTGTGGGTTGCCTGTTCACTCTGATGGTAGTTTCTTTTGCCTTGCAGAAGCTCTTTAGTTTAATTAGATCCCATTTGTCAATTTTGGCTTTTGTTGCCATTGCTTTTGGTGTTTTAGACATGAAGTCCTTGCCCATGCCTATGTCCTGAATGGTAATGCCTAGGTTTTCTTCTAGGGTTTTTATGGTTTTAGGTCTAACATTTAAGTCTTTAATCCATCTTGAATTGATTTTTGTATAAGGTGTAAGGAAGGGATCCAGTTTCAGCTTTCTACCTATGGCTAGCCAGTTTTCCCAGCACCATTTATTAAATAGGGAATCCTTTCCCCATTGCTTGTTTTTCTCAGGTTTGTCAAAGATCAGATAGTTGTAGATATACGGTGTTATTTCTGAGGGCTCTGTTCTGTTCCATTGGTCTATATCTCTGTTTTGGTACCAGTACCATGCTGTTTTGGTTACTGTAGCCTTGTAGTATAGTTTGAAGTCAGGTAGCGTGATGCCTCCAGCTTTGTTCTTTTGGCTTAGGATTGACTTGGCAATGCGGGCTCTTTTTTGTTTCCATATGAACTTTAAAGTAGTTTTTTCCAATTCTGTGAAGAAAGTCATTGGTAGCTTGATGGTGATGGCATTGAATCTATAAATTACCTTGGGCAGTATGGCCATTTTCACAATATTGATTCTTCCTACCCATGAGCATGGAATGTTCTTCCATTTGTTTGTATCCTCTTTTATTTCATTGAGCAGTGGTTTGTAGTTCTCCTTGAAGAGGTCCTTCACGTCCCTTGTAAGGTGGATTCCTAGGTATTTTATTCTCTTTGAAGCAATTGTGAATGGGAGTTCACTCATGATTTGGCTCTCTGTTTGTCTGTCATTGGTGTATAAGAATGCTTGTGATTTTTGTACATTGATTTTGTATCCTGAGACTTTGCTGAAGTTGCTTATCAGCTTAAGGAGATTTTGGGCTGAGACAATGGGGTTTTCTAGATATTCAATCATGTCGTCTGCAAACAGGGACAATTTGATTTCCTCTTTTCCTAATTGAATACCCTTTATTTCCTTCTCCTGCCTAATTACCCTAGCCAGAACTTCCAACACTATGTTGAATAGGAGTGGTGAGAGAGGGCATCCCTGTCTTGTGCCAGTTTTCAAAGGGAATTCTTCCAGGTTTTGCCCATTCAGTATGATATTGGCTGTGGGTTTGTCATAGATAGCTCTTATTATTTTGAAATACGTCCCATCAATACCTAATTTATTGAGAGTTTTTAGCATGAAGGGTTGTTGAATTTTGTCAAAGGCCTTTTTGCATCTATTGAGATAATCATGTGGGTTTTGTCTTTGGTTCTGTTTATATGATAGATTACATTTATTGATTTGCATTTATTGAACCAGCCTTGCATCCCAGGGATGAAGCCCACTTGATTATGGTGGAGAAGCTTTTTGATGTGCTGCTGGATTCGGTTTGCCAGTATTTTATTGAGGATTTTTGCATCAATGTTCATCAAGGATATTTGTCTAAAATTCTCTTTTTTTTTTTTTTTTAATTGATCATTCTTGGGTGTTTCTCACAGAGGGGGATTTGGCAGGGTCATAGGACAATAGTGGAGGGAAGGTCAGCAGATAAACAAGTGAACAAAGGTCTCTGGTTTTCCTAGGCAGAGTGTTTGTGTCCCTGAGTACTTGAGATTAGGGAGTGGTGATGACTCTTAACGAGCATGCTGCCTTCAAGCATCTGTTTAACAAAGCACATCTTGCACCGCCCTTAATCCATTTAACCCTGGGTGGACACAGCACATGTTTCAGAGAGCACAGGGTTGGGGGTAAGGTCATAGATCAACAGGATCCCAAGGCAGAAGAATTTTTCTTAGTACAGAACAAAATGAAAAGTCTCCCATGTCTACTTCTTTCTACACAGACACAGCAACCATCCAATTTCTCAATCTTTTCCCCACCTTTCCCCCTTTTCTATTCCACAAAACCGCCATTGTCATCATGGCCCGTTCTCAATGAGCTGTTGGGTACACCTCCCAGACGGGGTGGTGGCCGGGCAGAGGGGCTCCTCACTTCCTAGTAGGGGGGGCCGGGCAGAGGCGCCCCTCACCTCCCAGACGGGGCGGCTGGCCGGGTGGGGGGCTGACCCCCCCACCTCCCTCCCGGACGGGGTGGCTGGCCGGGCAGGGGGCTGACCCCCCCACCTCCCTCCCGGAGGGGGCGGCTGGCCGGGCGGGTGGCTGACTCCCCCACCTCCCTCCCAGACGGGGCGGCTGGCTGGGCAGAGGGGCTCCTCACTTCCCAGTAGGGGCGGCCGGGCAGATGCGCCCCTCACCTCCCGGACGGGGCGGCTGGCCGGGCGGGGGGCTGACCCCCCACCTCCCTCCCGGACGGGGCGGCTGGCCTGGCGGGGGCTGACCCCCACCTCCCTCCCGGACAGGGTGGCTGCCAGGTGGAGACACTCCTCACTTCCCAGACGGGGTGGCAGCCAGGCGGAGGGGCTCCTCACTTCTCAGATGGGGCGGCTGCCGGGCGGAGGGGCTCCTCACTTCTCAGACGGGGCAGTTGTCAGGCGGAGGGTCTCTTCACTTCTCAGACGGGGCGGCTGGGCAGAGACGCTCCTCACCTCCCAGACGGGGTCGCGGCTGGGCCGAGGCGCTCCTCACATCCCAGACGGGGCGGCGGGGCAGAGGCGCTCCCCACATCAAAGATGATGGGTGGCCGGGCAGAGACCCTCCTCACTTCCTAGATGGGATGGCGGCCGGGAAGAGGCGCTCCTCACTTCCTAGGTGGGATGGCGGCCGGGCAGAGACGCTCCTCACTTTCCAGACTGGGCAGCCAGGCAGGGGGGCCCCTCGCATCCCAGACGATGGGCGGCCAGGCAGAGACGCTCCTCACTTCCAGACGGGGTGGCGGCCGGGCAGAGGCTGCAATCTCGGCACTTTGGGGGGCCAAGGCAGGCAGCTGGGAGGTGGAGGTTGTAGCGAGGTGAGATCACGCCACTGCACTCCAGCCTGGGCACCATTGAGCACTGAGTTAACGAGACTCCGTCTGCAATCCCGGCACCTCGGGAGGCCGAGGCTGGCGGATCACTCGCGGTTAGGAGCTGGAGACCAGCCCGGCCAACCCAGCGAAATATGGAGACCAGTCAGGCATGGCGGCACGCGCCTGCAATCGCAGGCACTCGGCAGGCTGAGGCAGGAGAATCAGGCAGGGAGTTTGCAGTGAGGAGAGATGGCAGCAGTATACTCCAGCTTCGGCTCAGCATCAGAGGGAGACTGTGGAAAGAGAGGGAGACCGAGAGGGGGAGGGGGAGGGGGAGGGGGAGGTAAAATTCTCTTTTTTGTTGTGTCTCTGCCCGGCTTTGGTGTCAGGATGATGCTGGCCTCATAAAATGAGTTAGGGAGGATTCCCTCTTTTTCTATTGATTGGAATAGTTTCAGAAGGAATGATACCAGTTCCTCCTTGTACCTCTGGTAGAATTCGGCTGTGAATCCATCTGGTCCTGGACTCTTTTTGGTTGGTAAGCTATTGATTATTGCCTCAATTTCAGCTCCTGTTATTGGTCTATTCAGAGATTCAACTCCTTCCTGGTTTAGTCTTGGCAGAGTGTATGTGTCAAGGAATTTATCCATTTCTTCTAGATTTTCTAGTTTATTTGTGTAGAGGTGTTTATAGTAATCTCTGATGGTAGTTTGTATTTCTGTGGGATTGGTGGTGATATCCCCTTTATCATTTTTTATTGCATCTGTTTGATTCTTCTCTCTTTTTTTCTTTATTAGTCTTGCTATCAGTCTATCAATTTTGTTGATCCTTTCAAAAAACCAGCTCCTGGATTCATTAGTTTTTTGAAGGGTTTTCTGTGTCTCTATTTCCTTCAGTTCTGCTCTGATTTTAGTTATTTCTTGCCTTCTGCTAGCTTTTGAATGTGTTTGCTCTTGTTTTTCTAGTTCTTTTAATTGTGATGTTAGGGTGTCAATTTTGGATCTTTCCTGCTTTCTCTTGTGGACATTTAGTGCTATAAATTTCCCTCTACACACTGTTTTGAATGTGTCCCAGAGATTCTGGTATGTTGTGTCTTTGTTCTCGTTGGTTTCAAAGAACATCTTTATTTCTGCCTTCATTTTGTTATGTCCCCAGTAGTCATTCAGGAGCAGGTTGTTCAGTTTCCATGTAATTGAGCGGTTTTGAGTGAGTTTCTTAATCCTGAGTTCTAGTTTGATTGCACTGTGGTCTGAGAGATAGTTTGTTATAATTTCTGTTCTTTTACATTTACTGAGGAGAGCTTTACTTCCAACTATGTGGTCAATTTTGGAATAGGTGTTGTGTGGTGCTGAAAAAAATGTATAATCTGTTGATTTGGGGTGGAGAGTTCTGTAGATGTCTATTAGGTCCGCTTGGTGCAGAGCTGAGTTCAATTCCTGGATATCCTTGTTAACGTTCTGTCTCATTGAGCTGTCTAATGTTGACAGTGGGGTGTTAAATTCTCCCATTATTAACTTGTGGGAGTCTAAGTCTCTTTGTAGGTCACTCAGGACTTGCTTTATGAATCTGGGTGCTCCTGTATTGGGTGCATATATATTTAGGATAGTTAGCTCTTCTTGTTGAATTGATCCCTTTACCATTATGTAATGGCCTTCTTTGTCTCTTTTGATCTTTGTTGATTTAAAGTCTGTTTTATCAGAGACTAGGATTGCAACCCCTGCCTTTTTTTGTTTTCCATTTGCTTGGTAGATCTTCCTCCATCCTTTTATTTTGAGCCTATGTGTGTCCCTGCATGTGAGATGGGTTTCCTGAATACAGCACACTGATGGGTCTTGACTCTTTATCCAATTTGCCAGTCTGTGTCTTTTAATTGGAGCATTTAGTCCATTTACATTTAAAGTTAATATTGTTATGTGTGAATTTGATCCTGTCATTATGATGTTAGCTGTTTATTTTGCTCATTAGTTGATGCAGTTTCTTCCTAGTCTCGATGGTCTTTACATTTTGGCATGATTTTGCAGCGGCTGGTACCGGTTGTGCCTTTCCATGTTTAGTGCTTCCTTCAGGAGCTCTTTTAGAGCAGGCCTGGTGGTGACAAAATCTCTCAGCATTTGCTTGTCTGTAAAGGATTTTATTTCTCCTTCACTTATGAAGCTTAGTTTGGCTGGATATGAGATTCTGCACTGAAAATTCTTTCTTTAAGAATGTTGAATATTGGCCCCCACTCTCTTCTGGCTTGTAGAGTTTCTGCTGAGAGATCCGCTGTTAGTCTGATGGGCTTCCCTTTGTGGGTAACCCGACCTTTCTCTCTGGCTTCCCTTAACATTTTTTCCTTCATTTCAACTTTGGTGAATCTGACAATTATGTGTCTTGGAGTTGCTCTTCTCGAGGAGTATCTTTGTGGCGTTCTCTGTATTTCCTGAATCTGAATGTTGGCCTGCCTTGCTAGATTGGGGAAGTTCTCCTGGATAATATCCTGCAGAGTGTTTTCCAACTTGGTTCCATTCTCCCTGTCACTTTCAGGTACACCAATCAGACATAGATTTGGTCTTTTCACATAGTCCCATATTTCTTGGAGGCTTTGTTCGTTTCTTTTTATTCTTTTTTCTCTAAACTTCCCTTCTTGCTTCATTTCATTCATTTCATCTTCCATCACTGATACCCTTTCTTCCAGTTGATCCCATCGGCTCCTGAGGCTTCTGCATTCTTCACGTAGTTCTCAAGCCTTGGCTTTCAGCTCCATCAGCTCCTTTAAGCACTTCTCTGTATTGGTTATTCTAGTTATACATTTGTCTAAATTTTGTTCAAAGTTTTTAACTTCTTTGCCTTTGGTTTGAATTTCCTCCTGTAGCTCATAATTTGATAGTCTGAAGCCTGCTTCTCTCAGCTCGTCAAAGTCATTCTCCGTCCAGCTTTGTTCCATTGCTGTTGAGGAACTGCATTCCTTTGGAGGAGGACAGGTGCTCTACTTTTTAGAGTTTCCAGTTTTTCTGCTCTGTTTTTTCCCCATCTTTGTGGTTTTATCTACTTTTGGTCTTTGATGATGGTGATGTACAGATGGGTTTTTGGTGTGGATGTCCTTTCTGTTTGTTAGTTTCCTTCTAACACACAGGACCCTCAGCTGCAGGTCTGTTGGAGTTTGCTAGAGGTCCACTCCAGACTCTGTTTGCCTGAGTATCCACAGCGGTGTTTGCAGAACAGTGGTTTTTCATGAACCGCGAATGCTGCTGTCTGATCGTTCCTCTGGAAGTTTTGTCTCAGAGGAGTACCCAGCCGTGTGAAGTGTCAGTCTGCCCCTACTGGGGGGTGCCTCCCAGTTAGGCTGCTCAGGGTTCAGGGGTCAGTGACACACTTGAGGAGGCAGTCTGCCTGTTCTCAGATCTCCAGCTGTGTGCTGGGAGAACCACTGCTCTCTTCAAAGCTGTCAGACAGGGACATTTAAGTCTGCAGAGGTTACTGCTGTCTTTTTGTTTGTCTGTGCCCTGCCCCCAGAGGTGGAGCCTACAGAGGCAGGCAGGCCTCCTTGAGCTGTGGTGGGCTCCATCCAGTTCGAGCTTCCTGGCTGCTTTGTTTACCTAAGCAAGCCTGGGCAATGGCGGGCGCCCCTCCCCCAACCTTGCTGCCACCTTGCAGTTTGATCTCAGACTGCTGTGCTAGCAATCAGCGAGACTCCATGGGCATAGGACCCTCCGAGCCATGTGCGGGATATAATCTCCTGGTGCGCCGTTTTTTAAGCCCATTGGAAAAGCGCAGTATTCGGGTGGGAGTGACCCGATTTTCCAGGTGCCGTCTGTCACCCTTTTCTTTGACTAGGAAAGGGAACTCCCTGACCCCTTGCACTTCCCGAGTGAGGCAATGCCTCACCCTGCTTCGGCTCACGCACAGTGCGCTGCACCCACTGACCTGCGCCCACTGTCTGGAACTCCCTAGTGAGATGAACCCAGTACCTCAGATAGAAATGCAGAAATCACCCGCCTTCTGTGTCGCTCACGCTGGTAGCTGTAGACCGGAGCTGTTCCTATTCGGCCATCTTGGATCCTCCCCCGTTTTTTCTCATTTATTTTATGTATTATTTGTTTTATTTTAAAATCTATACATGATCATAGATTTAAAACAATTAAACACTACAAAGGACAACATCGGCAGGAATGATGGAGTAAAGACTTCCAAAATTTGCTCTTCTATAAAAACAACAAGAACACTGGCAAAAGTTGTCAAAATCACTAATTCCAAAACTCTAGAAATTAACCAAATACAATAATCCAAGAAGTGTTCATTAAAATAAATGGCTGAATCTTAGTAAGAACAGCAAGATTTTTGGTGTTTTGATTTGCCCTATTCCCTCCCCCTTCTGCTTAGCACCACAGCAGTCTTAAAAAGGGCCCTCTAAACTCAGTAAAAACCAGCAGCCTAGCAACCATTGGAAGTGGCAGAATGGGTTTTAAGTTCCCCGAAAACACCTTTTTTGGAAAGTTGTCGTCATTTGACTCATATGGCAGCTACCTAAAAATGATGAATTGTGGGGCTTATCTTTATTTGACATGACTCAGAACTCTTTCATTTCAAACAGCCTTTCCCCTGGGAGTATTTGCTGAAAACAATCAGTGGCAGTTGCTTAACATCACAGTTGTCTAGGGTAGCAAAAATAGTTGTGGCTAATTAGAAACTAATGAAAAACTTAAAAGGAAAAAATAGGGAATGAGATTTCCTTGGGGGACAGGCTGTGATTAAAAGGCTCTGAGATATTCCTGGGCATTCAGAAAGCTATGTTCATATGTAAAGTTGTACATACGCCCAGGGCTGTGTGTGTGCCCAAGAAAGAATTGAAAAGGCCTCACTCTAAGCTCTCACCACTAACTAATCTTGAGGCTCTCTATAAACAGGAAGAACAGGAAGTGAAGGCTAAGACAGAGTTTAAAAACTGCCCGCCTTACTTTTTAAGAGTGTTCTCCAAATCACACACAGACCCAATGAGCAAAGGTTGGGAGACTTACTGGTTCCAGGCATTCAAGATAATTTTTGTTCAATCATTAGCTAACCTCTAAGCTAGCCAAGGAAACACTTTATTGGCCAAAACTTAAAAGAATACAAACTTTACAAAATTAGTTCAAGAAAGTTACTAAACAAGCATGCAGAAACAACAATTACAAACCTTAGGGAAGGGACAACTATTATTTCAAATGTTACAGCATTATACTTTTTAAATGTCCAGTTCTTAACAAAAAGTCACCAGACATACAAAGAAACAATTAAGTTTGGCTCATACACAGAAGCAAAAAGCATTCAATGTAAACTATTGCTGAACCAGCCCAGATATTGGAATCAGTAAGCAAAGAATATAAATCAGCGATTTAAAATACTTTCAAAGAATGAAAGTATGAGAATGATGTCTCACTAAATAGAGACTATCAATGAAGGGATAAAGACTATTAAAAAGAAATATGTAGAAATTTTGGAGTTGAAAAGTTCAATAATTAAAATGAAAAGGTCAGAAGTGAGGCTTAATTACAGATTTGAGCTTGTAGAAGAATAAGCCAGCAAACTTGAAAAGAAGACTATTGAGATGACCCAGTCTGAGGAACAGAAAGAAAAGATGTAAAAGACAGAGAGACAGACAGCCTCAGAAACCTATGGGACATCATCAACCATATCAACATATGTATAATGAAAGTCTCAGAAGGAGAAGTGAGAAGAAAGGGGCAGAAAAAATATTTGAAGGAAAAATGGCCAAAACCTCCCAAATTTAATTTAAAATATTAACCTATGTATCCAAGAAGCTAAACACAATGAAATTGGATAAAGTCAAAGAGATATAAATATGTGGATGCATCATAATCAAACTATTAAAAGACAGGGACAGGCCAGGTGCGGTGGCTCACGCATGTAATCCCAGCATTTTGGGAGGCCGAGGTGGGTGGATCACCTGAGGTCAGGAGTTCAAGACCAGCCTGGCGAACATGGTGAAACCCCATCTCTACTGAAAATACAAAAATTACCCAGGCTTGGCGGCGTGCACCTGTAGTCCCAACTACTCAGGAGGCTGAGGCGGGAGAATCGCTTGAACCTGGGAGGCAGAGGTTGCAGTTATGCTGGCAAGGCTGTGGGGAAATAGGATGGCTGTTACACTCTTGGTGGGAATGTAAATTAGTTCAACCATTGTGGAAGACAGTATGGCAATTCCTCAAGGATCCAGAACCAGAAATCCCGTTACTGGGTATATACCCAAAGGAATATACATCATTCTGCTATAAAGACACATGCACACGTATGTTTACTGCAGCACTATTTACAATAGCAAAGACATGGAACCAACCCAAATGCCCATCAATGATAGACTGGATAAAGAAAATGTGGTACATATACACCATGGAATACTATGCAGCCATAAAAAGGAATGAGATCATGTTCTTTATAGGGACATGGATGAAGCTGGAAGCCATCATCCTCAGCAAAACAACACAGGAACAGAAAACCAAACACCACATGTTCTCACTCATAAGTGGAAGTTGAACAATGAGAACACATGGAGACAGACAGGATAACAACATACAAACATACACCACGGCCTGCTGGTGGGATGACGGGAGGGAACTTAGAGGAACGGTCAACAGGTGCGCCAAACCGCCATGGCACATGTATACCTATATTACAAACTTGCACGTTCTGCACATGTATCCCTTTTATCAGAAGAAAAAATAAATAAAAGTTCGACATAGAGTTATTATATGACCCAGCAATTCCATTTCTTTATATACCCAAGAGAATTAAAAATGCATGTCCACACAAAAACTTGTAAATGCATGTCCACAGCAGCATTTTTATAATAGACAAAGAGTAGAGACAACCTAAATATCCATCTACTGATAAATGAATAAATAAAATGTGCTATACACATACATTGAGCCATAAAAAGAATAAAGTACTAACAATACTACATGAGTGAATCTTGAAAACATTATACTAAGTGAAAGAAGCCAGATATTATATGATTCAATTTATATGAAATGTCCAGAATAGGCAATCCTTAGATATTAAAAAGTAGATCAGTGGTTGCCAGGATTGCGGAAATGAAGGAACAGGGAGTGATGGATAATAGGTATGAGGGTTTCTTTTTGATGATGAAAATGTTCTGGAATTAGTGGAGTGGTAACAGTTTCACAACCATTCTAAACCTGCTAAGACCAATCGCACTGTGCTCCATAAGGGCATGAGTTTTATGCTATATTAATTATATCTCAAAAAAAGAAAAAGAAGGGAAAAACACTAGAGAAATGTTTGAAGTGTAGAAACTCAATATGCCCTGATCACTACTCCTTCGAACACCTAGTGGTAACCATAAGTTTTAGAAAATATTTTTACAGAAATGTTCTAATTACATATGAATAGATACTTTTGAAATATGCCCAAACAGGAACACAGTCTACACAGTGTCCTGTCACATGCTTTTTTACTTTATCTTATTTTGTTCCCATTTGATATGCAGATAATTGGTCCTCATTTTAAAAAAAAATGCTACAAGGCATTCTATTCTTCATATGAGTCATAATTTATTTCATGATTCCCTGTTGAAGGAAATTTGGGTTTCTTTGATTTTTTCCACTAAAAATACGCTACAGCAGATACCTTTCTAGATATATCTTTGTGCACTAATGAGGATAGATGGCTAAATTCCTAGCAGTGGCAATGCTGGGCTACCCACAAACATTTAGAAGTTGACAAGAGGCAGAGTGTGATGGAAAGAGAAGAACTTGGTTGTCAACTAGACCTTGATTCCTGGTTCTGCCATTTATTAAATGTCTGATCTTGGCCAAATCATTTAACATTTCTGAGCTTCATTTTCATTATGTGTAAAATCAAACTATGTTGAGGAAAGAGTTCCCCACTTTTGAAGTTTCCTTTCTAGTAGGAGAGGTTCAAATAGGGATGTGCTTATAGCCTTTCTCCATCCTATAATTTGTCTATCACAGGGGAGGTGAAATGACTTATCTGATTGGTACATTTGGTAAAAATAAATGTTCTTGGCTCAGATTATCCATTTGGGAGTGAACTATTTTTCCGTGTTTTCAGTCTTCCCTTGACAGCTTCCACAATGAGAAGTCCACATTGGTACAGCATTCAAGTGACTAGATAAGTTCAGTGCAGGAGCATTTGGCTCTTGTGCTAATCTAAGTCATCTAACTTAATCTTTTTCAGTAATAAAAGTGATATTTTGCTTCTCTCTTCTCCACTGTCTTATTTCTCAGGTTATTTAGAACTTAGGTAAAGAAGCAGGGTTCTATTTATTTGATCCTCTCAAGATCTTAACCAACTATTATTGTCTTCCTTGAAGTACAGTTTTGAAGATTGAAAAAGATATGTTTGAGAAGTATTTGGCATACTAGGTGCCTTAAAAATGATGCCTATTACTATTATTTCAGAAAAAAAACACAATAGTTTACATTACCCTCTCACTCTGTATTATGTATATCGCCACTAGCCAAAAATTTTTAGCTCTACTTTTTGTGTTTTGCATTATAAATAATGCACATTTATTGAATATATCATTTCAAATTACGCAGGCCCATTTTATATTCTTGCCAAGACACTTGTTGAACCTCTATGTTGGTAATATTCTTTCACATGCAAGGGACAGAAACAACATCCAAGCTAACTTCAGCAAAGAGAAAATCACATAGCCTTACGTAACTGTGAAAGGCAGAATGGATGTGTTCTCAGGTGAGACTAGATCTAAGATTCCAGTCAATGTCACCTGGACTTCCTTTTCAATCATCATCAAGTATGCCTCTCTTTCTGCCTATTTGCCACTGCTCCCAACATCTTGACCAGTAACTGACACATAGTAAGGATGCAATAAAATGCATACGCAATGAGATGAGTGAATGTGTAAGTTCTTTCTTAATGCCCTCGGGTTTCTTCCATATAGGTACCCACAATCAATATCTTGGGTTTTAAAACCCAGATATTCACCCCAAAGGCAAGAAAAGTCTTCTTTCATTTGTCTTCAGTAAACCTCTAGATCTCTGTATATCTTTATCCATGTCCAGAATTATATTCATATATATATTTTTATATGTCTTCCAGGATGAGATTTTGTTTTGTTCTTGTTTTGTTTTGTTTTGTTTTGTTTGAGACAGAGTCTCCCTCTGTTTTGCAGGCTGGAGTGCAGTGGCATGATCTCAGCTCATTGCAACCTCTGCCTCCTGGCTCACTGCCTCAGCCGCCCGAGTAGCTGGGATTACAGGTGTGCATCACCATGCCCAGCTAATTTTTGTATTTTTAGTAGAGATGGGGTTTTGCCATGTTGGTCAGGCTGGTCTTGAACTCCTGACCTCAAGTGATCCGCCCACCTCAGCCTCTCAACTGGAATGGGTTTTCATTGCCTGAGTCTTGTGCCAACCCATTGGACCACTAACCATTGAAAGGGGACAGGGTACCATTACCTCTTTTGCTAAGACAATGTGACTGGCAGTCTCACTGTAATCACATAGATAGGTAACCATAAAGAGAAAGATTCTTGAAAGGAGTAGGGATGCTGTTAACAGAAGAAAGAAGGAAAGCTGAACAAATAAAAACAATTGAGATTCACTGCATATTCCATTCCAAGAGTCTGTGTCCTACTGAAAGTCACTACAGCCTAAAGTAAATTCTATAACTGAGAGTATAGAGACTTGATAGAAGGAATCAATCCCAATTATTCCCTTTTTTACATCTACAGAAGTCTAGTATTTCTGCAAATACTATGACCTTTTTAATGGGTATAACTGACACACAACAAACCACACATGTTTAAAATGTAAAATTTGGCCAAGCAAAGGTGGCATACATGCCTGTAGTCCCAGCTATTCAGGAGGCTGAGGCAGGAGGACTGCTTGAGCCCAGGAGTTTGAGGCTGTAGTGGGCTGCGATCATACCAGTAAATAGCTACTGCACTCCAGCCTGGACAACATAGCAGGAACCCATCATTTTTTAAACAATGTAAAATTTGATAATTTTTAAAATTGTATGTTGCGAAACCATCACTACAATAAAAAAATACCCATTATGCCCCAAAATGTTGCCCAAAATCAAAGATATTTACCATATGGCCTTTTACAGAAAAAAAATTTCTTGCCCTTGATCTAGATCTCTCTTTTCACAACTTTGTTCTTTAAAGTGGAGCAGTTCAACAGGGGTGCTCTGCAACTTCCATGGGGAGTAAAGGAAAGGGGCTAGCACTCACCACTATCATAGCCCAAACCTCCACTTTAAATACAGCAACTCTCTTTTTATCTATTGGGTTGCCTTTTAAAACTTACTTGGAAGATAGCATCTTAGAACGTTTAAATCTACTATTCTATTTCAACTCTTTTGTTCCCAGATGTGAACATAAAGAATGAGGTGGGAAAGTGAATTACTTGCTCAGTGTTATATAGCTCCTTCTAACCCAAATCTCATGATTCTCAGGTCTGAGAGTTCTTTCCACCACCTGAAATTAAAACCAGTCAGGGCAGTGCTCTCCCAAAGAACCCCCAACCTAAAAAAACAAAAACAAAAAATTAAAAGCTGAGTGAAGAGAGTGCCCAGTACACAGACAGTGGCTAGAGAAAACCTGACTCCGGCTAGAATTCCTAGGGGCACATTATCCACTCCTTGGCAATTCTACCCCCTTGATTTACAGAACTACTATGAAGTTGTACCACTCAGGAAAAGAGTTGTTAGTTGTTGGTCAGTCAGCCACATGTGTAGGGTGACAAAAAGGGGTAATAGGAACCTGAAAGGGCTGAGACCCAGAAACAAATATCAGCGGAGAATAAAAACTAGAAAACTAAATATGGATATAATAAACAGATTATCAGGGAGACAAAAGGAAGGGCCTGTGCCAGGAGAAATTTACCGTCAAACAGGCCTGGATGGAAACATGTGGATTCTCTACCCAGGCTGGGAAAACATGATGCTACTTCAGACTCTACTTTCATTTAGAAGGAAGGTTGAGTGAAATATGGGGAAAGACCACCAGGATAGTTCATAGTCTCCCTTAAGCTCTGGCTCGAAACCTGCATATTCTACCCAGCAAACAAGGTATCTGTGAAGGCCTGCCCCACTTAAAAGACAGGTTAGTGTGTATTTATTCTTCCTCAAGCAAGAACTCTGGGTTCTAATACTCTTCACTCCAAGTGATATAGCGAAGTATTTGTTTCACCTTCCCCTCATATTAGTTCACCTTACTTATTAGCACCCAAAACTTCAGTTGAGGAACTAATTTGTTTTTATCTCTTATTCACTGACATGGCTTGTTTCTGTGTCCCCACCCAAATCTCACGTCAAATTGTAGTCCCCAGTGTTAGTCACCTGGTGGGAGGTGACTGAAGTATGGAGGTGGATCCTTCCTGAATGGTTTAACATCGCCCCCTGGGTGCTGTCCTTGTGACAGTGAGTGAGTTGTCATGAGATCTAGCTGTTTAAAAACGTGTAGCACCTCCCCACTCTCTCTTTTTCTCCTGCTCCACCATGTAAGACATGCCTGCTTTCCCTTCACCTTCTGCCATGATTGTAAGTTTCCTGAGGCCTCCCCAGAAGCAGAAGCTTCCATGCTTTCTACACAGCCTGCAGAACCACAAGCAAATTAAACCTCCTTTCTTTATAAATTACCCAGTCTCAGGTCTTTCTTTCTGTCTGTCTGTCTGTCTGTCTTTTTTTTTTTTTTTCAAGACAGGATCTCACTCTCTTACCCAGACTAGAGTACAGTGGCATAATCTTGGCTCACTGCAACCTCCGCTTCCTGGGCTCAGCTGATCCTCCTGCTTCAGCCTCCCAAGTAGCTGGGACTACAGGTATGTGCCATCACCATGACAGGTTAATTTTTGTATTTTTTGTAGAGGCAGGGTTTCACCATCTTGTCCCCACTGGTCTCAAACTCCTGAACTCAAGCAAACCCCTGCCTCCCAAAGTGCTGGGATTACAGGTGTGAGCCACCACTCCTGGCCAGGTACTTCTTTATGGAAGTGCAAGAAGGGACTAATACAGATGAAATGTGTTAACCAATTGTGTTTTCTACTTAAAACTGGCATTTGGAAAGTGTATAGACAAACTTATGCCCTATCAATAGCAAGTATGTAAAAACTTCTTAGTACATTTCCTTGTAATAGCCTCATTTCTAGCTCTATTTTATGTCCCTGACTTCTTTGTTCTTCCCTGTTTTAAGTGAAGGAAGTGGATCCACATGGGGCTCACAGAGACACATAGGGAATAGTAGCCACCCTCTAAGTCAGCATGGTGATAGCAACAGTAACTTGCAAAGGGAAGGAGACTCTCTTGGGACTCTAATTATAAGGTCCCAAATTTCCTCCCCATATGGGTGTTCTTCCTCCACTGCTTAGCATTTGAAAATCTGAATTTGACTGCTCTTGCCATTGCTGACTACAACTGAGTCAGCATCTCCCAAAACTTTCTTAATGGAAAAGAGTTTTATAATGGAGATCAATGTTGGGAAGAAAACAGATACTCTATCTGTATGATCCAATTCAATATTATGGTAACAGGAAAGGTGTGGAAATTATATAGAGATCCATGGGAGATTCTTGTTGAATTAAGACTTACATATCTATAACAGATCAGTTTTGTTTGTTTGTTTTTATTGAGGGATAATTTTAAAAGCCTATGTGTGTAAGCAGCTCACATGAAGAGGGAACTGGAACTATGTCTCTGGCAAAAAAAAAAAAAAAAAAAAAAAACCTGAGAATTTTGGAAAGCTATCCTATCTATGAAAACGGGACTAGGGAAACCCCCATCCACTAGCCTGGGAAAGTGTCAATAGATCTTGAAGTTAACCAGGAACCTGGGTGGAAAATATGTAACTCATAGGAAATCAAAGCCCATGCCATATAAGGTTATAGGGTCCAAATTTTCATTACCTTTCTCTTGCAGGAAACCAAAGTGATAAATTAACATTAAAATTTGTCTAGGATTAGCCAGGCATAGTAGTCCATGCCTATAGTCCCAGCTACTAGAGAGGCTAAGGCAGGAGGATCACTTGAGCACAAGAGATCAAGGCTCCAGTGAGCTATGATGGCGCCACTGCACTCCAGCCTCAGCAACAGAGCAGGAAACTGTCTCTAAAAAAGAAATTAAGGCATGTCCCAGTGGCTCACATCTGTAATCCCAGCATTTTGGGAGGCCAAGCGGGGTGGATCACTTAAGGCCAGGAGTTTGAGACCACCTGTGCAACATGGTGAGACCCCCATCTCTACTAAAAATACAAAAATTAGCCGGGTATGGTGGTGCATGCCTGTAATCCCAGCTACTCAGGAGGCTGAGGCAGGAGAATCACTTGAACCCAGGAGGAGGAGGTTGAAGTGAGCTGAGATTGCGCCACTGCACTCCAGCCTGGGTGACAGAGCAAGACTCTGTCTCAAAAAAAATAAATAAAAATAGGCCAGGCACAGTGGCTCATACCTGTAATCCCAGCCCTTTGGAAGTCCAAGGCAGGTGGATCACTTGAGGTCAGGAGTTCAAGACCACCTGGCCAACATGGTGAGACCCTGTGTCTAATAAAAATACAAAAATTAGCACATGCCTGCAATCTCAGCTACTCAGGAGGCTGAGGCACAAGAATCGCTTGAACCCAGGAGGTGGAGATTGCAGTGAGCCTAGATTGCACTACTGCACTCTAGCCTGGACAACACAGTGAGACTCTGTCTCAAAAATAAATAAATAAATAAAAAATAAATTAAACTAAAAAAAAAAATTGGGCCAGGCACGGTAGCTCACGTCTGTAATCTCAGCACTTTGAGAGGCCTAGGCAGATGATCACTTGAGCCCAGGAGTTCAAGACCAGCCTGGGCAAAATGGTGAAACCCTGTCTCTACAAAAAATAATACAAAAAATTAGCCAGGTATGGTAGTGCACCCCTGTAGTCCCAGCTACTCGGGGGGCTGAGGTGGGAAGATCACTTAGGCCCAGGAGATGGAGGCTGCAGTGAGCGAGATTGCGCTACTGCACTCCAGCCTAGGTGTCAGAGTGTCTCAAAAAAAAAAAATGTGAATTTGTGAGACTCTAGGACTGAAGTAGAAGCAAACTCCAAATAATTTTGTAGTGATTCTTTGACAATTCAGAGCACAGAGGAGTCACCACCATCACCTTCCAAAAAAAATGAAACACTAAGGTAACTTTACAATAAGAAATTATGAACTACACGAGGAAACAATCTACCTTGAGGGAGAATTGGCAGATGCAACAAACAGGAGAAGCAATATTTTCATGGTCTGGAGAAAATATAGCAATCTATCAGATTAAAATAGAAGTATGTTTAAAATAATTAAAGATATTGAGACAGCCAGGTGAGAGAGGGTCCCTGGCAAAACTCCAACTGGCCTGCACCCTGGGGCAGAGCCACAGAGGTTCACCCCATTTTCAGGTGAGAGGAGCCTAGCCCCTCCTCTTCCTGTGTGTGGAAACTAGGATTCAAGCTGTGAGGCGAGAAGCACATGAGAGGAAGTCTGGCCTTGTGAAGGGTCCCTGTTTCCCCCTTTATTTCCTTTTCACCCAATAAAACCCTGTTTTACTCACCCTTCAAACTATCTGCAAGTCTGAACTTTCGTGGCTATGGGACAAGGACCCCGTCTTTAGCTGAACTAAGGAAAAGTCCTGCAATCATATCATCATGAAAGAACAATGGGATGTGTAAAGAATAGGCAGAGAGGGAGAAAGAACAAATATAACTTTTAGAAATGAAAACCTGTTTAAATATCAGATTCAACACTGAATAGAGAATTAGCAAACTGGTGGATACATTTGAACAAAGTACTCACAATATAACACAGAGAAAAAGAGGTGGAGATTCATCATGAAATAGAAGCAGCAACGAGGATAAATGGGTGAGAAGGTTATTGCTATATGTATCTAGCGTGTCTAACATATCAAAGACAAAGTGCACCAAGAAATTAAGGAGATTATTTTATTCAGTCTATAGCAATAGATGAATGTTCATTAACGAGTAACGTTTCAGTGAAAAGGAAGGGAAACTGGGTTTGCAGAGGCAGGTAAACAAGAGAGTCATCGAGAGTCTAACGGAGTAATGAGGAAGAATAGAAATGTGTCTTATATCAGACTATACAAGGGCAGGGTGCCCTTTGAGGTTAGCTATTTCCAGAATACAAAAGCATGGGGAGATTTCTGAACCACCCCTGCTTTCCAAAAGCACAGATTTCAGATAAAGTTCAACATTACCAAATAGGAGTTCCAGAACGACAAAGTAGAAAGAATAGAGGGCATCTGAAAAAGATAAAATCAGAACAATTTTTAGAATTAAAGAGAACATAAGTCCTCAGAATGGTGAAGTACATTAGGTCTCAAATAAAGTTAAGCAAAACAAGAGCCATACCTAGACACGATAGAAAAACTACAAATATAAAGAAATATTAAAATGTCATTAATTAGGAATATTTTTCTTGCTCTTTTTAAAAAATCTTCCCGCAATTTGATTACTGGTTTTATACAGTTAAGGTTATACTTTTTATTGAAATTAAGAACTTAAGCAAAATCAGAATCAGTTATTAAAATAAGCCTTGGAACTCACATCGCTGGTAAGTGGTTGAGTTGGGCCTTTAAGCCACATCTTCTGATTCAAAATACTATTTATACCATTTTATTCTAGGGATACCATGAAGCCTATAGCACCTCCTTCTCAATTTAGTATGTTCCATTTAGCCTAGAGAAAAGACTGAAGGTTGTTGCAACTACATATACTTTATATTTCTTTCTAAGTGTCACAATTGAGTACAATTAGAGTTCAATTTCTCTTTATAATGGATGTTCCCAGAGGGTAAACAGAAAGAATGTATGCATTCTTTAAGCAAAGCTTTATTTTTCTCTATGAATCAGCATGCAAAATCCCCTAGCAACATTTGACTTTAATACTTATGGAAATCAGATTGGTCTCCCTTGTTAGAGTGGGCATCTTGATGGCCCGTGTTATTTCCTCTATGTGGGGTTCCAGCTGTGTTGTCAGCCAGCAGTACCACTTCCTGAGGGCTGAAGAACATCTTTCTGAAAGCATTGCCCTAAAGCTGCTGCTGCCACTCCTACCATGCTCCAAATCATCAGCTTTCTAATGTGCCCTGTGAACCCTAGGCAAAGGGACAAAAAACATTATTTTAGACTTCAGTTCAGTTGGGAATCAGAAGTTGTATGGAGCCATTAAGTGGAGGCATTCAACGTATTCACACAATAACTGTTTGAACACCTATTATGTGCTCACATTGTGCTAGGCACTGGGGATCTGCTAACAAGAGACACAATCCCTATCCTCATTGTAGCTCACAGATTAGGCTGGCAAATTGACATTTAAAAAATACTGTAACTACACAAGTAACTCAGCCTCTCTTTTCATCTCTTGCTAACCTTGATGCAGGACACAGCATCTCTCTCCTTTCCAGTAAATAAATAGACAATCTGTTCTGCACCAAAAGTATTAATGAACTGCATAGATGTTGACCAAGATTTTGTGTAGGAGTTTCCTACACAAAATCTTATAAAATCTCCCATACAAATCCTATGGGAAACTCCCACACAAAATCTTACAAAATCTCCTATACAAATTCTATGGAAAACTCCTACACAAAATCTTACAAAATCTCCCATACAAATCCTATAGGAAGCTCCTACACAAAATCTCCTATACAAATCCTATAGGAAACTCCCATGCAAAATCTCAGCCTGACATCCTCAGTTCTCTTTGGAAGTATCTGGTCTCCAAGCTGGATTCTTCTTTGCCCTGGACCTGTTTCCTGACCTTGTGGTCTTGTGTCTCCCTATTCTGTTTTTACCCCCTGGAAATTTTGTTTTCCTGTAGCGCCACCCTGTTCCGTTCCTGGTGAGCAGTTCATCTCTGCCTGGGAGTTCACCTCCAGCCTTGCACACTTCAGGGGCCCTCCAGCAGCTGGAACCCACCTCCTCATTAGATGGTGTGTGTGTTTTGGGGGTGCGGAGTATAAATAACATGGAAATCAGGTTGTGCTGCACTTAAATAGGGAGTAATTATAATTGTGTTTATTTGATAGAGGGAGGCACAGGTGCCAGGAGACTGAGTAAGAAGTGAGCCTGTGAGACAGCTGCTTGCCAGCCGCATCAGGCCCTGGCCCCTGAGTCAGCCTGTGTCTAATTAGGAGCAGGCTGCAATCGCCATCTGAATAATTCTCTGGGATTGAGTTTCTTCCTGAATGACTCGATTCACACTGGATGAGAAACTGTCTCTCTCCACTAGGAAGTGGAATAAAACAACTGACTCACATTTCACGCTTCCGTTTTTGCCAAGTGGAGATGATAATTTCTCAGTTACTCAGATGTGGGCTAGAGCTGAATCTGCTTTTTATAACTGACTGACTTAGCAAGGAAGTGAAAATCCAGGTACTGAGATGGAGCAGGGACCCCTTTTAGGGGTCTCTGGGTCCCCAAGCATGGAAATAAAGGAAAATCTTGAGCTCCTTCAAGGGAAATTCCAGATGCCTAGCTAGCCCTGAAAGTGAATAAGCAGCTTGATAAACAAGAAGGTAATGGTAGCCTGAAACAATAGCCAAGGAACTGAGAGTCCCGAGATGTTTGGTTCCCTATAGAAACTAAAGATAACATCTTAACATATGTACCCGAGTTATTTTTCAGAAACCTGGACCTCCAACAAATGGATACACTGGCACATAGACCTCAGATAATGTAGAACTGAGGACTGAATTCTGATAACCATTCTTTGTTCTAAATTTCTTCCTGAGTGTCCTGGAGGAAGTCACACCCATGAGCCAGAGCTAACATTCTTTCTGCTGACCTTAAATTTTTAAACAAAGCTTCTCTTCCTTAACCAATTGTAAAAGAGAAAATCTTTGAACCTGCCTATGACCTGTAAGCTCCTGCTTCAAGATCCCCCACCCTTTCAGGCCAAAACCCATGTGTAGCCTCCATGTATTGATTTATGATCTTGCCTGTAACTTCTGCTTTCCTGAAATTTACCCCTGCTTTTAAAAACCCTTACTTGCAAGCCATTGGGAAGTCAGGACATAAGCATTAGCTGCCAATTCTCCTTTCTTGGTGCCCTGCAAATAAATACCTTCCTTTCTTGCCACTTCAAACCTCAGTGTGGATGTCTGGCCTTACTGTGCCAGGCCAGTGGACCCCACTTTGGTTCTATAACAGTATCACAAAGCCAAGGGAGCCATAATGAGTCAAGTTCTGGGTCCTAGACTCCACATCAAGTCTTGGAGTGGGATTATTCCTCAACCAGGTGGTCTGGTCTCACTCTAGACAAGGCCTATGGAGGTCCTGTGGATTCAGAAGACCCCTCCTACCAAGGCCCACCCTCCCTGGATGTCTCCTGGAAGAGGTAAAAATTCTAGGTATCCTTTAAACACCTATGATGTCCTAGACCTGGACACGGAGCATGATGCTTTAGAGACCATTGGTGGATGCCACTTGTAGACCCTGGGAAAGAGAGTTTGAGAACATATAGCAAAAACTAAATTCAAAGACTAAGCTGGGAACAAACCTGACCACCATGGCCAAAAGCAGGAACAGTCCCCAGATCTACAGAACTGGGCATTTCCGGTGCCCAGGTCCTGTGGTATTTGTGGACAGGCGAGGACTTTGACCTGAATTTATGTGTGTATTAGTTCATTTTCACACTGTTATAAAGAACTTCCTTGAGACTAGGTAATTTATAAAGGAAAAAGGTTTAATTCACTCACAGTTCCACATGGCTGGGGAGGCCTCAGGAAACTTACAATCATGGGGCATGAGGAAGCAGGCACCTTCTTTCACAGGGTGGCAGCAGGGAGAAGAGTGTGAGTGTGTGAAGGAGGAACTGTCAAAAACTTATAAAACTGTCAGATCTTGTGAGAACTCACTCACTTCAGGAGAACAGTATAGGGGAAACCACCTCCATGATCCAATCACCCCTCCTCCCTCCACACATGGGGATTACAATTTGAGATGAGATTTGGGTGGGGACACGAGCCAAACTATTTCAATGTGCCTTTGAATTACCAATAGTGATTGAGAAAAGCAGCTGGTAGGATCCTGCTTTTTATTCTCTTAATATTATTTCACATATAGTTCCCCATGACATTTCATATTGGAAACATGGTAGTTCCACCAACTATTACAAAAGAAAATAAGAAATCCATAATTTACATGCACACAATTGTGCCACAGTATTACTCTCTGTGTCCTGGAATGTGTCCACAAGATATTTGGCATCATGGTAGGTACATTGTAGCACACTGAGGTGACAAATTTTATTCAGCTGCATCATGATCATCAATAGGGAGTTCACACATTCTCCCCACCCACGTGGTTGGTTGCAGGACATGATCCTGTTGTTTTAAAGAGCAACCTGCCAATGAAAAAATGATCACTTTTGACCCTTTCCCTCAAGATTCAACAAAACTAAGAATTGACAAATTGAAGTCTTTATTAGGTAAAATCTGTAAAATTACAGTGAACTGACATTTGCTGAGCTTGGGATACATATTAAGAACTATTCACAACAACCATGCAATATAAGCACCTTTATTATCCCTATTTTATAGAGCAGGAAACCAAACCTTTAAAAAAGTTAAGTAAGTAGGCCAGAGTCATTCAGTAAACAAATAGTGGTACCAGGACTCAAACCAAATCTTTCTGGGGTCAAGTCCACATGTATAGCCATTCTGCTCTTTCCTGGAAATGCACGTCAGATATCCTTAGGAATCTTTTCTGATGTTTAGGTTCATAGTATGTTGGTACTGCACCCTGGTTTTCCTCTCTTCCACAGTGTGCTCTGAGCAAAACAGTTCTTCCCATAATCGAGAGACTCTTCATCAGAATAATTGTATCATGACTATTCTGTTCCCTGGCCCTTCTGTCCTTAAGTCAAGCTAGATAACCATATCAAATAGTGGATTCTGATTTTAAATTTACCACCCTCAGGAAATGGAAAGCCACCAATCTGTTTAGATCAGTGGTCTCCAAATTTTTGGCACCAAGGATTGGTTTTGTGGAAGAAAATCTTTCCACAGAGAGGTGGGGATGTGGGGATGGTTTTGGGATAAAATTGTTCCACCTCAGATCATCAGGGATTAGTTAGATTCTCATAAGGAGCACACAACCTAGATCTCTCAAACACAGTTTACAATAGGGTTCATGCTTCTATGAGAAACTAATGCTACTGCTGATCTGATAGGAGGTGGAGCTCAGGCAGTAATGCTCGTCCCCCCACCGCTCCTCATCTCCTGCTGTACAGCCTAGTTCCTAACAGGCCACAGACCAGTACCAGTATACAGCCTGGGGGTTGGGAACCCCTGATTTAGATGATCCTATAGAAAAACCAGTTCTGCCCAAGCCTGACCCAGCTTGAAACCTGAAGTGGATGAAAGTGCAGCCCTGAGGCAACATACCATTTAGAGTCACTAAGACATCATTAGAATCCATCAGAAGTTTCTCACTGAAGTCAAAAGCGTCCTCATGTGCAATAAAGGAAAACGCTTACCATGGAAGAAGCCCTTCTGTGATGTTCATTGGAACTGTATGGTCCTCTGAGCTGGCCACACCACAGTCAAGCCATCGTGACATTCCCCCACCCTTGTGATAATGTGCTTTATGATATTCCCCATCCTTGTGAATGTACTTCGTAACATCCTCCCAGCCCTTGTGACAATACACCCTCCCTGCCCTTGTGAATGTACTTAGTAACATCCTCCCCGCCCTTGAGAATGTACTTTGTAACATCCATCCCCTGCCCACAAAAAATTGCTCCTGACTCTACCGCCTATCCCAAACCTATAAGAAACAATGATAATCCCTCCACCCTTCGCTGACTCCTTTCTCAGACTCAGCCCACTTGCGCCCAAGTGAATAAACGGTCTTGTTGCTCACACTAAGCCTGCTCAGGTGGTCTCTTATACGGACGCGAGTAACAGGAACTTGAATAACCATAGCTGTGCCACCAACCCTGGGGCCTTCCGGGTAATAACGCCTTAGGTCAGTTGAAATTCTTAAACTAAAGAGTAATTTATTTTATTATCTAAGTTGTAAACCTTTTATATATCTTCCAATAAATTTTCTCTCCCCTCCCCACCCCCAAAAAATCACAAAATAAAACTAAAATTAACATTGTAGAAAAGTAACAATGTTTTGGCAACATGAAAGTCCCAAAAAGAACCTTTAAAAATAATTTGAACAAGATTTTATAATTAAATGCACATACATTTTCTCTATTCATAGGAACTATAAGTAGTAAATAATGGGAAAATACTGGCATGAAAAATCATTTCAGACAGGTTAAAATATCATATTACATAATGGAAGCCATGTGTCTCAATGTCAAAGGAGTTAACAAATAGAAATAGGGAAAGGCGAGAATCAACACTGTGGTTGGTGGAGTTGAGAAGGTAATTTCAAAGTATTCTGCCTACAAATTACTTACTAATTACAAAGGGAAATATTAATAGCAATTTTACATCATCAGTAATGCATTAACATCATCAATAATGGAACAAGCTGATGTTGTGTGCCTCCTGATATGGTGCACAGACTAAGACACAATATCATGCCTGTGGTATATCTGCCAAACATGTATAACCTGAATCTAATTATGCAGAAACTTCAAAGTAAAATTTAAAAATATCTTATGAAATAACTAGCCTTTACTCCACAATTTTCAAAAACACGAAAGACAAGGAGAGATAAAGAAGCTGTTACAGACTATAAGAGACTAAAGAGACATGACAACTAAATTCACAAGATGCTCCTGGATTGGGCCCTGGGCCAGGAAAAATAACAACCACAAAAAAACATTACTGGGACAATTAGAGCAATTCAAATCTGAATTTTAGGTTATAGTATTATATCAAAGTTATGGTTTATGATGTTGATCATTGCAGTGTGGTTCCATAAGATAAGTCCCTGCTTTTAGGATATACAAACTATAAAGAATTTGTGGCTAGCAGATATGCGAAAATTACTTTCAAATGGTTTAGGAAAACAAAGAGTGAGTAAGAGCAAATGATAAAGCATATGGAATGAAACACTAACAATTGATGAATCAGAATAAAGGGAACACAAGTGTTTCTTATATTATTCTTGTGACTTTTTTGAACGTCTGAAATTGTATTACAATAAAAATGTTTAAATATCCTATCTCACAGCATTCAATACATCTCTTTTAAGAACATAAATAAAGAGTTTATACTTTCTTATTGCTGCTGTCACAAACGCATTAGTTTAAAACAACACAAATTTATTATCTTACATGACTTTTTCAGCTTCTAGAGGCTATCTGCCCTTCTTGGCTCATGCCCCCTTCCTTACATCACTCTACCTCTACCTCCACATCACATCTCCTTCCCTGATCCTAACTCTTGCCTCCTGCTTATAAGGACTTTTGTGAACACTTGTGTATAAGCCACAGACTGGTTGGCTTAAAGCAGGGGTCCCCAGCCCCTGGGCCACAGACTGGTACAAGTCCATGGCCTGTTAGGAACTAGGCTAAACAGCATGAAGTGAGTGGCGGGCCAGCCAGTATTACCGCCTGAGCTCCACCTCCTGTTAGATCAGCAGCAGCATGAGATTCTAATAGGAGAACGAACCCTATTGCGAACTGCGCATGCAAGGTATCTAGGTTGTGCTCTCCTTATGAGAATCTAAGTAATACCTGATGATCTGAGGTGGAAAAGTTTCATTCCAAAACCATCCCTGCCTCCCATCCGTGGAAAAATTGTCTTTCAGGAAACCAGTCCCTGGTGCCAAAAAGGTTGAGGACCAATGACTTAAAAAACAGAAATTTATTTTCTCACATTTCTGGAGACTGGAACTAATCAAGGGCTGGTTTCCTCTGCGGCCTCTCTAGCTTGCTTTAGATGGTCATCCTTGTGGGCGTGCATGCAAGGTATCTCTTTTTATGACCATATTTCCTGTTCTTACAAAGAAACCAGCCAGGTTGAATTAGGGTCCACCTTGATGGTCTCATTTTAACTTAATCACCTCATTTAAGGCCCTATTTCCAAATATAGTCACAACCCGAGGTACAGGAAGTTAGGGCTTCAATATACAAATTTTAGGGGAATGCAGTTCATCCCACAACAGTCACATAAATATAAAGACACATGTCTTTCTTATTCTCCCTCCTTCTCACTCCAACCACAGAAGACGGAAGGCAGGAGAAGTGAAAAGGTGAGCCATGCCCTTCTTTACCTCAAGCCCCTTCCTGAAGCTTACCCTGGCCTGGTGGTTTGAGAAAGAGAATGAACATCATATTGGATATAAGATTTAGTTTTTAAACTACTCGAGATAGGAAAGCGCATTTTAATAATAAAAAGTAACCAGAAAGCTATGAGATCTGCCCAAGATATTCTTAAGGGCAGGAAAGGGAGATTTCATGGAATACGGTTGAAATAAATGATTGGAGAAAAAAACTAAAACAGTTCATATTTCTGTGCTATTGAGTGTAGACTGTTGAATAGACTGAGCATAATATATGTTCATATGTAAAGAAGCCTGTGATATGTAATTTACTTATTAAAACAAATTGAGACTAATGATGCACATCATGATAATACTTGGATAAAAGATTGTGATAGGTGCCTATTGTTATTGGCTGCCAAGCACTGCTTCCCCTACTTTGTCTAGTAACCTTCTCCAGCAATAGATTAGACATGTGACTCCAGCTCAGCTTCTCATAATACCTCACACCCTTGACTGGAGTGGTTAATCAACAGGCTAAACCAATCAGAAACATTCCCTGGGATTTTTCAAGCTGGGAGACCAACACCCCTTTTTACTTCAGTCATAAAGTTGTAAGAGACTCAGAGCCAGGAAGTGCTGGCCACATCCTTGACTCATGGAAAACCCAGTGTGGGAGAATGAAGCCAACACACCTTGAGACATAGAGATGAGAGACAAAAAGAATGATTCCTGGGGATGTTCTAGTCCTGGCTTCAATCATCTCCAAGGTAGGTAACTCTACTCGTATGCTTCCAGAATTTTGATTATCCAAGCCAAGTAAATCTTTATGCTTAAGCCAGTTTGCTTTGGTTTCTATCCCTTGAAACCAAAGAATCTTGAAACAAAAATATGTATTTATGTGGCATAATTGTGTTTCATGGAAAATATCTGGAAAGATACATACTAAATTGTTAACAATGGTTAATTCTCATAAAAATTCTGCTTTCCCCCACTGTTTCAATTTCTTTATATTAATTATTCGTTACATTTATAATAAAACATGTTTAGGAAAATGAGAACACAAACTAGTATAGCACTGATGATAGCCAAGAAAAATGTATTCATATACAGTGAATAAGAGGATAAAATTAATTTAGAATAAGAGACATTTCGTTTAACATTTTTAAATGGTAAGCCACAGCCCTACAAAGATAAAGGGGATGTTTCAATAAGTCATATACAGAAAGAGCACTAAATATATATGGGACAACCAAACAATACTGATGCAAGAATGTAAATGTCCTCCCCACCCAATACCATGGAAACCTCAGGATCTGCCTGTGGGGTCACCTCTGAGATCTCTTACGTGCATAGACTCCACCTGACTCATCTGCTTCCCATTCAACACTGATATATTACTTGATCATTGTTGGTCCTTGTCTTAGTTACCTATGGCTGCATTACAAATGACCCCAAAACTTAGCAGCTTAAAAGAATAAGCATTTATTATCTCAGAGTTTCTGTGGGTCAGGAGCAGGGGCATGGCTTTACTGAGTGCCTCTAACTCGGGATCTGTCAAAGGCTGTAATCAGTGCATCATCTAGGGCTGCAGTCATCTCAGGGCTCAACCGTGTAAAGGTCCTTTTCCAAAGTCACTCACTTGGCTGCAGGCAAGCCTCAGGTGCTTGCTAGCTATTTGCTTAGGACATTAGTTACTTCTGATCTGGGCTGTTCATAACATGACAGTTCGCTTTCCCAAGACTCCGAGACAGAGAGAGAGAGACAGACAGAGAGAGAGAGAGAGAAAGGAAAACAAGATGGAAGTCATAGTCAACCAGGCCTGATTTTGCCCTCAGGGGACCTTTGGCAATATCTAGAGGCATTCTTGGTTGTCACACTGTGGCGAGGAGAGGGAAGGTACTACTAGTATCCTGTTTGTAGAGATCAGGGATGCTGTTACACATCCTACAATGCACAAGACAGCTCCCTACAACAAAGAATGACCTGGCCGAATTATTAAAGTACAAAGTTGAGAAGCCCTGACTTTGAGTGTTGAATGTTTGTAGAGCACATTATGTACATTCTCCCAATCCTCATACAACTCTATAAGGTAAGTGTTATTATCTCTTACTTTTATTGCTGAGGAAACTGAGGCTTACAGGAGTCCAGTGATTTGCTCTAAGCAAGCAAGTAGCGAGGCTGTATTTGAACGAAGGTTTGGTCTCATTTCATTGCCAGCCTCTTTCAATGTGAAGCAGGAACAGAGAGAGGTAAGAAAAGGAACAAGCTCTGGGAGAGGGGAGGGGAGAAATGCCCTCTCTGCCAGGAAATGTTCCAGATGCCATTCTTGTCACCTCATTTGAAACTTGCAATGAGGCAAGAACATAAGCCTGAGCAGACTCTGTTCTCTGGGAGAAGACAGCTTGGCAAGGTCCTGGTTTGCATCATTGTTGAGCTGGAGCTGTGGATTCCTATGGTTCCTGGAAACCCACAGTGTCCACACTACTGCAACCTCTCCCTTCTTCTTGGGGTCCCAGCTGGGCCTGTATGAATCACTTGTGACTACTCAGAGGAGCCATGCTGAGCTCCCCTCCATTCTGCTTTCAATATGGTAGGCCTGGCCTCCTTGGTGCCCAGGGACACACAACCAATAAGAGCACATTGTGAAGCCAACTGATAAGTACATTTCACATTTCTTGTGATTTCACTCCAATTGTGTTCCCCACCCCACCTTCCCCTTTTAAGACTTTCAGACTTGTTCCCTTCTGACCCCCTTGGTCAGAATTTGAACATTTCATTTCCCAAATGTCATTTTGAGATAGATTTTCTATCACGATTATGCCCTCCCACAACCTTCCAGATGGGGATTCAGGATTCACCTCTTGAATTAAAGAGTTTGTTGTTTTTGGTTTTGGTTTTGGTTTTTGTTATGAGATGGATTCTTGCTCTGTCACCCAGGCTGGAGTACAGGGGTGCAATCTCGGCTCACTGTAGCCTCCGCCTTCTGGGTTCAAGCAATTCTCCTGCCTCAGCCTCCCAAATAGGTGGGATTACAGCTGCCCGCCACCATGCCTGGCTAATTTTTGTATTTTTAGTAGAAACAAGGTTTCACCACGTTGGCCAGGCTGGTCTCAAACTCCTAATCTCAAGTGATCCGCCCGCCTCAGCCTCCCAAAGTGCTGGGATTACAGGCATGAGCTACCATGCCCAGCTTTGATTTAAAGGGTTTGAATAATCTACTCCTTCTAGAAGGGGAATATGCAAGTCCATTTTGAGGAGGCTCTAAAAAAAAAAAAAAAAAAAAAAAAAAAACCAGCAAGAAGCTGTGAGTGACACAAACTTTTAGAGGATTTGTATTAAAAACTTCCAGGTTTGCAGACACTATGAAATCTCTTAGTTCTTATTTAAAGTTTTACATAAAAGAAAAATTTGGCAAGGGGGAAATTGTTTTCTCCACCCTGGAGCTGTAAAAATGAATGAACATCTCATTAGCTGAGAATTTGTAGGTCTATGCCTGCTGGGATTTCAAAGGGCATATATTCTTTGGCCAAATATGACTTTGGCATATAGCCAGTCTCATAGGAGCATTAGTTGTTGCAGCTTGAGTCTGTGTTTGAGTGACTAATGTCATCTTACCTTGTTCTTGCCATGACCTAAACTTTGGAGCAGTTCTTCAGCTGGATTTGTGGTGGACCTTGCACAAAATTATACAACCTTCCTCAGTCCTTCCACTGTCAGCTGGTGTCCTGCAGGCTTCATCTAGAAACAGACAAAAGCTAGTCTGAAAATGGCAGTTACCAAGTAACAAAAATGAGTGGGGCCTTTTAAATTCAACAGGAAAACATAGTCAGCAAAACCACACAAAAAGAACAAATCAGATGACATCTAGTAGCCTGTTCCTTCTGCCAGGTTATTTACGGTTTCTGACTGGTTGGCATGGATTAGCTCTCTGATTCGGGTAACAAGTTAGTTATTGAATTACCAGGATTTTGTTTTGACAGAAATTTTCCTTCAGAGTTACCTTTTTTGCCCCCTGAATCCTTTTGGTTTTTTGATATCATATATAGAAATTCATTACATAAGGATTTTCAAATATTTTTGGAAATGGTCACAGTAAGAAATTGATTTTATACTGTGACAACACACACACACACACACACACACACACACACACACACACACTTGCTAAACTAAAACAAAAGTTCTATAGAAAGTATATTCACTCTTACTATGTATGATTCACTTTAATATTTTCCATTTATTTCCTTCCAGACTAGTCTAGACTAGTCTGTTACAAATGTTTTTGGCTGCCTATTAAATTAATTTCGCAACCCATGAAAGGAACATGTCCTGCAGTTTGAAAAATATTATATTACTTGAACCATGGTTTTTAAATGACAATTTATAGCATTCTGATGAAATTCAAAGTATAACTAGAAAGTGAATTTAATCAGTTTCCAGGATTGTTCCTGTGGTATCTGTAATTCTGCTTATCCAACTCCTCAGTGAAATTGTAATGCACCTATAGTGTCACTCTTTTCTCTTTCGATTCTGATGGTTAGATGTGAAAACTATGTATTTACATCAGTTTCCTTTCTACATTGTCAAACAGACAGGTTCTTTGGAGCTTCTTCCAGTGTTTTACCCAGGAGGTTGGGAACATTGGAGAACATCGTGCCACTTGGCTGTGGTTGGGGTGTATGCAGAGATAAAGGAGTCCATACCGGAAACAGCGTGCCAAGGAAGTGCCAAGGCTTAATCAGAGCTATCAACCTGGAATCAGCACCAGGAAAGACAGGGTAGCCAGCTGTAAGCCAAGAAAGATGGAGACTGAGTGTCATGGGCAAAAGGAAAAGGCAGTGGAGCATAAGGCAGTTCTGAACCAAAGAATAAAATGCTATGAGGGCTCTTGATACTGTTCTATGGCTCTGGTTAGGAGCATGCTTCAAATGCTTGAAGAGGAAACACCAAAGCTGTTTCCCAGAGCATCACACTAGAATAAACTTTCACACTTACCCATAATAATTAATCCCATGAGCTATTTTCCCTTAAGAATCTGATATTAAGTCAAAGTTTTATAGTTCTCCTCCCCATTTGCCACTATATACGGTATTATATAGTGGCAAATGCCACACATTACATTATTTCATCTATAAATATGTCAGTATGTACATAAAAATGACTTTTTAAAAACAAAACCCCAAATCCGTCATCACACCTAAACATTTTTAACAATGATTTCTGAATACTATTCAATGTTCACCTAGTAGTATTCACATGTCCCTATACATTTTTTCTTTGCTTTTACATTTTATTTATTCTAATAAGGCTTTAAATTATTAGGGCCATACATTTTAATACATTTTAATTGGTTGATTGTCTCATTTGTCTTTTTTCATTTGTAACTTTTTTTTTTTTTTGAGTGGTTAAAAGGTAAAATCCAAAACGTCTTTAAATAATGGGACTTTTTCCAAGGAAATGCAAATTGTTTATTTTGCTTACCAAAATAAACATGTTTACCAGATGAGAAAAACACCTCCTGGCCTCTGCAAATAGGGAGAAAAGCTTGCTTATGGTGATATGAGATCCAAGGTGATGAAAACTAGGCCCACCTCACTGGGCTCCATTGTTCCTGAAATCTCCTTCATTGGATTCACTTTTTTATACTTCAGAATAGCCTCTTTTTAAACACAACTGCATTAAACTCCCTTGCTGCCCACCTTCTACTAAGAGGATATCTGTTAATCTCTGTATGAATCTCTTCAGTTCTTTGATAGCACAATGTCTATAAATGATGGCCCAAGGGATGACAAGCGTGGTGAGTCATTCAAAAGCCAGTACTATTCAGCAGAGTTTTAATGTTGAGTGCATTTAGCTCTCTTCTAATTCATATAAAGTTGATAATCATGGATTTATTGCTTTTTATGTGATGGTACACACCAGGATAGGATGCCAGTTTTTCTATTTCCAGAAGGTGTTTCCCACATTCACTTGAATAAACTAACTTTCTGATATGGTTTGGCTGTGTCCCCACCCAATCTCATCTGAAATTGTTCCCCACATGTCTTGGGAGGGACCCGGCGGGAGGTAATTGAATCATGGGGGCAGTTACCCTCATGCTGTTCTCATGATAGTGAGTGAGTTCTCATGAGATCTGATGATTTTATAAGGGGATTTTCCCTCTTTTGTTCAGCACTTCTCTTTCCTGCTACCATGTGAAGAAGGACGTGTTTGCAGTTCTCCTTCTGCCATGATTGTAAGTTTCCTGAGGCCTCCCCAACCATGCTGAACTGTGAGTCAGTTAAACCTCTTTCCTTTATACATTACCCAGTCTCAAGTATTTCTTCATAGCACCATGAGAGTGAGAATGAATTAATACACTTTCCCATCACCATTCAACAGCCATTTCCTACCCTTCGAAGATTATATAGCATGTCATTGGATATATATATATATATCCAATGTGTATACATATATATGTGTGTGTATACATATATATATATGGATATACATATATATACACATATATATATATGGATATACATATATATACACATATATATCCATATATATATATATTTTTTTTTTGAGACAGAGTCTCACTCTGTTGCCCAGGCTAGAGTTCAGTGGCACAATCTCGGCTCACTACAACCTCTTCCTCCCAGGTTCAAGCAATTCTCTTGCCTCAGCCTCCCGAATAGCCGGGATTACAGGCACATGCCACCACACATGACTAATTTTTGTATTTTTAGTAGAGACAGGGTTTCACCATGTTAGTCAGACTGGTCTTGAACTTCTGACCTCAAGTGATCCACCTACCTCAGCCTCCTAAAGTGCTGGAATTAGAGGCGTGAGCCACTGCGCCTGGTCTGTCATTGTATTTCTAAGCTAACAAGAATTTAGAAACTATAAACTGTAATTTTTATTTTCTCTTTTTCCTTTTTCATGTTATTATTCCTTTATCTTCACCTGGATTTCTGGGTGACATGAGTATCTAGAGCTATGTCCAAAAGTATAAATGCCATGTGACAGCAACCCACAATATCATGACCATGTCAATTTTTAAACCATCTTTATTGAGGTATAACTCACATAATGTAAACTGTACCCATTTTAAGGGTACAGTTCAATGATTTTTGACAAATGTATAATTTGTGAAACCTCCACCCTAGTAAAGACAAATATAGAACATTTCATCACCCAAAAAGTTCCCTTATGTCTCTCTGCAGGCATCCACCCACGCCTGGCTCCAGGCAACCACCGACGCCTGGCTCCAGGCAACCATTGATCTGTTTTCTATCAATAGAGATTAATTGTGCCTGTTCTGAAGTTTGATATAAATGGAATCATATGGTATATACTCTTCTGTGCCTGGCTTCTTTAGCTCAGCATAAGCCTTTGACATTTATCCATCTTGTGTATGTTGATACTTGTTCCTTCTTATTGCTGAAAATCATTCAGTGGCTGCACCATAATTTGTTTATCCATTCCCCCTTTTGATGAACATTTGGATTATTTTCAGTTTTTGACTATTTTAAGCAAAGCTGCCAAAACAAATGTATACAAGCCTGTGAGGACATATGCTTTCAGTTCTCTGGGCAAATACCTAGAAGAGGAATTGATGATAAGTGTATGCATAACTTTATAAGAAACTACCAAAGTGTTCCCCAAAAAGATTGTATCATTTTACATCAATTCTGGTTGCTCTAGATCCTCACCAACATTTGCTGTTGTCAATCTTTTTAATTATAGTCATTCTAGTGGGTTCGTCAGAGAATGTCCCTCTTGTTTTAAATTGCATTTCCCTAATGATGAAAGATGTTGAGCATGTGTTCATGTGCTTGTTGGCTTATCTGTATGTCTCCTTCTGTAGTGTCCAAATCTGCTCTTTTTTATTGGGTTGTTTGACTTCTTACTATTGAGCTATAAGAAGTATTTATATATTCTGGATATAATCCTGTGTCAGATTATGTATTATAAATTTTTGTCTCCAGTCTGTAATCAACTTCCAACAGTATAATTCTGTTTCTTCGTGCTATCATTGCCATATCTTTTATTTCCATAAACGTTGTAAAATCCAATTACATTATTAATTTTGCTTTAGTAATCAGCTCACTTTTAAGAAAATTATGAGAACAAATAATATTTTCTTGTAAATGTACCTTTTATTTACCATTTCTGGAGCTTGTCTTTCCTCCCTTAAATATGACTTTCCTTCTGTATCCTTTCCTATTAGCCTAAAGAATTTAGCTTGTCTCATGTTGCAGGTGTGTTAGTGATGAATTCTTTAAGCTTTTACTTATCTGAAAATGTCTTTATTTCACCCTAGTTATTGAAATATATTTTCACTGGATATAGAATTGTGGGCTAACAAGGTTTTTATTTGTTTCTTCTTTGCTTTTGTTCCTCACTTTAAACATGCCATTCTTAAGCTCTACTTATTTTTATTCAAATTAGTTTATTTCTGTGTTTCATATTAGAGAAGACTTTCAGTTCTGGAGTGAACTGAATGTGGAGTTCAATGTGGAGACTTTCCTAGGCAGAAAGACAACAATGTGAGGTATACTTCATGAGTTTCTCTTAGGGATCATGATTTGTGTTGCCTTTTTCCCAATGTTTGATAATAGCTGCTTCATATATATATATATATATATATATATATATATATATATATATTTCCATTTCTCTGCTGAAATTCCCTATCTACTCACTCATTAAGACATAGTTTCATTGATTTCTTTTGTTCTTGACTATGGATCACATTTTCCTGTTTCTTTACATATCTAGTAATCTTTTTGTATATTGGGTAATGTTCATAATACATGGTAGAAACTCTGCATTCTGTTATCTTCTGAGAAAGATCTTGTTTTTGTTCTCACAGGCAGATCAATTTCTGGCTGAACACCTTGAACTTGTGTAGGTTTGGCTTTATATTTTGTTTGGGTGGATGTGTGGAAAGCTCCTCAACTGTGCATCTTGTGAAAGATTGATATTAGGCTTTTGTATAGAAGACTGAGAAAGCAGGCTTTACCCTAAGGCATGGGGCTTTACTCTTAGGGCGTGGCCCTTGTGGTGTCAAAGCTGGATTCTTGAAGTGGTAACAAGATGTTAATGATGTCCCTCCACTGTGGCTGCGGAGGATCTCCAGCATTACTTAGTTCTTCTCAACCTTTACTTTCTCTGCTCTTATTCACAGTTGCGTGGTAAGCCTTGTGCAGTCTTTCCCTGAATACATGATTGCAATCCTCAGCCAAAAACTTAGGGAGAAGTCCCTTCAAGACCTCCCCACTATTCTGTGTTGCTTCTCGACTCTGGTGCCCTACTTTGCAGACTCCGGCACTTCAGATACCCCAAACTCTGATCTAGGTTTCCTCAGCTCAGCAGGACTACTATACTTTGCTTAGATCACAGCTCCCTGCACCGTGGCTGGGAAAATGTCCCTAGGCAGAAAGCTGCACCAGCGTGGGACTTGCCTCATGAGTTTCTCTCAGGGATCATGGTTTGTACTGCCTGTTTTCCAATGTTTGACAATAGTTCCTTCACACATTTTGTCCAGTCTTATGATTGCTTACCACAGGAGGAACAATCCAATACCAGTTATTCCATCATAGCCAAAAGCAGAAGTTCACCAGGATTTGAAACAAAAATAAAAACAGGCCAGGCGTAGTGGCTCATCCCTGTAATCCCAGCACTTTGGGAGGCCGAGGCAGGCAGATTGCTTGAGGCCAGAAGTTCAAGACCAGCCTGGCCAACATGGCGAAACCCCATCTCTACTAAAAAAAAAAATACAAAAAATTAGCTGGGCATAGTGGTGCGTTCCTATAGTCCCAGCTACTCGGGAAGCTGAAGCACAAGAATAGCTTGAACCCAGAAGGCATAGGTTGCAGTGAGCCAAGATCACACCACTGCATTCCAGCCTGGGTGACAGAGTGAGACTCTATCTCAATAATAATAATAATGACATTTCCTGAATCTCTTCCATATTCTACCTCCAGTTTCCAAACCCTATAAAATTCATATTTATGGACCATATAAGAATGTAAATGCATTAATTCAGTAAGGAGTTTAATATACTAAACTTTCCGAACTAAGCCAATTAGACCACTTGGCTATTTGCAAACACTCTACTGTTCTGAGATTGGTCATTCAGCCTGAATGTTTAGTCAGTAAGCCTTTCTCTACTACCCCTGCCCATACAGTTTATTTGAACTGAGCTGTAGCTTCTTGGACCACTTACTGGGTCTGTTTTCAACTTTGATGAAAGGGGAGTCTAGATAGAAAAAGTGTTTGAACAGCCCACTATTTTTGTAGAGCAGGACAGTTAAAGTTCTATCAAAATGTCAGGGAGAATCAGCAAAAGAATGACTCTATCTCATATTTGAATAGTGAATATCTTATTTGGGCCTCTCACTAACCCTCTGAAAGAGGCAGTAAGCTGTTATTGCTCCCATTTTGCAAGTGACAAAACTCAGAATCAATTCAGTTAATTGAGTCATCCAACATCAACACAGGTAGATGACAACAGAACTCAGAAAGGCAAAGTCACTGTGAATAAATGTAACAGTTAATTCCCTGTACATGGACACCACAGGCGAGCTCTGCGAATAGGCAGAATACATAGCCAAGTATGAGGTACAATTTGAGAGATGCCAAATCGCTCATTCCTTGCTAATCACAGGGCCTAAAATTTCAGCATTAGTCATTCATTTTAGCTTGAGCCATCAATGACCTGTTAAAATGGCAATCTAATTACCTTCCATTTGTACAGCAATTCACAATTTTCCAAGAGTGTTTTACATTTAATAGTAATAATACCTAACATTCATTATGGGAACTTTTATGTGGCAGGCACTGTTTTAAGTGTTTTGCATATATTGACTATTTTTATCTACGCCGTAATTCTATGGGAGGGGTACTATAATTATCTCCATTTCACATATGTGGAAACTAAAGCTTATAAAGATTAAATAACTTGCCTAAGGTCATACAATTAGAAAGTGGAGAAGGTAGGATTTGAGTCTGGATCAAGAGTTCTTGCTTTTAACCATTAAACTTTTTGTTTGCTATGCCATTTGATCCAATTCAAAATCCTACAACATAAAGGCATCGTTAAACCACCTTTTACAGGTGAACAAACAATGACCCAGAAAATTTACATGACTTTCCCAATGTTCCTCCAGCTAATTATTGATTAATCCTGAAAATCATAACTCCTAGTTGACTCTTTCCAATATACTAAACCAAAAGAACTAATAGTTAGGTCATTATCAGCAAATAGAGAGATTGGAGCAAAGACAGTTTCATTTTGATGCGATATAATAAGATGTTCTGAGAAGCCAAAAGGCAGCTTGAGAATTTTCCAGCCTTTAGGTGGTAACAGGAAATATTAATTTTATTTTACAAATATTTGCTGATTCCCTAACTACGTTCCAGGCACCATTCTCAGTGCAGGAATACATCTAGGAACAAAGAAACAAAAAATCCCTGCCTTTATGGAATTTACATTCAAATGGAATATAAAAAAATTACTAGTGGTACAGAAGAATTATACTGAAAATAAAGAGGTACAATGTGAAGCAGAATTGACAGTGAATCCAGCTGGAAATATTTTTTCAAATCTACTCCTTCAGTAACTCACTTGTTTTACACATGCTTCTTCTAGGAAACAACCCACTGATACGTAAAACGTAGGTAACATTTCAAAATACAATACCAAATTTGTTGGTGATGGTATAAGTTAAGAACTATGTAAGGGACAGATGAGTTTTCCCAAATAAGATAGGATTAGTTGGAGCTGTAAAGGCACAAATTTTACGACATGTTTGAGTACATAAGATCTTTGAGAAAGTTGCCCAGCCTGAAACAACAGAGGGTTGCAATGTATCAATAAAATCTTCTAAGATTCTTCCTTTTTAAAGTTCTCTTTTAGGGTATCAAAGGTTCTTACCAGTAAAAAGTGGAATACTGGCAGGTAGAACAGCTGGGATCATTGATGGGAAAGAAAACTAGTAAACTGTCTTTAGTTCTATGCCATCTTTAGTTCACCATCCTCATTTTAACAGAGGTCTGGATTCTCCATCTCTCTACTTGGATTTATTCTAACCAGTTGGTTGCAGTTGACCAGGGACAGATTCTTAGTTCAGGATAGAAAAATCTCTGCTTTGATTCTTTAGCCTGAGTTGCTAAACAGCAGCAGTAACCGCTCTGAGGGATCCAGCTCTTGCTTTTGTCAGCAGTTGTCAATCATGCCTGGCAGGCAAGAACCTCCACAAAAAGATTATTTTTCTCCTTTCTCTTGCTGGCCCCATCCACACCAATTTTTATAAGCTCTCTGCAGGACCACACTTAACTTTCCAAGGGAATGATGGCTCCCTATACCACTTCATTCTTAAGATTCAGGAAAGTGTTCTCCTCACCCAAGACAGCCTGAAGTTGCAAAGGGTTTCACTCTTTTAGCCTAAGACTCTGTTTTGAATTGAAATGCAAATCTAGTCCTGTCATTGACAAGTTTGGGTGAATGAAATTATCCAATTATTTCCACTGGAAAGGTATATATGGTAGAGGTAGGGGGAGGTGAGAAGAAGTGCACCGGGCAAGGAAGGGAGGAGCAGGAAAAGGAAAAACTATTGCAAAGGGAGAAAGGAGTCTGGGAAGGGAAGCCAGGACCACTGATGGCAGATCTGTCAGCTCCTTGATTTCCCCAAGGGCTGGTCTTGTACTTGGCAACTAAACCATTGTCTTTCACTAAACAGAGCCTTAGTAGTAGCCTCTTGCTGCTCAGCCATGTAAATCAGAAATGGGAACTGGAGGTCAAGAGGGAGGCCAGTATGGGGGACAGTGGGATATGCTGCCAAGGTCTGTCTTGGAGAACGAAGGGCCAATTACCCCCCAGATATTGGGACTGCTACTGGCACTCCACCTTTAGCCCTTTGTGGGGATTGCCTCTGCTGAAGGAAATTACCTTACCAAGATCACATCTCCTTCACAAGGGGCCTCACATCTAATGACTGATTAACATGGTGAATAAAGTTTCTCCTGAGACACCTCTGTACTTTTACTCTGTCTCCATAACTCCCTGTATAGTTGGCTAAGTCATCTGTTGAGACTGCAATACAGATCACCTTCTCCCTTGGCCCAATCCTGCTTACTTTCCCTTCCTTCCATAGGCATTGACATCAAAAGGTCCTACAAAATCTCCTGAATGTCAATCTCAATCACAGGATCTGCTTCCTGGGAACCCTGAATTGCAATAACCAAACTGTGAATCTCCCATTTCCCAAAGGAACAAACTCCATCCTACACCATTAAATACACGAGAGGACTGGGATGTCTTGGGCTGCAGTACATGGCTGCCTACTGCACTGGGAGACTTGATTCGATGACAAAGTGAGTCTAAACAGGTCCAGAAAAGTCTTCCTTTTTCCCTGAGGGAGGTCCTGGAAGCTTAGCTTCTGAGATATTAGGAAATATGAAAAAAAATGACCCATGTCATTCAACAGGCATTCACTAAGTATGAATTCTTTATCAAGCACAAAATTATGTGCTGTCATCATTGTTGTCATTGTCATCATCATCGTCATCATTGTCATTGTTGTTACTAGTAGCATTTCAAGTGGTATCTGGTATTCCAGGAATTTGGAAACAAATCATTATCCGTATTTAATGTTTATCTAACAGATTCATAGACAAAAATAATATCTTTTTAGTGTTGAGATATCCAAATCAGAGTACAATTTTCAAACTGTCCAGATATTTCCCCATCTGCTGGATTTTTCCAATTGCCTTTCTTTGGACCTGCTCTAGTTCTATTGATTTTTCTTGTCATAATGATCATTTATGTTTCCTTTTTTCTAGATACAGATGAATCGGGGTTTTGAAACCAGGCAAGATCATATTCTTTTCAGTTTGCTTCCAGAGATCTTCCCAAAGATGACCAGCCAGCCTTCATTAGTAAATAGTAAAGCTATTTACTAGGTCAGGGTGACTTTAGGACTTCTGTGAGCATATCTGATAGTTTAACGTTCATGCTCATAATCAAAATTTGAATCATTATATTTCTTCACACTCCACTTCACATTCACCCTTGCTGACACTCTGCTGCTAATTTTCTTGTGAGGCTTGTGATTATCTTCACTGGTTGACATTTCATTCCCTCAAACAAGTTAATATCTCCTACAAACTTAGAAGCTTGACTACAGATATCCTTTCTCAGTGTGTTCCTGATCATAAGGAATAACTAGTCGTGCTCTAATCCCTCGAGATTCCATTATTTAGGACTCTATTAACTGCTCATATTCCTACCTTTTGTTTTTTGTCTTTAATTTATTTGATTTTTTTCCTTTGCAAAGTAATCCCACAATTTCCATGATGATGCATATTTGTAACTGATATAATGTGGTGGTAACATTTTGAATGTGTTTGCTCTTGCTTCTCTGGTTCTTTTAATTGTGACGTTAGGGTGTCAATTTTAGATCTTTCCTGCTTTCTCTTGTGGGCATTTAGTGCTATAAATTTCCCTCTACACACTGCTTTAAATGTGTTGCAGAGATTCTGGTATGTTGTGTCTTTGTTCTCATCGGTTTCAAAGAACATCTTTATTTCTGCCTTCATTTTGTTATTTACCCAGTAGTCATTCAGGAGCAGCTTGTTCAGTTTCTATGTAATTGAGCTGTTTTGAATGAGTTTCTTACTCCTGAGTTCTAGTTTGATTGTGCTGTGGTCTGAGAGACAGTTTGTTATAATTTCTGTTCTTTTACATTTGCTGAGGAGTGCTTTACTTCCAACTATGTGGTCAATTTTGGAATAAGTGTGATGTGGTGCTGAGAAGAATGTATATTCTGTTGATTTGGGGTGGAGAGTTCTGTAGATGTCTATTAGGTCTGCTTGGTGCAGAGCTGAGTTCAAGTCCTGGGTATCCTTGTTAACTTTCTGTCTCACTGATCTGTCTAATGTTGACAGTGGAGTGTTAAAGTCTCCCATTAATATTGTGTGGGAGTCTAAGTCTCTTCGTAGGTCTCTAAGGACTTGCTTTATGAATCTGGGTGCTCCTATATTGGGTGCATATATATTTAGGATAGTTAGCTCTTCTTGTTGAATTGATCCCTTTACCATTGTGTAATGGCCGCCTTTGTCTCTTTTGATCTTTGTTGGTTTAAAGTCTGTTTTATCAGAGACTAGGATTGTAACTCCTACCTTTTTTTCTTTTCCATTTGCTTGGTAGATCTTCCTCCATCCCTTTATTTTGAGCCTATGTGTGTCTCTGCACATGAGATGGGTCTCCTGAATACAGCACACCAATGGGTCTTGACTCTTTATCCAATTTGCCAGTCTGTGTCTTTTAATTGGGGCATTTAACCCATTTACATTTAAGGTAATATTGTTATGTGTGAATTTGATCCTATCATTAGGATATTAGCTGGTTGTTTTGCTCCTTAGTTGATGCAGTTTCTTCCTAGTGTCATTGGTCTTTACAATTTGGTATGTTTTTGCAGTGGCTGGTGCCGGTTTTTCCTTTCCATATTTAGTGCTTCCTTCAGGAGCTCTTGTAAGGCAAGCCTGGTGGTGACAAAATCTCTCAGCATTTGCTTGTCTGTAAAGGATTTTATTTGTCCTTCGCTTAGGAAGCTTAGTTTGGCTGGATATGAAATTCTGGTTTGAAAATTCTTTTCTTTAAGAATGTTGAATATTGGCCCCCACACTCTTCTGGCTTGTAGAGTTTCTGCAGAGAGATATGCTGTTAGTCTGATGGGCTTCCCTCTGGGGGTAACCTGACCTTTCTCTCTGGCTGCCCTTAACATTTTTTGCTTCATTTCGACCTTGGTGAACCTGACAATTATGTGTCTTGGGATTGCTCTTCTCAAGGAGTATCTTTGTGGTGTTCTCTGTATTTCCTGAATTTGAATGTTGGCCTGCCTTGCTAGGTTGGGGAAGTTCTCCTGGATAATATCCTGCAGAGTGTTTTCCAACTTGGTTCCATTCTCCCCGTCACTTTCAGGTACACCAATCAGATATAGATTTTGTATTTTCACATAGTCCCATATTTCTTGGAGGCTTTCTTCATTTCTTTTTACTCTTTTTTCTCTAAACTTCCCTTCTCGCTTCATTTCATTCATTTCATCTTCCATCACTGATACCCTTTCTTCCAGTTGATTGAATCGGCTACTGAAGCTTCTGCATTCATCACGTAGTTCTCATGCCATAGTTTCGGCTCCATCAGGTCATTTAAGGACTTCTCTACACTGGTTATTCTAGTTAGCCATTCATCTAATCTTTTTTCAAGGATTTTATTCAAAAGCTAGCAGAAAGCAAGAAATAACTAACATCAGAGCAGAACTGAAGGAGATGGAGACACAAAAAACCCTTCAAAAAAATCAGTGAATCCAGGAGCTGTTTTTTTAAAAAGATCAACAAAATTGATAGACTGCTAGCAAGACTAATAAAGAAGAAGAGAGAGAAGGATCAAATAGATTCAATAAAAAATGGTAAAGGGGATATCACCACTGATCCTACAGAAATACAAACTACCATCAGAGAATACTATAAAAACCTCTACGCAAATAAACTAGAAGATCAAGAAGAAATGGATAAATTCCTGGACACATACACCCTCCCAAGACTAAACCAGGAAGAAGTTGAATCTCTGAATAGACCAATAACAGGCTCTGAAATTGAGGCAACAATTAATAGCCTACCAACCAAAAAAACTCCAGGACCAGACAGATTCACAGCCGATTTCTACCAGAGATACAAGGAGGAGCTGGTACCATTCCTTCTGAAACTGTTCCAATCAACAGAAAAAGAGGGAATCCTCCCTAACTCATTTTATGAGGCCAGCATCATCCTGATACCAAAGCCTAGCAGAGACATAACCAAAAGAAAAGAGAATTTTAGACCAATATCCTTGATGAACATTGATGCAAAAATCCTCAATAAAATACTGGCAAACCAAATTGAGCCACACATCAAAAAGCTTATCCACCATGATCAAGTGGGCTTCATCCCTGGGATGCAAGCCTGGTTCAACATATGCAAATCAATAAACGTAATCTATCATATAAACAGAACCAAAGACAAAAACCACATGACTATCTCAATAGATGCAGAAAAGGCCTTTGACAATATTCAATAGCCCTTCATGCTAAAAACTCTCAACAAATTAGGTATTGATGGGAAGTATCTCAAAATAACAAGAGCTATTTATGACAAACCCACAGCCAATATCATACTGAATGGACCAAAACTGGAAGCATTCCTTTTGAAAACTGGCACAAGACAGGGATGCCCTCTCTCACCACTCCTATTCAACATAGTGTTGGAAGTTCTGGCCAGGGCAATCAGGCAGGAGAAGGAAATAAAGGGTATTTGATTAGGAAAAGAGGAAGTCAAATTGTCCCTGTTTGCAGATGACATGATTGTATATTTAGAAAACCCCATCATCTCAGCCCAAAATCTCCTTAAGCTGATAAGCAACTTCAGCAAAGTCTCAGGACACAAAATCAATGTGCAAAAATCACAAGCATTCTTATACACCAATAACAGACAAACAGAGAGCCAAATCATGAGTGAACTCCCATTCACAATTGCTTCAAAGAGAATAAAATACCTAGGAATCCAACTTACAAGGGATGTGAAGGACCTCTACAAGGAGAACTACAAACCACTGCTCAATGAAATAAAAGAGGATACAAACAAATGGAAGAACATTCCATGCTCATGGATAGGAAGAACCAATATTGTGAAAATGGCCATACTGCCCAAGGTTATTTATAGATTCTATGCCATCCCATCAAACTACCAATGACTTTCTTCACAGAATTGGAAAAAACTACTTTAAAGTTCATATGGAAACAAAAAAGAGCCCACATTGCTAAGTCAATCCTAAGCCAAAAGAACAAAGCTGGAGGCATCACGCTACCTGACTTCAAACTATACTACAAGGCTACAGTAACCAAAACAGCATGGTACTGGTACCAAAACAGAGATACAGACCAATGGAACAGAACAGAGCCCTCGGAAATAATACCACACATCTACAACCATCTGATCTTTGACAAACCTGAGAAAAACAAGAAATGCGGAAAGGATTCCCTATTTAATAAATGGTGCTGGGAAAACTGGCTAGCCATATGTAGAAAGCTGAAACTGGATCCCTTCCTTACACCTTATACAAAAATTAATTCAAGATGGATTAAAGACTTGCATGTTAGACTTAAAACCATAAAAACCCTAGAAGAAAATCTAGGCAATACCATTCAGGACATAGGCATGGGCAAGGACTTCATGTCTAAAACACCAAAAGCAATGGCAACAAAAGCCAAAATTGACAAATGGGATATAATTAAACTAAAGAGCTTCTGCACAGCAAAAGAAACTACCATCAGAGTGAACAGGCAACCTACAGAATGGGAGAACATTTTTGCAATCTACTCATCTGACAAAGGGCTCATATCCAGAATCTACAAAGAACGCAAACACATTTACAAGAAAAAAACAAACAATCCCATCAACAAGTGGGTGAAGGATATGAACAGACACTTCTCAAAAGAAGACATTTATGCAGCCAACAGACACATGAAAAAGTGCTCACCATCACTGGCCATCAGAGAAATGCAAATCAAAACCACAATGAGATACTATCTCACACCCAGTTAGAATGGCGATCATTAAAAAGTCAGGAAACAACAGGTGCTGGAGAGGATGTGGAGAAATAGGAACACTTTTACACTGTTGGTGGGACTGTAAACTAGTTCAACCATTGTGGAAGACAGTGTGGCGATTCCTCAAGGATCTAGAACTAGAAATACCATTTGACCCAGCCATCCCATTACTGGGTATATACCCAAAGGATTATAAATCATGCTGCTTAAAGACACATGCACACATATGTTTATTGTGGCACTATTCACAATAGCAAAGACTTGGAACCAACCCAAATGTCCACCAATGATAGACTGGATTAAGAATATGTGGCACATACACAGCATGGAATACTATGCAGCCATAAAAAAGGATGAGTTCATGTCCTTTTTAGGGACATGGATGAAGCTGGAAGCCATCATTCTCAGCAAACTATCGCAAAGACAAAAAACCAAACACCGCATGTTCTCACTCACAGGTGGGAATTGAACAATGGGAACACTTGGACACAGGAAGGGGAACATCACACACCAGGGCCTGTCGTGGGGTGGGGGGAGGGGGAGGGATAGCATCAGGAGATATATCTAATGTAAATGACGAGTTAATGGGTGCAGCACACCAACATGGCACATGTATACATATGTAACAAACCTGCAGGTTGTACCCTAGAACTTAAAGTATAGTTTAAAAAAAGAACTCATAACAATGAAATAATAATAATAATAATAATAATGTGGTGGTAAGCATAGGGCTATCCTGAGATATACACTGATTTAGAGATTTCATGGGTGTATAAGCCAGTCACTGGTTGATTGGTTCTTGGCCAAAAGAACCTGAGAAGGCATAGGTAACAATATGCCTAAAGCAGAATCCAGGGCTTTTTTAAGTCCAGGCTAAGTTCAATCCAGTCTTTTGCCTTAGTCAGCTCTGCAGTGAGTTCTGAACTCCTTCAATGACCCTACATATGCTCCACTTTTTAGTTATGACCTAAACAAGTCCAGTGTCCTGGGTATGGCCTCTTTGGCTTTCCTTAGGTTGAGTTCATTCCCTACAGATTCCAAACAGACTCAGAATGAGAACCATTCACAAAGGATCTGGTGAAATTAACACCTTTGGGATATGGATGAGTCATCTTAGGAAAACAAAATCAATTGCAGACTTCCAATGTAGACAGGAACTTGTACATTGTAAGATGTCAATGTGTAAAACATCATTGTTGCATTCAAGATGTGATGAATTTGTAAATCCAGAGTTACTTTATGAATGTACTTTGGACCAAAATCTTGAGATTCTGTAACTTACTAGAGACTGTGAAGGATAATGTTGGCATAATTTATAACGTCACAAGGAACAAAAGCACCTATTTTCTCATATTGATACATGAAGAACTGGAAAAGAAGGCATCTTGTAAGATATGAATTTAAAGTCTCTATTCTTCCTGGCTGTGAATCATATCTCTAAATATAGATTTGCATATGTGTAAATGCACACAATTGTAATGTCTTCCCTGTTGACTCAAAGGATTTTATTTCAAGTTTTCATTTCTAAGAAGTCACTGTTCTTTCCTATTCCTGTATGCCTGAGTCACCCCACCCCCACCCCCTTTGCTCCCTGTAATATAACAGGGACAGATTTAGACAACTCAAGTACAGGGTACTTTTAGAAACAAGCTGCTACTGAAATTTAGTCCTCCTGATGAGAATCAAAACACCATATCCTATTTGAAGACAAAGCTTCTCATCTAGTGACTACTGATAAGGCAGCATGCTGTTTACACGTCATGAATTATGGGTGTTGAAAACTTAAGTGGGATCCAATAGTTTCTTGTTGAAACTTTCTAGACCCACTATAAACCTATTCAGGTCATTGGTAACAACAGATTAGATAGACAGATTTAGTTTATATGTTTGGATATTTTCTTGGTAATCTACTGTGCTTTAAATAGACTGTCATCTATTTATATTTATGTGTTAATATCACTCTATAGGACACCCAGTCCTCCAACACTCAGCCATGTGACTGAATGTTGGGAAGTTGGCAATCCAACTACTGTACTGGGGACATGGCAACGTATATGGTAGTATTGTAACAGTAAAGTTAGACCGGCCAAAGGAAGCATTCAGTGTTGAATTTAAACAAGTCTATAGACAGGAAATTTTCAGAATTGTGAGTACCAAGGACATCCTGCTGGTCTATGAGATTAACTTCACCACTAAGCCTAAGTCATGAATACTCACAAGAACCAGGCATTAACATCTTTTTAGATGTTAGCACTAACATGTCACCACTCTAGGCAAATCCAGCCCCTACCCTACCCCTGTCCTAGTGAAATAATAAAAAATCTGGCCTCAAAAGGTTATATAGGTTAATGGCAGGATAAAGAACAGAATTTAGTTCTGGGATTCTTACTTTTGGCTAAAGCACGAGTGTCATGAGGATTTCTTTCTTGCTCCTTCCCAGGAAGTAAAGTTACAAAAAAAAAAAAAAAAAAAAGCCAAAGAACTACGAACTAATCTGTGACTGTGCATTATTAATAAAATTACAGTGGGATTTGTGATTCACATTTTATTCCACTTCTTGACATTTAGAAGCTTTCAACAATCATTTCTGGTATTTTCCTTTGTCTTATATGCTAAATGATGATAGTTATTATTTTCTTTCTTTCCTTCCATTCTTCTGTTACTAGTACTTATGTGATTTTTATATGATTTCTAATTGCCAATTCTATTTAGGAAAAGATTTACACAGAAAACTTTGTTCAAATATGAATGTCATTGTTACACTCAGCTGTGTGTTCTTCTGTCATTTTCTGAATATAGCTGAAGAGACTGAGTGTCTATCAGCATCTGGTCTGTACAGACTGCCAAACTATAGTGTTATTACAAGGGTCTGGAGATCAGAGTAAATGAAAACATTTTCCCTTTTCAGTTTCATTTATTACCCTAATTATTCAAAAAGAAGGAAGGAGGTCCACGTTCTTCACATTTTAAGAGTACAAAATAGATTATTTATAAAATTAACTAGTTCCTTGAAGTAGGTCTTTATCAAAAGTTAGTTCTTTTCAGCCTCTAGAGTGTTATGTTACCATCTTTCAAGCTAGGAAACATTTGTGTGTTGTGTTTGTTTTAAGTTTACTCATGTCAAAAAAAAGAAAGTTCTATTGAGTCCTAGCATTTGTGCACAAACAGGGAAACTTATAGTTTCTCCTTGTTTCCCTTACCATTCACATGGTTACCATCAAAATCCTCCTCTTTGTTCAGAACCTAGAAGGCTATGTCCTAGATAACTTTCTGAATTTTTATGCCTTTTACTTGGTATAAATTTGCAGTCCTTGGGAGATGTCTTTTGATCTTTTTGCCTGATTATCTTTCCATGAGAAGTGGACTATATTCCAGAATTCTTTGAAACCCTCTATATTTCTTTCCCTTCCAGAAACACTTCTTTCAGATTCAGTCCCTTGCAACTACCAACTTCACATGCCAAGTATAAGTGCTCCCAGCCATCTCACAGTATCAGAAACTGCAGCTCTATGTGGGGAGAAGGGAGAATGTACATGAGTCTGGTAGCCTGAAAGTAGTTCTTGTATAATAGGGGTGATGTCTCCCTCTCTCTCTCTCCCCACAGTCACCCACCCATCCTCACACCCCCATTCCCCCACAACACTCTTGTCCCAGGGTCAAATGCTCCTGTCTATGAAGCAAGGGGTGTAGCCCCATGCTTCTGCCTCTTAGCGTCATTCCAAATAATATTAGTTGATAAACTGATAGTGTTAGTAACTTATGAGAGTCACTTTTTGAATTTTCTTGGTGGTGAATAACCCAGAAATCCCTATTAAGCATTTTCAGCAGGGGACTAACTTGACCAGATTCATATTTTCAAAAGACTACTTAGACAACAGTGTGGGAAATGAGTTTGAAATGGGTTAAGAATGAAAGCAGGAAGCCAAATTAGGAGGATGTGTATGAATCCAGGAGAGCAATAGTAAGAGTTGGACTGGGAATCAGCAGTAGAGATGGTGAGGAGGTGACAGATTTATGAGACGTTTTTAAGGTAGAATGGACCTGGAAAACTCTTCCTGTGGTAAGTAGGCCAGTTCAAGGTAAACACCTATAACTGTGCTAAATGGGGAAATTGGATGATTCTATGTGACGTCTATGAGTAGTCTGAATTTTAAACTGTTTAATTTTTGCAAAAAGGATGCCACTGTAGAAAACAAACCAACATTCCTTCCTAAATGTGTTTACAAGTATTTTTTCTGTTTGTTATCAATCCTTGAATATCATGTTTATTTAATTCTGTCACAGCCAGGTAAATTTTTAGGCAATTCCTTTATTTTATGCAAACAAAGAGCGAATAGTATTAGCTTGCTTTAAATGGATATGCAAAACTGGAGAAATCATAGGATCTGGTGGTGCTGTCATCTGGATTGCCACCTAGTGACCAATATTTTGCACAGCAGACAAGGTACCCTGAGGATATCACAACCAAGAGTCATTTTGCTACTAGAAATTCATGTGCATCTATTGAGATAATCATGTGGTTTTTGTCGTTGGTTCTGGTTATATGCTGGATTACGTTTATTGATTTGCGTATGTTGAACCAGCCTTGCATCCCAGGGATGAAGCCCACTTGATCATGGTGGATAAGCTTTTTGATGTGCTGCTGGATTTGGTTTGCCAGTATTTTATTGAGGATTTTTGCATTGACGTTCATCAGGGATATTGGTCTAAAATTCTCTTTTTTGGTTGTGTCTCTGCCAGGCTTTGGTATCAGGATGACGCTGGCCTCATAAAATGAGTTAGAGAGGATTCCCTCTTTTTCTATTGATTGGAATAGTTTCAGAAAGAATGGTACCAGCTCCTCCTTGTACCTCCGGTAGAATTCGGCTGTGAATCCGTCTGGTCCTGGACTTTTTTTGGTTGGTAAGCTACTAATTATTGCCTTAATTTCAGAGCCTGTTATTGGTCTATTCAGAGATTCAGCTTCTTCCTGGTTTAGTCTTGGAAGGGTGTATGTGTCCAGGAATTTATCCATTTCTTCTAGATTTTCTAGTTTATTTGCGTAGAGGTTTTTATAGTATTCTCTGATGGTAGTTTGTATTTCTGTGGGATCAGTGGTGATATCCCCTTTATCATTTTTTATTGCATCTATTTGATTCTTCTCTCTTTTCTTCATTAGTCTTGCTAGCGGTCTATCAATTTTGTTGATCTTTTCAAAAAACCAGCTCCTGGATTCGTTGATTTTTTGAAAGGCCTTTGACAAAATTCAACAGCCCTTCATGCTAAAAACTCTAAATAAATTAGGTATTGATGGGATGTATCTCAAAATAATAGAGCTATTTATGATAAACCCACAGCCAATATCATACCGAATGGGAAAAACTGGAAGTATTCCCTTTGACAACTGGCACAAGACAGGGATGCCCTCTCTCACCACTCCTATTCAACATAGTGTTGGAAGTTCTGGCCAGGGCAATCAGGCAGGAGAAGGAAATAAAGGGTATTCGATTAGGAAAAGAGGAAGGCAAATTGTCCCTGTTTGCAGATGACATGATTTTATATCTAGAAAACCCCATCATTTCAGCCCCAAATCCTCTTAAGCTGCTAAGCAACTTCAGCAAAGTCTCAGGATACAAAATCAATGTGCAAAAATCACAAGCATTCTTATACACCAATAACAGAAAAACAGAGAGCCAAATCATGAGTGAACTCCCATTCACAATTGCTTCAAAGAGAATAAAATGCCTAGGAATCCAACTTACAAGGGATGTGAAGGACCTCTTCAAAGAGAACTACAAACTATTGCTCAATGAAATAAAAGAGGATACAAAGAAATGGAAGAACATTCTATGCTCATGGGTAGGAAGAATCAATATCATGAAAATGGCCATACTGCCCAAGGTAATTTATAGATTCAATGCCATCCCCATCAAGCTACCAATGACTTTCTTCACAGAATTGGAAAAAACTACTTTAAAGTTCATATGGAACCAAAAAACAGCCCGCATCGCTAAGTCAATCCTAAGCCAAAAGAACAAAGCTGGAGGCATCACGCTACCTGACTTCAAACTATACTACAAGGCTACAGTAACAAAAACAGCATGGTACTGGTACCAAAACAGAGATATAGATCAATGGAACAGAACAGAGCCCTCGGAAATAATGCCACATATCTACAACTATCTGATCTTTGACAAACCTGAGAAAAACAAGCAATGGGGAAAGGATTCCCTATTTAATAAATGGTGCTGGGAAAACTGGCTAGCCATATGTAGAAAGTTGAAACTGGATCCCTTCCTTACACCTTATACAAAAATCAATTCAAGATGGATTAAAGACTTAAACGTTAGACCTAAAACCATAAAAACCCTAGAAGAAAACCTAGGCAGTACCATTCAGGACATAGGCATGGGCAAGGACTTCATGTCTAAAACACCAAAAGCAATGGCAACAAAAGCCAAAATTGACAAATGGGATCTAATTAAACTAAAGAGCGTCTGCACAGCAAAAGAAACTACCATCAGAGTGAACAGGCAACCTACAAAATGGGAGAAAATTTTCACAACCTACTCATCTGACAAAGGGCTAATATCCAGAATCTACAATGAACTCAAACAAATTTACAAGAAAAAAACAAACAACCCCATCAAAAAGTGGGCAAAGGACATGAACAGACACTTCTCAAAAGAAGACATTTATGCAGCCAAAAAACACATGTAAAAATGCTCACCATCACTGGCTATCGGAGAAATGCAAATCAAAACCACAATGAGATATCATCTCACACCAGTTAGAATGGCGATCATTAAAAAGTCAGGAAACAACAGGTGCTGGAGAGGATGTGGAGAAAAAGGAACAGTTTTACACTGTTGGTGAGACTGTAAACTAGTTCAACCATTGTGGAAGTCAGTGTGGCAATTCCTCAAGGATCTAGAACTAGAAATACCATTTGACCCAGCCATCCCATTACTGGGTATATACCCAAAGGATTATAAATCATGCTGCTATAAAGACATGTGCACACGTATGTTTATTGTGGCACTATTCACAATAGCAAAGACTTGGAACCAACCCAAATGTCCAACAATGATAGATTGGATTAAGAAAATGTGGCACATATACACCATGGAATACTATGCAGCCATAAAAAATGATGAGTTCATGTCCTTTGTAGGGACATGAATGGAGCTGGAAACCATCATTCTCAGCAAACTATCGTTAGGACAAAAAAACCAAACACCGCATGTTCTCACTCATAGGTGGGAATTGAACAATGAGAACACTTGGACACAGGAAGGGGAACATCACACACCGGGGCCTGTTGTGGGGTGGGTGGAGGGGGAGGGATAGCATCAGGAGATATACCTAATGTAAATGAGTTAATGGGTGCAGCACACCAACATGGCACATGTATACATATGTAACAAACCTGCATGTTGTGCACATGTACCCTAAAACTTAAAGTATAATAAAAAAAAGAAATTCATGTGTGTCAGTATCCTCACAGACTACTACATAGGGTGAATGATTGCCAACTGCAATCCAATTAAACTACAGTGTGATTTTAGGCAAGTAACTTCATCTCAGTGGGCTTCAGTTTCCAAATCCATAAAGTGAGCACTAGTTCATTTCTAAGGTGGTTAAAAATCCTCAATAGTTCAAAGGCTTATCTTTGTTGTGGACAATCAGAAATAATTATCCAGGATAAGACACATGTCTTTTTGCTTTACTTTGTCACCAAAATCTAATATTGTATAGCCAGCTTAAGGTTCTTGAATGACCTCAGATTTTGAGAGCTCACATTCAGCACAACAGTTTAATCTCATTTCAAGTTCCCCAATATATAGACGATTTCAAGTAATTGTGTATACTGTTAACCCCAGTGATTTTTTTCTAAGAGCCAAATTAAATAATAAAATAATATTATGTCACTATTCAAGACACTCCTATTGTCTTTATAGGCCACAGCAGTCATCTCCAAGACTTTGATTATTTATCTGGTTATTTATCCTTGTCATAAAAAAAGATGAACGTGCAACTCCTGTGTTTTTTCTGTTGATAAATAATGTGCATGGATAACCAGAATGAAATAGTGATACATAATAAAACATAAAAACAGAAATGTTTAAAGAATGAGCTAATTGTGAAATAAAATAATGTTATCTTAAAGTGATTTTGGAAAAAGAAGCTTTTGGCTCATAAAATAATATCTTGATCTTTTAAAAGAGATTTTAAAATAAGAAAAACGCCTTTTGCACTACCCACATAATTACCATTTTAGGTGCTCTTTGTTCCTTTGGGTAGATCTAGACTTCCATCTGGTTTTATTTTCCTTCTACCTTGAAAGAATTCTTTTAAGATTTCTTGTAGTGCTGGTCTACTGCTGGTAATTTTTTTCAGTTTTTTTTTTATGCCTGCAAAAAGTCTTTATTTTACTTTCACTTTTAAAATCTTTTTGCTGAGTATAGAATTCTAAGTTGACAGAGTTTTCTTCTTTCAGTACTTTAAAGATGTTATTCCATTGCCTTTTTTTACTTGCTTTATTTCCAACAAGAAATCTGCTGTCATTCTTGCTTTTGTTCTTCTTTATTTAATGTGTGTTTTTACTCTTGCTCTTTGTTTTAAGACTTTTCTCTTTATCACTTGTTTTAATTGACTGGATTAGAGTGTCCCTTGGTGTGGTATTTTTCAACTTTCATTTTCTTATGGTTCATTGAGATTCTTGGATCTCTAGATATTTAGTTTTCATCAAATTTGGAAAATTTTCAGTCATTATTTCTTCAAAAATGTTTACCCTCAGCCTTTCTTCTTCTTCAAAACTCTAATAATGTATATGGTAAGTCAGTTGAAGCTGTTCCAAAACTCTCTGATACTCTTTAATGTTTTTGTTTGTTTGTTTGTTTGAGATGGAGTCTCATTCTGTCACCAGGCTGGAGTCAGTGGCATGATCTTGGCTCACTGCAACCTCAGACTCCCTGGTTCAAGCGATTTTCCTGCCTCAGCCCCCCAAGTAGCTGGTGTTACAGGCACGCGCCACCATGCTCAGCTAATTTTTGTATTTTTAGTAGAGACAGTGTTTCACCATGTTGGCCAGGATGGTCTCGATCTCCTAACCTCATGATCCACCCACCTTGGCCTCCCAAGGTGCTGGGATTACAAGCATGAGCCATTGTGCCTGGCCGATACTCTTCAATGTTTTAATGGTATGGTTTTCATTCTAAAATTTCAAGTTCACTATTTTTTTTCTTCTGAAGCACCTAATCTGCTATTAATCCCATCTAGTGTACTTGTCATGTTAGATATTGTATTTTTCATCTTTAGAAGTTCACTGTGCATCATTTTCATATCATCTATGTGTCTCTTAAAACTGCTCATATTACTATTTACTTGAACAAATAGAATGTATTAATCGTGTATATTTTAACATCCTTCTCTCTTAATCTAATCATCTGTGTTATTTCTGAGTCTGTTTCTAATTAATTGATTTTCCTCCTCATTGTAGATTGTCTTTTCTGCTTCTTGCATGTACGGAATTTTTTTATTGGATGCCAAGTATGGTGAATTTTATATTTTGGCATGCTAGATTGTTTTGTGTTCTTTTCTAAACTTTTTTCTGGGATACTGTTGAGTTTCTTAGAAACAGTTTAATCCTTTTGTGCCTTGCTTTTAAGCTCTGTTAGGTAGGACTAGAGCAGGCTTTAGTCTCAGTAATTAATCTCAACCAGAGGCAACATTTTGCAGTGTATGGAGACACTTTCAGTTGTTACAACTGGTGGGAGGTAAGGGGAGTGCTACTGGCATCTAGTGGGTGGAGGCTAAAGATACTGCTACACATCCTATAATGCACAGGACAGCACCCCACAACAAATAATTATTGACCCAAAATGTCAATAGTGCCAAGAATGAGAAACCATGGTCTACAGCTATTTTGGTTCCACTACTGAGACAATACCCTTCTGAGTGCTCTACCTGATGCTCTGTGTATTCAGAGATTTCTCTATCCCAGTGTGGGGGAAAGAAAACTATTTCAAGCCCTATGGGAGGTCCAAGAATTGTTTTCTCTTCTTTCTGGTGGCTTCTGGTAGTTTCCTCACACACATGTCCTGATAAATTCTCAGTCAAAGGTGGAAGGACTCCTCTACAGATTTTCAGAGGTCTGATTCTGTAAAGCTCTTCTTCAGGACTTTGCCCTGTGAAATCTAGCCACACTGGTCTTTCTGGAATCTCAACTACATCTCCTGAATGCAGGGTGTCTGCAGGCTCTATTTGGGATGTCCTTTCTGTTCAGTGGCCCAAAAACTGTCTCTAAGCCGTAAGTTGGGATAATTATAGGGCTCACCTTATTTGTTTCTCTTCTTCTAGGGATGACTGTCTTGCATTGCCTGTTGTTCAGTGTTTGAAAGTCACTGATTTATATATTTTGCCTGTTTTTTGGTCATTTCACTCAGGAGAATAAGTCCAATCCCTGGCCCTCCATCATGGCCAGGGATAGAAGTGCTTGAATAGTTTTAGAGTTTTAGTTTTCAATATGCTTTTAATCAGTAAGTTGTCGTATTATTATTAGCTGATGTCTTAAGACACAATTGCAGGGTTCATCCTTAAAAATATTTCAAATGCTCTTGTTAATTTAGATGATTTCCCCTAGCTTTGTGTCACCTCTAATTAAGCTGTAGTCTTTACCTTGTTAGATGGCTGACAAATAACTTATATAAGAGTACATATGTCAGCTCTGTCATTTTCTTGTTCTTGGTATTTGTGTTATTTTACTATCTTCAATCTGTGTTTTGTTTGCAGAAATCTATTTTAATTATAGGAAAATTCATTTGCACACAGAAGTAGAGATCACAAAATCAACCTGATGTGCCCCTTACTCATTTTCAATAATTGTCAGTTCACAGCCTATTTTGTCTTATCTATACTCCAACCTACTTCTCACAGTGCCCTCTCTCACCTTGGATTATCCTGAAGTGAATCCCAGGTATTATATTATTTTATCTATAATTCTTTCAGTGTGTATACCCATAAAACAAACTACTGCTTCATTATCCCACCCAAAAACATAACAATAACTTCTTAATACCATGAATATGCAATCAGTCCTCAAACTTTTTTGATTAATTCCAACTTTTTGGTTTTTGTGTTTATTTGAATCACTGATATGGTACCTTTCAAAACTCATGTTAAAATTTAATTGCCACTGTGATAGTATTAAGAGATGAGACTTTTAACAGGTAAATTGTCATGAAGGCTCCACTCTCATAAATGGATTAATGCCTTTACTGCAGAAATGTGCTGCTTATCATGGGAGTGGCTCCTGATAAAAGAATGGAGTTCAGCTCACTTACTGTCTCTGTCTTGCATGCTTGTTTGCCTTTCCACCTTCTGCCATGAGATGACTGTTGCCAGATGCTAGTGCCATGCTCTTGGACTTCCCAGCCTCCAGAACCATGAGCCAAATAAACTTCTGTTCTTTATAAATTACCCAGTCTGTGATATTCTATTATAGCAGCAGAAAATGGACTAAGTCAATCAGCATCCAAATAATGTGCATATATTGTGGTTGGTCATCTCTTACTTAAGTATCTTTTAATTTGTAGGCTCCTCTAGCTCTCTCTTTCTCTGCAATTTATGTGTTAAGGAAACAACTATTTATCCTATTGAGTTTTTCACCACTTGCATTTTGCTCAGGGGTTAGGTGTCATTTAACAGATTCCTCTGTCACCTATGTTTCCCATGAATTGGTAATCATATATAGACATTTGATCAAATTCAAGTTCTTTCTTTTTAATCAAATTACTTCATGGGTGGTGTGTAACTCTACCAGTATGCACAGTTGGTGATACTAGTAGCCTTGGATGATCATTGCATAAATTCACTGATTCATTATGATGTTTATTTCTGTAATCCGTGTTTAATTCTATCTTTTTTTCTTCATTTCTTAGCTAGAATACATGTAAAAAGACAACCTTCTCTTCATGATTATATTATAATTCTATCATGCCTTCTTCACTTAGTAGACTAAATATTCTATAAACATACTTCTTAATTGCAAGTATTTTTTCGCAAGGAATAGGAATTTTATAAGAAAAGGGGGATAACTGCTTATTTTTCCCTTTCATTTACCATTTTTCAAAATAGTGATTTTCCCCTATCATTCTCCAAATGTAACCAAAGATTTTTTTGTATCACTATGAACTCATGGATTTAAACATATTTCATGTATTTCAATCCATTGCACTTATGATTCTTGTTAATGTTTGATTTGTCCTATCTCTGATCAGTGGAGCTTATTCAAGATGACTCCTCCACCCTTTTGACATGGCCCCAGTAGTCTTTGATAGTTTCCCTTCTATCTGGTTTGACAAAATATTTCAGGTTTATCTGCTTATACTAGATAATGTAAAATCCTCTCCATAGAGACAGTACCTTTTTTCATTTCCCCCTGCAAAGTATGAGTGCTGGCTTCCCCCACAACCTTACCAGCAGAGTACTGAGTCAAACTGCTGGATTTTTGCCAATCTGATAGGTGGGAAGTGGTATCTTTGTGTGGTTTTAATTTGCATTTATTGCTGTGAGCCAGACTGAATATCTTTTCATATAGTTAAAAGCTATTTGCTGTGAGCTATTTGTATCTCAGCCCATTTTGCAAAAAAAAAAAAAAAAGCTTTTTAGTAATCTGTAATTTCTTTGCAACATTATATTAAGCCATGTACCCATTTTTTAAAGTTAGTTTAGACAGAATATAATCAGTAAGTCCATTTAACCAGGCAATATAAATTTTAATATGTGCTATATGCTGAAAGCAAACAAAGACCAAAGGAACTAATGAGAGCTCTGGGTTACAGAGCTCCAACCCTCACTCTTCACTCATGATACTTCTTGGTCTATATGTGACATATTGGACAGATGGACTAAGTGAGAGGGCCATGGCCAATCTATACATTTTAGTTTAGGAATGTTTCTTTTATTTCTACTTTTTTTAGATGAAACAGATAACACAAGATACCACAGTAAAATTGATTTCGTTCAAATGAATGTAATTGCATTTAGGTTTTCTTTCCACACCCCAGTAGTTCAGCTTGCACATCCCCAGTGAGGGTTGGACAGAACCACTTTGGAGACCACTGACCACAGGATGAAACCCAAACTTTCTAGCTTGGGATAACAGAATGTCCATCAGAATGCAACCCCTGTCCACATTTTGACTTTGACTCACACCACTTGTTTCCTGGCTTTTGCTCTATCTAAGTCTTTGCAGTTTCCTAAACATGCCCTTCTATTTCAGGAACACTGCATCCTTCTCCCCACTGACCAGTGAGTTCCTACAGCGGGCTGCCCCACAAGCTGCACAAGCACACTGGGCAGCTCTGCTCCTACTCCATCATGAAGAGCATCTGTGGAGAACAATCCTGACCCTTTCAGGCTGATTTAGGCCCTGTCTTCCTGAGGCTCACTTTGAATGTTGTGGCAAAACCACTGACAGAGCTTTTTGAAGAGTCTAGGGAGCAAGTACAAGTCGCCCTCTTCCCTTAACTGAAGAATCGTTCTCCAACTCTCCATCATCGGGAAGGTAGCTTCAGAAGGAGGCCAAGAAGAGGTGACTGAGAACAAGGTCCAGCCTGTGCCCAGCTCCCCACTGCCCCCCAACCCCCCACCCCCCACCAACCATTACTAGTGGTCTTCCTAGAGGGGTGGCTGAAGGGTCAGAGCCTGAGTATACTTCCTTGATGGCAGAAGAGAAACAGGAGTCCTCACTCAAGACAATGGGAGAAACTGAGCTGGAGGAAAGAGCTAAGCCAAAAACTGGGCTGGAGAAGCGAGGTCTTGTATTAGGCTGTTCTTGCATTGCTAAAGAAAAACCTGAGACTGGGCAATTAAAAAAAGAAAGAGGTTTAATTGACATATGGTTCTGCAGGCTTTACAGGAAGCATGGTGCTGGCATTTGCTCAACTTCTGGTGAAGCCTCAGAGAGCTTTTCATCACGGCAGAAGGCAAAGCACAGGCAGGAAATTCACATGGTGAAAGCAGGGGCAAGTGAGAGGAGGGGGAGAGGTGCCAAAACCTTTAAATGACCATATCGCATGAGAACTCAGTTGCTATCATGAAGACCGCACCAAACCATGAGGGATCCACAACCCATGATCCAAACATCTCCTACTAGGCCCCAATTCCAGCACTGGGGATTACAGCTCAACATGAGATTGTGGCAGGGACAAATATCCAAACTATGTAAGGTCTAAAATTAATGGAGAAGTCAAGTGGAATCCAATTTAGAGTAGCTCCAGGAAGTAGAATTTCCATGGGATTCTATAGGGGAACTCTATCAGCACTGGCCCCTCTTGGGGACAGCAAACAAGGAAGAGGAAGTCACAAGGTCACACCTGTCTACAAGGCAGTGTTTCCACATTCCACCATAGCTTTGGCATTTTATCTCTCACTTCCTCTGGACCTATGCGTAGGTAACTGGCCCTATCTCCACTCTCTGTGCAAAAAATCCCCCCTGGCAGGGCCTCTCTACCATTCTCCAGCTTCAGGCCTGCAAAAGCCCCAAGATCTAACTCCTAACAGAGAGCTGAGAGGCCTCAGCCCATTTGTCAATCTAAGCATGACCAGTGACTACTAAATAAAACTGACACTTAGGCCAGGCACAATGGCTCACACCTGTAATCCCAGTACTTTGATAAGGCTGAGGCTGGAGAAGACCTTGAGCCCAGGAGTTCAAGACCAGCCTGGGCAACATAGTAAGACCCCATCTCAACCAAAACACTAAACGGACAAACAAACAAACCAACAACTGACACTTAGATTCTCATTTACCTTTTAGTATTTATCATTTAATGGATTAGAACCAAAGAGAAGAAGGAATGCGCTATTATCTCCCCAGACCTCATAGAGTTAGTTCAACTGGACAAAACTCATGAATCAAATGTACTCCACTTGAGAAAAGACTGAAAAGAAAGTGAATGGTTAGCCTAGAACTACAGTTAGCCTTCATAAATTCTGTAAAGTTTATGAAAAATGTAGATTCTAGGGCTTCTCCCTTGAGATTTTGATTCTGAAAAGTTTGGAATGATACCTTGGAATCTGAATATTTAAATTCCCCAGTAAATTTAGATGCAGGTTGTTTTCAGTGGCCTAGACAATAAAAAGGGAAAATTTAAAGTTGCAAAAGTTGCTGGGGTCACCTAAATACTGTCCAGAAGATAGCTGATCTCTGTGCAGGTTGCATCCCTGCCGTGAATTATGTAGCTGCTACCCTTGTTCTGGTTCTGAGCTTATCTACAACCTTCTGGCCATAATTTGGCATCCCTTGTGGCTTGCCTGCAGGGAGATAATTGACAGATCTGCTGACATGAGCACTCTGCTCTGTTGACAGCTCTTTCTCATTACAAAATCAATACATTGGCATTACGCTTACATTTTTATTTCTGTGGCTTTGGTTACTACAGGTCTCTCCTGAAAAGCAGTTTCTCACGGTGCAAATGAAAGTGGAGCTGATCAGTCTCACATACAGAAGAATGTTCAGAACAGTAACTTCCTGCTCTGATCCCAACAGTGTCTACCCTCCCTAGAGCTCCACCCCTGCCTGGCCTTTGTCTGCAATTTCCAGGGCCACCCACACCGTCCCCGCTCTCCCAGTGCCCTGGGGAGCCGCTCTCATTTATCAAATGCTCCTTGTTCCCTACCACCTCTCAGCCTATTAAACCGCTCTGTTCCCAGTCTCTGATCTTATCTCTTCCCCTCCTTGGCTTGAAGTTGTTGTCAATCATGCCACTCCATCTTTTTTTCTTTTCTTCCCCCACCACCCCCCACCAGCCCCCTGTGATAGAGCTACAGACAGTTTACAGCTCTTTTGGTCTGGCATGACAAAAAGACCCCTTTCTGTTATCCTCACTTAGTGCACGCCTGACCCCAGAGGGCAGTTGGGTGTGTGCCGTGGTCCTGGGAAAGGAAATGGGGGAGAGAGAAAAACTCATCTTGCCAACAGGGTTAAAGCCAGACCCATCGCTGTGTCCAATTCACCACAAATGAATGTCACTCTGTACTGTGTGTTGGCAGCCAGCTGGCTTCTCGGGCGAAACCTCTGTGAATTGCCTGAGCCACATGCCTCAGCATTCATACTGCATCACATTCAAGTTAAAGAACAGAAGAAAAGGCACACTAGATTAGACCCATCTTTCTTCCCAGGCAGACTTGGGCTCTTAACAGTGGCAGTGTCTGTCAGGTTGCCCTTCAAGATATTCACCTCAATAGATTAGAGACAGCCCCACACAGCTTCTTTTCTTTTGTAACCTATTATTTAATCCTCTCCTTTATTCTCACTATCAAATTTGTCATCATGTTCTGCCAATTTCTCTTGTCACAGTCATCATTCTAACCCTCATTATCTCACATTCCAGCTATGGAGAGGCTCTGATTTTTGTGTTGGGTCTTCCCTCTCCCTACTAAAGTGATCTTCATGAAACACTTTCATCATCTCACTGGTTGGCTCCGAGTCCTACTAGGGCAGTCAGATCCAGGCTCCCCTTCCCAGATCTCAATGGATCTCAATAACCAGCTCCACCTGAACTGATCTCATCTCAGACTCTTATCTGCGTTCAGGCCCTTCTTGGTACAGTGCCCCAAAACTTCAGCCCCATAGCTTCCTGAAGTAGCCTCACCTATGCTCTCTTCTGAATTCTGCCTTGTTTTAAAATGCCAACTTCAAACCTTGCGATGCTTCAAGTGGGCAGCTGGGATAGAGAGAGCACTGAGCATGGTGTCACAGGCAAAACCAGCTATTGGTTAGAAAAGAAAGGCAGCATACACACAAAATACCAGAAAAACTCAGTCCACACTCTGAGCAGCCCCTGCTGTGCTCTACTTGTTCACCAGGCCAAAGCCCTACACCTAACTTCCCTGCCCACTGCATCTCCAAGGCCCCAAACTGCACAGAGCAGGGCAGCCCCCCGATTCTTGGCATCCTCCTGGATGGAGGCTTGGGAATCCTGGAGATATTTTTGGTTGTCAGAACTGGGGTAGGGTTGTGGGGAGAGGCTGGCATCTAGTGGGCAGAGACCTGTGATTCTGCTAAAGCAACCTGCAATCATAGGACACACCTCTCCCAACAACAAATTATCTTGCCCAAAATGTTTATAATGTCAAGGTCGAGAGCCTTGGCCAAGAAAGAGACAAAGCAGAAAGTTAGCCTAAAAAAGACACTCATTCAAACTAGCACAAGTGAAAATTGGAAGATACTGACATAATTTAAGTAATTTTCCAGAAGCCAAGTTTGGAGATGCAGCCTCACAGGACCTGGACAGTGCTTTGGAAGCCATTTCCACCATCTTGTTCACTCTGGGGCCACAGACTGTCTTTTTCTGGTCTCTGCTTCCCTGCTTCATCCTCCTTCTACTCTCTGCTTCCCTAGCGTGTGGCCCAGATGGTCAGTCACAATCCTGACTCCACAGCAGTTTTGGGGTCAAGCCTGTAGACAGGAGTTACTTATCATCTTTGAGTTTATTTAATTTTTCAATGGGAGAACTAGATTGTCCAGTCTTGGCCAAAAAAATGGTCTAGCTTTGAGTCATACTGTAATCATCTGTGGCTCAAAGGCAAGATCCTGCCCACTGTCCACTCGGCAGGGCTGTGGTGGGCACCACAAGGAGGAGTATTTCTTCTTCAAGGATGAAAAAAAGAAGAAGAAGAAGAAGAACATTTGAGACAAAGGAAAGAGAAGTCTAAGAAGGTGAAACCATTTGGCCTGAAATCTTGATAAAATAGATGGCCAGGTCACCTACCAAGAGAGGGGACTTGGAGTAAAGCTTAGGAAACTGCAGATATAGGGAAGGTGGAGAAGAGCAGCTCTGGAGAATTTGATATGGGAGAGGCCTAGGAGGCAAAGGACCAGCAAGTGGCTCTGAGGATCTCCAGTGTGCCTGGGAAGATACCTGCTCTAACCAAAGGAGGAAAAGAGAGTCTTGCCAGGGCTCAGGTTCCTAGGGCCCCACAGATCACAAGCATTGGAGAGTCACTTTTTGTTTTCTTTCCACCTTGTGGGAAGTTCTTTGAAAGTTTGGTAAGTGACTGAGCAAATGGGAATTGTGAGAGAGATATTCCAGACAAATTAGGCTTCCAAGGCTAGATAATGAGGGGCTAAGAGTTCTCAGGGACTCAGAGCCTCTGCCCTGGGAAACCAGAGAAAGGAAGCCTGCTTTTCTGTGAAACTGGCCTTCCTCAAGTCATCCAAAGTCAGTGTCTGGGCAGCCTTCCTTCCTCCCTTCTGCTTGGGTGGTAGACCAGTTATCAATTTATTGCCCCTCACCTCCAAATACACTCCTCATTACCTGCTCTGGGATAACACAACTGGACCCTTTAAGCATTTTTCCTTTGCAGCAAACACACTGTTAAGCTTTATCAATGCAGGTGCTGGGGTATGCTGTCAGAGGGGGAGGCTATTCTTCCTAGTTCCAGTGTACTTCCATTTGCTTCTTTTTGCTCCTGCTTTAAAGCTGTGGGCTGTGAAGTGTAGAACACGCAGCGGTGCTCCACTCCAGCCAAGTGCCAGCACACACAGTGCGTGGGCAAACTTGCAGCCTTGGCCTGGAGACCACCTCCCCACAGCCCTCCCAAGGTCATGCATGTGATGTGTGCATATGGTAGTCATCTCCATGCTGTGGGAGTGTGGGTCATTTTTATTTTACTACTATGTATATGTCAGGAACTGAGGTCAAAGAAAAAAGGTGTGAATTCTCAAATTGTAAGAGATAGTCTACTTTCCCCTGTCATTTAGAAATGAAATTTCCCCGATTTAAACTTGCATGTATTAGTAGATTAACTCTCATTATGTAAGTGCATAGAACTATTAAACTGAGATCTTACATTGTTTTGTACTCTGCAAAATATACCGAAATAGAGCAGTCACTTCAAGTCTACTATTTTACTTGCTACCAAGGGCAGTGGCAGCCCACCTGAGAAGGTATTGTACATAAAAACTACATCTTGTATTCTTTTCTCAAAACTTGGGAGGTAGGAGGAAAAAAATGAAAAGGAGAAGAATGAGGAATGCCAGAAAATATGAGTAATTATTTCTGCAAATTAGATGTGTACTTATTCTTTCGGGCTGTTTCATTTTGCCCTTGCAAATGTGTATTCTGCAACCACACAGGATAATTGGTATATACCCTGAATCTCTACCTTACTTGCCCTATTGATATTTTGGTGTTCCATGAGGGAAAGCCCCAGGAAAGAAGGGGGTGGTATATTGGGGAAAGATGTTGCATTTGCAACAGTAATTCTGCTATAATACTTTGTAAGCCCAAACTCTATGCCTTCTTTTCTGTGGATTAGAACTGTTTGTCTATAATGCCAAAGTAATTTATTCCTTGGCATTTAAAAGAAACACCCAAGTAACATAATTTCAATGTGCTAAAATTAATTTCAATTTTCTGGGAAGTGAGAGTGCATATGTGTGTGTGTGATTGTGTACATGTGTATGTACACTTTTTCCAAACCTCTTGGATTGTACTGACACCATTGTTATTTCCTGAGCATGAATAAACCCTCTTCCTTACTCACCCACTCATATTTTGAAACTTGTCAGGATATGAAATAATTTGGTGCACTTTTCATGCTAAAATTATCCTTGGAGGAAGAGTTCTACACACCAAACATTCACCCAAAAAAAGACTCTAAAAATGTAAATGTTTGGTTGTTCATGCCAGTAATCAAGGCTAGAGAATTCAACCCTTCCCAAGTTAGGGAGAGAGAAAGTCTGCTGTGCATCTTGTAGCACAACTGTCACCATCCGGGCTTGGAAGCTCTGTGTTCCTTTATCTCACTACAGTACAGTAATCCCCCTTATCCACGGGGCATACGTTCCAAGACCGCCAGTGGATGCCTGAAACCACAGACAGTCCAGAAACTTATGTGCACTATGTTTGTTCCTATACATACGTATCTGTGATAAAGTTTAGTTTATAACTTAGACACCGTAAGAGATTAATAACAATAGCTAATAATAAAATAGAACAACTCTAACAAGATACCATTAAACAGTTATGTGGATGAGGTCTCTTGCTGTCTTTCAAAATACCTTATTGTACTGCACTCACCTTCTTGTGATGATGTGGGATGATAAAATATGGTGTGCGTGATGCAATGAGATGAAGTGAGGTAAATGACGTAGGCATTGTGACTTAGCATTAGGCTACTACCGACCTTGAACACAAGCACTGTGATTCAGCAACAATCAAGGTAACTACTAAGTGGCAAACAGGTAGGTAACATAGACAGGGTGGATATGCTGGACAAAGGGAGGATTCCCATCAGAGCAGGACAGAACAGGATGGCACAAGATTTTATCACGCTACTCAGAATGGCACACAGTTAAAAACTTATGAATTGGTTATTTCTGAAGTGTTCTATCTAGTATTTTCAGACTAGAGTCGATTTCAGGTCACCGAAACCACATAAAGCAAAGCCAAGGATAGAGGGTGGGGGTATTGTACTGGCATTCTGATTTTTGAGAGCTGTCTTTTCAGCTGAGAAAATGGGGAGTAAGTCCAAGACAGCCTCATCTGCCGAAGAGCAGGTTGCATGGATGGAATGGGCAAAGACAGAGTGAATAAGTATATCATATGGTTAGCTAAGAAACTTTCCCCACTTTTTAAAGGCAGTTTTAATAGTCTGGAACACATATGGTTTTCTTTAGGAAAAAAAATCACAGGAATATCTGCAAATATGAAATAATTGTATAGACACCATAACTCCAAAAACAATTATTGCTTGTCTGATTAGAATTAGAAACACTGCTGATTTAACTCATGATTTTGATTCAGGCCTTAACTGGAGCACGGCTCAGTTACTTCAGTTAGAAGTAACTTAGTTTTTCTAAGAAGCTCCAGTTGCCTGGGCTACAAAGCCCATTCCGTAACACTATGTCCATCATACACATAAATAAATGACCAAAGTGTGATGACCTAGAGACTCATTTGATCACAAATGTGGACTTTTTGTCTTCAGGAAGTTGGGATTTCTCTTCACAGAAAGGTCGACTCCATCCGTTGTCTGCACAGCTCTCTCCCTCACTTGCTCACTTTCATCACCCCCAAAACATGCACCCTTCCTCCCTTCTCCCACCAGAGAAACTCTTACTTATTCTGCCTGATTCCGTTTACCTGCCCACTTTACCTCAAGAGCAGCTTTAATTAGTTGTCCTTACTCCGTGCCCCATTAGTACCTTCTGTTTAGCTGTTCCATGGCATTTATTAAGCTGAATTGTAGCTAGTTTTATCATCTGCCTCTTCTTACCTGACTAGGGGTGGGTGGGGTGTCTGGAGGGCATCTATTGGGTGCTTTAATCCCACCATTTTATTTTGCACAGAGCAGACTCTCAGTAAGTGGTGGGTGAAAGATGTTAAGATACCCTCCCTCCCATGGTTGTGTGAGGATCCAATGCGATGAGACAGATGAGATCAAGTTTCAGATCGTAAGACCCTTCCTAGATGTTAGGTAGTTTTGGCAAAATGGAACACATATAAAATTTGTTTCATTGTACCTATATTTAAGTGGATGTTTGGTATAGCTTAAGCTTGTTTCAGTGATTAAGGGGACTTGGGAAGGTAATTAATCTTTACAGATTACTTTCGCTGTGCCAGGTGCTTTTTATATACTTTTATTAATCCCTCCAGCAATCCTGGAGATAGGTATTAGTATCTCCTTTTTACAGATAAGAAAACTGGAATTCAGATAAACCAAAACACCTTCCAATATCACACAGCGAGTGGCAGAGCCAGGATTTGACCTAAGCTTTGTCTGCCTCCAGAACCCATGTTCGCTTCCCTACAGGATGCTGCCTTTGCAGAGGGAAGGATCTTAAGTCATAGACGATTATTCCGCTCACCCTTTCACTCGTCCCCTATTCCACACACCTGAAAAATATTTATATATCAGAAGAAACTGCCTAAGGTATGCAGCTGAATGGTGGCTGAGCTCAGCATAGTCCAAGAGTCTGCACAGGTGTTGACTGGACTCCCAGAAGCCAGAAATAGTCTCAAGCTTCTTTACAGCACAAAGAAAAGACACTCACCCACAATGTAAGCAAATACAACAAATCAACTGGATTGTGATAGTTAAATAGGTTATGTCTCTGTGAGGTTTTGGTATCAGAATGATGCTGGCCTCCTAGAATGAGTTATGAAGGAATCCCTCCTTTTCGATTTTTTGTAATAGTTTCAGTAGGATTTGGTACCAGCTCTTCTTTATACATCTGGTAGAATTTAGCTGTGAATCCATCTGGTCCAGCAGTTTTTCTGTTTGGTAGGTTTTTTTTTTTTTTACTTACTGATTGAATTTCAGAACTCATTATTAGTCTGTTCAGGGATTCAGTTTCTTCCTGGTTCTATCTTGGGGCGGCGGGGGGTGGGTGTTGTATGTTTCCAGGAATTTATCTATTTCTTCTAGCTTTTCTAGTTTGTGTGCATAGAGGTGTTCATAATAGTCTCTGAGGATTTTTTTTTTATTTCTGTGGGGTCAATGGTAATGTCACCTTTGTCATTTCTAATTGTGTTTATTTGGATCTTTTATTAATCTAGCCAGTGGTCTATCAATCTTATTTATTCTTTCAAAACCCCAACTTTTGGGTTCACTGATCTTTTGTATGGTTTTTCACATCTGAATTTAGTTCAGCTCTGATTTTGGTTTTTTTCTTCTGCTAGCTTTGGGGTTAGTTTGCTCTTGCTTTTCTAGTTCCTCTAGTTGTGATATTAGGTTGTTAATTTGATACCTTTCTGACTTTTTGATGTAGGCATTTAGTGATGAAGGCACTGTACTTCTCTCTCAACACTGCTTTAGCTGTGTCCCAGAGATTCTGATATGTTATATCTCTGTTTTCATTCATTTCAGATAATTTCTTGATGGCTGCCTTAATTTCATTGTTTACCTAAAAGTCATTCAGGAGCAGATTGTTTAATTTCCATGTAATTGTGTGGTTTTCAGCAGTTTCTTAATATTGATTTCTATTTTTATTTTGCTGTGGTCTGAGAGTATGGTTGGTATGATTTCAGTTAGAATTTATTGAGAATTGCTTTGTGGCCAAGTGTGTGGTCTGTGCCATGTGCGGATGAGAACGATGTATGTTCTGTTGTTGTTGGCGGTAGTGTTCTGCAAATGTCTGTTAGGTCCATTTGGTCCAGTGTTGAGTTTGGGTGCCAAATATCTTTTTTAGTTTCCTGCCTCGGTGATCTGTCTGATGCTGTCAGTGGGGTGTTCAAGTCTCCCACACTTACTGTGTAGTTATCTAAGTCCCTTCATAGGTTCCTAAAAATTGTTTATGAATATGGGTGCTCCAATGTCAGGTGCATATATATTTAGGATAGTCAAGTCTTCTTGTTTAATTGAACCCTTTGCCATTATGTAATTCCCTTCTTTGTCTTTTTGATCATTGTTCCTTTAAAGTCTGTTTTTTCTGAAATAAGAAAAGCAACACCGGCTTTCTTTTTTTTTTTTTTTTTTCCTGTTTGCTTGAGAGATCTTTCTCCATCCCTTTACTTTGAGCCTATGGATGTCATTGCATGTGAGATGGGTCTCTTGAAGACAGAATACCTGAAACACTCCTATGCACTTTCCAAGGTGCTGCTGAAGTGTAATGTGTTTGAAAAGCCCTTCTGGATGCACTTAGAGAGAATTAATTATTCCTTCCCCAGAGCACTCATAGACCTTTGTACGTGCTCCTGCTATAGTTCCTTTTCACACGTGCTATGCTGAAATGCATCTTCTGCTAGAATGAGAAATCAACAAGAGTAGGAACTGTTTCTTAATTGTCTCAATATCCTCAGAGCCTACCTACACAGCAGATATTCAATAAATGTTAATAAGATGACTACTGAAAAGATGACTACCTACCTACACAGTTCCTTTTCACACGTGCTATGCTGAAATGCATCTTCTGCTAGAATGAGAAATCAACAAGAGTAGGAACTGTTTCTTAATTGTCTCAATATCCTCAGAGCCTACCTACACAGCAGATATTCAATAAATGTTAATAAGATGACTACCGTACTACCACCACTAGAGGGCAATGTAACCGAGATTACTATACACCACAGGTGCAGTTCCAGATGAATAACGAAAGTAACTTTTTAAAAAATAACATATTTCTCACATATTCTTTGTATTTTTCCATGCATTTTAGTCAATTCGGTATTTAAGTTTGAGGAAACATTCAACAAATGTAAAAAGAACACTTGAAACAGAGGCTAAGTGCCAGAGTGCTAAAGAGCATAAGGATTAATTGCCTGGCCTGGAGAGAAAAAACTACAAAATACAAATGGGATTGGAGATGGGATTCATCTCAGACAGAAAGCAGCTATCCTAATAAATTAGTGCTGTATGTTCTCACATTCTCAGAATGCTCCATCCTCCACGTTAACCACAAGGTGGAATTAAGCATCATTGTATCTAACAAAGAAATGAATTACAAGGAAATAAACATTTATGAGTGCTTGTAATTCAGTAGAATACAAATCGAGTGTAACTTTCAATTTAAGAAGTTTCTGTATATTTATTTCTGGAACATAGCAATTCTACAGCTGGCTTTCCTTCTGTTTAGATTTCAGACCAGTGATGAAACAAGAATTCAAGGAGCAAGTTTCTTTCTTTTTTTTTTTTTTGAGACTGAGTCTCACTCTGTCACTCAGGGTGAAGTGCAGTGGGCAATCTTGGCTCCCTGCAAACTGCCTCCCAGGTTCAAGCGATTGTCCTGCCTCAGCCTCCTGAGTAGCTGGGATTACGGTGCGTGCCACCATGCCCAGCTAATTTTTGTATTTTTTAGTAGAGACAGGATTTCACCATGTTATCCAGGCTGGTCTCAAACTCCTGACCTCAAGTGATCCGCCCACCTCAGCCTCCCAAAGTGCTGGGATTACAGGCATGAGCCATCATGCCTGGCCTCAAGGGACAAGTTTCTGATGTGACATTTCTTCTGTACAATGTAAATAAACTTTAGAGGAAACTCCACTCAGTGCCATTTCCAGGGCAACAGATGACACCTCCTCTGTGAAACTTTTCCCCACCTTTCCAGCTACAAAAAAGCTCTCCACCAGTTTTGCTCCCATAGTTCTTTATTTGTACCCCCCAGTAGTACCCTTCACATTCTACCTTGTATTGCATTTACCTGGGTTCATGCCTTAGCTCCCCTCCTAGACTGGAAATCCTGGAGGATCTGGGCATGTCTGTTCATCCTCATAACCCAGAGTGTCTATTAATATCTCACATCATAGATGTTTGCTAAGTTTGGTTTAATTAAACTAAATGGAATGGAGTTTGTGTTCCAGTAACTGTGGCTCTGAAGCCTGCTTTTTTTAGTCTGTTTTCACTTTTTCTTCCCACAGTTGATTTATCAGCAGCACCCATCAGTTTCGAATGTGGACAGATTCATTTTGATTAAACGGCTTTCTATCACAAACATTTAGAACCAGTACCACAATTTAGCTAACAGTTACATATTTATTACTTAACCTCACTTGGCTTCAGTTTCCTCATCTGGATTTTTAGAAGGGGGAATGGACAAAATGTTTTTCAAAAAAAACACAAATTAATAACTAATGTCCCTTTTGTTATTTTTTCCTACCCATGAAGCCTATGTTTTGAATGATTTGGCCAATCTAACTGCATTTACACATTCAAAGTTTATTATTATCTCTTTAATGAATTCAAGCATAAGTAATTGTTAACAGTTGAATAATGTGTTTTTATCATACTGATGATATAATTTTGGCCCTAATTATGTATTTGTTTATTGAATGCCTACTGGGTATCAGGTTCTGTTCTTGACATTAAGGATAACTGTGAACAGAAGAGTCAACATCCCTGCCCAAGTGGTGCTTACATTCTAGTGAGGGTAAAAACAAAGAAACTTGATTATCATCTATCAAGGTTAAGTAGGTCTGTACAGCACTATTTGATTAATAATTGTGTGACTTAATTTAGGCTTTTTAGAGCTTTGAAATAGCTTGGGTTTCACACTGTCTACTGTGTCTAGGGTCCTTCTTTGTCAAGGACACCAGTGGTTAGAAGCTCTCTGAGATCCCTTCTACCGTGAATGTTTTGCTCATAATTTTCCTGACTATATTAGTTTTCTATTATGGTGTCAAAAATCACAAATTAAGTAGATTAATTAAAAAAAAACATTCATGATCTCATAGTTCTGTGGGTCAGGAGTAGGCTTCACCGGTTTCTCTACTTAGGGGCTCACAAGGCTGAGGCCCAGGTGTGGGCCATCTGGGCTTTTATCTGGAGGCTCTACAGAGAACCCACTTATAAGCTCATTCAGGTTGTTGGCAGTATCCAGTTCCTTGCAGTTGTGGGGCTGAGATCCCTGTTTCCTGACTGGCAGTCAGCCAGGGGCCTCTCTTTTAGCTCCTTAGGGCCACTTACATTCTCAGATAGCTCTCTCTGTCATCAAAGCCAGCAATGGCACAGGGAGCCTTTCTCACACTAAGAATCTCTCTGACTTCTGCTGGCAGCATCAGAAAGCATTCCTGTTTTCAGGGCCTATCTGATTAGATGAGGCCCACCTGGATATTCTCCCTATCTTAAGGTTAACTATGCCATATAATACAACACCATCACAGGACTGAATCTCATCACATGCAGAGGGTCTGGGTAGTTGGATATAACATCTTGGGGGATGATTTTAGAAATTCTGCCTACTGTACTGACCAGTGGAATTTTTCCCTCAAACAGTCATGAAGAGACTCATTGCCACAGATAAGGGTTTTAGAATCATATAACATTATTTTATTTAATGGAATGAAGGTCTTTTAAAAGGGCAGGTTGGGGCGGTGCATGGTGGCTCATGCCTGTAATCCCATCTCTTTGGGAGGCTGAGGCAGGCGGATCACTTGAGATCGGGAGTTTAAGACCAGACTGGCCAACAGGGCGAAACCCCATCTCTATTAAAAATACAAAAATTAGCCGGGCATGGTGGCAGGTGCCTGTATTTCTAGCTACTCAGGAGGCTGAGGCAGTAGAATTACTTGAACCTGGGAAGCAGAGGTTGCAGTGAGCCAAGATCACACCACTGTACTTCAGCCTGGACAGATGAGACTCTGTCTCCGAAAAAAATTAAAATAAAAAAAAAATGCAGGTTGGAATTTTACGAGACTTTTTTTTTTTTTTTTTTTGAGACGGAGTCTCACTCTTGTCACCCAGGCTGGAGTGCAATGGCACAGTCTCAGCTCACTGCAACCTCTGCCTGCCGGGTTCAAGCGATTCTCCTGCTTCAGCCTCCCTAGTAGCTGAGATTACAGGTGCCCACAACCACACCCAGCTAATTTTTGTATTTTTAGTATAAACGGGGTTTCACCATGTTGGTCAGGCCAGTCTCGAACTCCTGACCTCAGTTATCCACCCACCTCGGCCTCCCAAAGTGCTGGGATTATAGGTGTGAGCCACCGCGCCCAGCCCTTTATGAGACTATTTTAAGATTATTTTAATCCCTTTTCCTTTGTGTCTTTTCCTTATAAAACATCATCTCTTTAGGAAGGTAAAAGGTTAATCACAGATATAATGAGCAGCTTCAAGTAAATGAATATTAATTCAATTCACATTAATAATATTCATGAACTGTCATTCATAAAATCTTTTTATGCCTAATCCTTTAAGATACAGGTTAATAAACAATACATTTTGGGGGTCCATTTTTAACTGGCATTCATTAAATTTTAATATTTAACTATTACATCAACAGAATGTAGATCAATAGAATGAGCTGACATCTGAAAGGGTAAAATGATGATAATTGTGCCTATCAAATTTTATGCAGCATTTTCACTTGTGTGGAGTTGAAGAGTAAAGGAACTTAGTTTTGTTTACATTTTCTAATCTGAGTATTGACAATTTGAGATGACAGTTCAATTTTCACTAAGTAATGATTACTTAGAGCCCATTTTCTCCACTTCAACAGATAAAAAATATATAATTGGTGTCACTGTGGCTGCAATCAAATCATGTCTTATGATAGAAAAGCAGAAAATGTAGGATTTTTTTCAAAAGCATTTATCTCTGGCAGATGTACTACGGACAAATGACTCAATCCATCAACATACAATTCATTAAATATAATTTAGTTAAATGTTTTAACTAACCTATGTGTTCTCCTTAAAAGTCTTCAAAACTAAGATTATGAAGTAAACACCACTACTCTCTGAAAATAATTCTGGCCAAATATATTAGACTAGATCTACCACCGTCTACTTCAGAATCACCTGGAGTAGATTATTAAAAATTAGGATTTCTGGGCCCACTCCCAAAGTTGCCATACCAGCTAGGGCTTATTTTGTTGCAAGTAACAACAACAATAATAACAAAACTCAAACTCTTTCTTCAAAGAAAGAGGACTTAATGAGTCAAAGGGGTTCAGTAGCTCATCAATATCATCACACATCTGGTTCCTTTTGTCTCTTCCTCTCTGCCCTCCATGGCATCAGCTTCATTCTGAAGAGAACTATCCCCAATTCCCTGGGAACTTGCTTCCTCCACCACATCTTGGAAGAGAGAAGAGCTCGTTCCTCCAAGTTCTCTATGTAAGGAAGCAACCTGCCTTAAAAGTTGCAGGAAAAACACTTCACATCTTGCTAAGCTGAATTAGGTCAAGTTCCCATTCCTGAGCGAATCACTCAAGAGACGTACTTGCACAGATTTACTTTGAGCCATGTGCCTTCTTAAAAGCAGACATGGAGACATCTTCTCCTAAAGCACATTGGGTGGGAATTGGGGGATGTGTATGCACCAAGAGATGGAGAAATTGACGATGGGAAGACATCACAAAGCCCATATTTCTCAGACTCTACATTCACACAAACAGTACATGACATTTCAGGGAGCACCCTTCTCATAGAATACAATGTGAAGGCCACCCTCTCCCTTATCCTCCCTTGGTAATTTCTCAACTTGACAGCCCTAGTCTCTGGGTGAAGTCTAAAAGTAGAAATTTTAATAAGCTACCCAAGTGAGTCTGCTGCACACAAAAGTTTGAGGACCACTGCACTGTACTGTAATACTTCTTAAGGATAGTTTCATTAATTCTTATATCCTAGGAACCAAGTCAAATATGTGGCCTACTATACAGTAAGTGATCAATAATGTTAGTCAATTAGTGATTAATTTATTGCTTTTGCCCATTAGAAAAATTTGGTCAGGAAAACCTTCTAAAAGTAAAACTTTCAGTGGCACAATATCTACAGTGGGAAATAGCAGAGGACACTGACCTTCAGCCTGGCTTTTCTGGGCTTATAGACAAATGTCTCATCAGCAGCAATGAACAAAAGAATCTAACAATATAAATTGTTACGGACATCACCAAGAATTCAGATTTCTCCTTAGAAATGTGTTTCCAAAAGAGGTTTATAATCAGTATAAATTACAAAAGCATCTAAGTTTCAAGATCATCATGGAACTTCTGGACTTTCACTATGAGCTTCTTTACTAATATATTAATACCTCTATATTGGTAGCAATTTTTTAAAAATAGGTATTTTAGTGCCATTTAGCATTCTGTGACTAAGAAAATTTCCTTCACAGTGAACGGAAGGGTCAAAGATAGGAAATAGCGGTCCATGATCATTAGAATGCATTAGCATAGACCATGAAGCCAGGAACTCCTTGACATCCTGGAAGGTGTCCTCATGTGGGCAATCCTCTACCACAGGATCCTGTTATCCTGTGGCTGATGAAATAACTCAGTGCATCAGCCTCCTTTGAAGAAAAATATAATAGAAATGGAGTAGCCCCAGAAAGGCCTAAAGTACCTCCTTTTTTTGTGGAGATTTACCATGTGAGTGCATCTCATGAATATCAATGCCTCTGCCCAAATAGTGATACTGGAAACCAATCTCATATTTGCCTGCTCTTTAAAAAGTAAACTCCAGAGTTGCATCAGTAAGATGGTGGAATAGGAGCTTCCGTCACTAGTTTCCTCACAGAAACATCAATCTGAACAACCATCCATACATGAGAATACCTTCACAGTAGCTGGAAAATCTAGTTGAGAGATTATGGCACATGGTGGAGCATAGAGATGGGGAAGGATGCACTGGAGAGAGTAGAAAGGACAGTTTCACATTACCTATATCACTCCACCCCCAAGTAGTAGTAGCCTGAGTAGTGTAGTATGGACAGAAAGGCCCTCTGTGAGTGGGGAAGGAGAGTGCAATGAGCATCAAATGTCACTGCAAACCCCAGCACCAGGCCTGCCTCAGTGTACACTAGGGCTACACTGGCCCCCTGAGACTCTGAGGACCCAGGCTCCAAGCCCACCCCAGCCACAGGCCAGCCTCTACAGACTCAGAATCAAGGCCTGCCTCAGTGCCAGTTCAGCCCCCATTAACATAGGCTTCAGGCCAGCCCCTACAAGCCTAGACTCCAGGCCTGCCCTCCTGGACCCAAGCTCTAGGCCCATCCTCCCAGATCTAGTCACTAGGTTCACTCCAGTAGACTCTAGTACCAGTACCAGGCCAGTCTCCATGGATTGAGGCACCAGGCCCATCCACCCATGGAAAGCGTCACCAGTTCAGACCACTCAGGGACTCTAGTATGAAGCCCACCAATAGACCCTTTCAGTCAGCCCACCCAGAATCTGTGGATGGGCTGACTGGTGAAGTACTTTCCTTGCTGAAGCCAGTCTGTAAAGACTGAAAGACATGCCTACTTCTTCAAATGCCAGACACCAAAGCAAGGCCAAAAAGATCAAGAAAACATACAACACTAAAGGAACAAAATAAAGTATCAGTTACTGATCCTAAACAAATAGAAATCTACAAACTGCCTGACAATTAATTCAAAATAATTGTCTTAAAGAGGCTCAGTGAGCTGCAAAAGAATGCAGATAGATAACGAAACAAAATCAGGAAAACAATTCATGAACAAAATTAGAAGTTCAACAAAGAGATTGAAGCCACACCAAAATAAACCCAACAGAAAATCTGGAGCTGAGAAACATTATCCAATTGAAAAATTCTATAGAAAGTTTCAACAAGCTGGCAAAATCAAGCATAAGAAAGAATCAGTGAGCTCAACAACAGGCTACTTGCAATTATCCAGTCAGAGGAACAACAACAACAAAAGAATGAAAAGAGTCTACAGGACTTATGGGACACCATCAAGCAAACCAATATATGCACTATGAGAGACTCAAATAGAAGCAGAGAAAGAGAGAAGAAAGCTTAAAGAAATAATGACAGAAGACTTCCCAAATATGTGGATGAAATGAACCTCCAGCTTTACAAAGCCCAAAGAACTTTAAATAGATTAAACATAAAGAGATATTCATTGAGACACCTTATAATCAAACTGTCAAGAATCAAAGAATTTTGAAAGCAGCAAAAGAAAAGCAATTTGTCACATAAAAGGGATTTCAGTGGATCAGGCTAATAGTGGATTTCTCAGCAAAGACCTCATATGCCAGAAGAGAGTGAGATCATATTGCTAAGTACTGAAAGAATAAGATGAGTAAGATTTCCAACCGGAAATACTACACCTGGCAAAGCTGTCCTTCAGAAATGAAGGAGAGATAAAGACAAACAAAAGCTGAGGGATTTTCTTCCTACTACACTTGCCTTATAAGCGATGCTAAAGAAAATCTTCAAGCAGAAATGAAAGGATGTTCATTAGTAACATTAAAATATACAAAAGTAAAAAATTCATTGTAAAGATAATAATATAGTCAAATTCGGAATACTGTAATACTGTAATGGGGTGGTGTGTATATCACTTTTAACTCTAGTATAAAAGTCAAAGGACAAAAGTATTAAAAATAACTATAGCTACAATAATTTTCTAATAGACATACAATGTAAAAAAGATGTAAATTGTGGCATCAATAACAAATTATGAGCAGGGGAGAGAGAAAGTGTAGAGTTTTTGCATGCAAAGTTAAGCTCTTGCTGGCTTAAAGTAGACTGTTATAACTATAAGATGTCTTGTGCAAGCTTCATGGTAATCACAAGGAAAAAAACCTGTAGTAGTTGCACAAAAGAGAAAGATATTAAAGCACATCACTATACAAAACCATCAAATCACAAAACGAGACAGCAAGAGAGAATGAAAAAAAACAAAGGAACTAAAAAACAGAAAAGAATTCATGAAATGGCAGTATAGGTTGAGTATTCCTTATGTGAAATTCTTGGGACTAGAGGTACTTTAGACTTTTTTTTTTTTTGGATTTTAGAATATTTGCATTATACATACCAGCTCAGAATCTTTAATTTGAAAATCCCAAATCCAAAATGCTCCACTGAGCATTTCCTTGGAGCATCATGTCATCCTTCAAAAAGTTTCAAGTTTTGGAGTATTCTGGATCTTGAATTTTCAGATTAGGGATACTCAACCTGTAGTAAGTCCTTATCTATCAATAACTCTTTAATTTTAAATGGATTAAATTCTCCAACCAAAAGACATAGATGGCTGAATGAATAATTTTATAAAACAAACACAAGATCCAACTATATGCTGCCCACAATAGACTCACATTAGGTTTATGGACAACACATATACTGAAAGTGAAGAGCTGGAAAAAGATATACCACGCAAATAGTAACTTAAAGGGAGCCAGGGTAGCTATACTTATGTCTGACAAAATAAACTATAGGTCAAAAACTGTAACAAGACAAACAAGGTCATTATATAATGAAAAAGGAGTCAATTCATCAAGAGAATATAACAATTATATATAAGTGCTTAGCATCAGAGCATCTAAATGTAAATAAAGCAAAATATTAATACACCTGAAGGAAGAAACATATAACAATTTGATAATAGTAGATTATTTCAGTACCCCACTTTCAACAATGCATAGATCATCTGTACAGAAAATCACTAAGGAAACAGAGGGCTTGAACAACACTACAGACCAAATGGGCCTAACAGACATATACAGAATATTCCATCCAACAGCAGTAGAATGCATATTCTTTGCAAGTGCATGTTCTGTGAACATTCTCCAAAATAGATAAGTAAGTCTTAACAAATATAAGATTTAAATTATCTTTTGCAACCACAATGGTATAAAACTAAAAATCAATACCAGGAAAACAATTGAAAAATTCATAAATATGTGGAAATTAGCATATTCTGAAACAACCAATGATTCAAAGAAGAAATTCTTTAAAATGTTAGAAGTAAATCTTGAGATGAAAATAGAAACACAATATACCAAACTTATAATGAAAGCAGTTCTAAGAGGGAAGTTTGTCGTGCTGACTGCCTATATTAAGAAAAAAAAAAAGAGATCTCAAACAATTTAACCTTAAACTTCAAGGAACTAGAAAGAAGAACAAACTATACAACAGTTAACAGAAGGAAAGAAATAACAAAGATACAAACAGAAATAAATAAGAGACAAACATTTTTTTAAAATAATGAAATTGAGTTGGCTTTTTGAAAAGATAAAATTGACAAATCTAATGAAGAAGAGACTCAAATAAATAAAATCACAAATGAAAGAGTAAACATTACACTGATAGTACAGAAATACAAAGGATCATAAGAGACTAAAATGAACAATTCTATATCAACAAATTGGGTAACCTAGAAGAAATGAATAAATTTCTAGAAACATACAACCTAATAAGACTGAAGACATGAAGAAATAGGAAATGCGAACAGACCAATAATGGGTGAGGAGATTGAATAGGCAACCAAAAACCTCCCAACAAAAGAAGCCCCAGAACCTGATGGCTTCATTGGTAAATTCTATCAAATTTTTACAGAATAATTAACATAAATTTTTCTCAAACTTTTCTGAAAAATTGAAGAGGAGGGAACACTTCCAGATTCATTTTATGGTCTTCATTACCCTGAAGACAAAGCCAGATAAGGATTCTACAAGAAAAATATAGACCAATATCCCTGATGAACATAGATACAAAAATTCCTCAACAAAATACTAGCAAATGAACTTCAACAGCATATTAATGGTACCATACATCATGATCAAATGGGATTTATCCCTGGGATGCAAGGATCATTCAACATATGCAAATCAATAAATGTGATATACCACATTAACAGAATGAGGAATAGAAATCATATGATCATCTCAATAGATGCAGAAAAAGCATTTGACCAAATTCAAATCCTTTTATGATAAGAACTCTCAACAAATTAGGTATAGAAAGAATGTACCTCAACCTAATAAAGGCCATATTACACACCCACAGCTAACATCATACTTAATGGTGAAAAGCTAAAAGCTTTTCCTGTAAGATCAGGAACAAGACAGAGATGCCCACTGTCACCATTTCTATTCAGCATAGTACTGGAAGTCCTGATCAGAGCAATTACACAAGATGAAGACAAAATTCATCAAATAGGAAAGGAAGAAGTAAAATTTTCTCTGTTTGGAGGTAGCATGATCTTATATACAGATGCTCCTAAACTTATGGTTACATCCCAATAAACCCATGGTAAGTTGAAAATATTCTAAGTTGGAATGCATCAAGTTATGTGCCAACAAATCAATCAAAAGGTTGAAAAATCATAAGATGAACCATCATAATTCATAAACTCCTCTATTTACAATGGGATTATATCTTAATAAATTCATTGTAAAGTCAAAAATTAATAAGTAATACCATCATAAGGTATGGTGTGTATAGTAAATTCTAAAGACTCCACAAAAAATCTTAGAACTAATAAATTTAGTAAAGTTGCAGGATACAAAATAAACATACAAAATTATTAGTCTGTAGACTAACAATTAACTATTTAAAAAATAAATTTAGAAAACAATACCATTTACAATACCATTCAAAAACAACAAAATTCTTAGGAAGAAATTTAACCAAGGAGGTGAAAATTTTGTACAGTGAAAACTATAAAACACTGATAAAAGAAATTGAAGAAGACACACATAAATGAAAAGATATCCTATGTTGATGAATTGGAAGAATTAACATTGTTAAAATGTCCACACTATCCATGGCAATCTACAGATTCAATATAATTTCAATCAAAATTCCAATGGCATTTTTTACATAAATAGAAAAAGCAATCCTAAAATTCACATGAAATCACAAAAGACCAAAATAGCCAGTGATCTTGATCAAGGAGAGCAAAGCTGGAGGCATCACACTACCTGATTTCAAAATATACTACAAAGCTGTAGTAAATTGAAACAGTATGATACTGGCATAAAAACATTCATATACACCAATCAAACAGAATAGACACTTCAGAAATAATTCCACTCATTTAAAGTCAATTGTTCTTTGACAAAGATGCCAGGGACACACAATGAGAAAAAGTTAATCTATTCAATAAATGGTGCTGAGAAAACTGTATATTCACATGCAGAAGAATAAAATTAGGCCGGGTGCAGTGGCTCACGCCTATAATCCCAGCACATTGGGAGGCCGACGTGGGCAGATCACCCAACGTCAGGAGTTCAAGACCAGCCTAACCAACATGGCAAGCCCCATCTCTACTAAAAATACAAAATTAGCCAGGAGTGGTGGCACATGCCTGTAATCTCAGTTACTTGCGAGGCTGAGGCAGGAGAATTGCTTGAACCTGGGAGGCAGAGGCTGCAATGAGCCAAGGTCGTGCCATTGCACTCCAGCTGGGGAAACGAGCAAAACTCCATCTCAAAAAAAAAAAAAAAAAGAAAGAAAAAGAATAAAATTAGACCCTAACCTCATATCATCTATAAAAATCAGGTCAGAATGGATTAAAGACTTAAATGTGAGACCTGAAATTGTAAAACTACTAGAAGAAAATACAGGCGAAAATCTTGAAATAGGTCTTGAAAGGAATTTTTTGGATATTACTCCAAAAGTATAAGAAACAAAAGCAAGTATAGATAAATGAGATTGCATCAAACTAAAAAGCTTCTGCATAGCAAAGGAAACAATCAACAGAGTGAAGAGACAACCTATGGAGTAGGAAAAATTATTTACAAGCCATACATCTAATAAGGGGTTAATATACAAAATACATAAGGAATTCAAACAACTCAATAGCAAGAAGACAAATAACCTGATTTAAAAATGAGCAAAGGCTCTGAAAAGACATTTCTCAAAACAAGACACACAAATGTCCAGTTATATTAAAAAATGCTCACATCTCTAATCATCAGAGAAATGCAAATCAAAAACCACAATGAGATATCGGCTCACACCCATTAGAACGGCTATCATTGGCCAGGCACAGTGCCTCACGCCTGTAATTGCAGCATTTTGGGAGGCTGAGGCAGACAGATCACGAGGTGAAGAGATCGACACCATCCTGGCCAATATGGTGAAACCTAGTCTTTACTAAAAATACAAAAATTAGCTGAGTGTGGTGGTGTGCGCCTGTAGTCCCAGTCACTTGGGAGACTGAGGCAGCAGAATCGCTTGAACCCAGAAGGTGGAGGTTGCAGTGAGCCGAGATTGCGCCACTGCACTCCAGCCTGGAGACAAAGTGAGACTCCGTCACAAAAAAAAAAAAAAAAAAAAAAAAAGAGAATGGCTATTATCAAAAAGATAAAGGATAACAAGTGTTGGTGAGGATATGGAGAAAAGCAAACCCTTATGCACTGTTGGTGGGAATGGAAATTGGTACAACTATTATGGAAATTAATATAGAAGTTCCTCACTACCATATGATCCAACAATCCCATTTCTATTAATAGATAGATATGCAAAGGAAATGAAATCAGTATCTTGAAGAGATATCTGCATTTTCATGTTCATGGCAGCATTATTTACAATAGCCAAGACATGCAATCAACCTATGTGTCCAGGGATGAATGAATGGATAAAGACAAGCACACACACACACACACACACACACACACACACACACACACACACAGGAATGTCATTCAGCCTTTAAAAAGAAGGAAATCCTGTCAGTTGGGACAACACGGATGAAACTAAAGGATATTATGCTAAGTAAAATAAGCTAAGCACAAAGAGACAAATACTGCATGATCCTCACTTATATATGGAATCTAAAAATGTTAAACTCATAGAAGCAGAGAGTAGAAAGGGTGGTTTCCGTGGCCTGGGAGGCAGGAAAAATGGGGAGATGTTGGTTAAAAAGTAGAAAGTTTCAGTTATGCAGGACAAATAATGCCTTTGGTTTTGTGTTGTTATCACAGAATACTACAGACTGGGTAATTTATAAAGAACAGAAATGTATTGGCTAAAAGTTCTGGTGCCAGCATCTGGTGAGAGTTTTCTTGCTGAGTCACTCCATTACAGAAGACAGAAGGGTGAGAAAGAGTGAGAAAGAGGCAAAAGAAGCCTAAACTGAATCTTCCATAAGGAAACGCACTCTCATGATAGCAAACCCACTCCTGCAATAACAAATACACTCTTGCGATAACAGCATCAATCCATACATGAAGACAGAGCCCTCATGGCCTACTCACCTCTTAAAAGTCTCATTGCTACAATGGTGAGTCGGTTTCTAGCATATGAACTCTTAGGGGCACATTCGAACCATAGCAGATAGGTTCTGGAGATCTAATGAACAGCATGGTGACTATAGTTAATAATACTATATTGTATACTTGAAATTTGCTAAGAGAGTAGGTCTTAAATGCTCTCACCACACACACAAAGGTAATTATGTGAGATGATGGAAATAATAGCTTGATTGTGGTAACTATTTCACAAGATATACATATATCAAAACACTGCATTGTATACCTCAAATCTATGCAATTTTTGTCAATTATATCTCAATAAAGCTAGAAAAAACTAAAAAGTAAATAAACTCCGATACCTGATATGTTTAAAGAATACAAGATTTATTAAAATCTTTCCAGAATGCACCCTACTGACCACAGCATGATTATAATACTATTAATAGTTGCAGGGTCCCCAAAAGCAGTATCTGTGAAGCATTTAACGTCTACCCATTCAACAATATTTGTTGAGCCTGAAGGCTAGGAAGTGTGCTAAAGACTAGGGATCCTTTGTATATGTCCTCAAAACCCTCTGTAGGCAAGAGAAGTTATTAGCCAAAGATGCTTAGACTGGATTTTTACCTCAGTAAAAGCTGATTATTTCAGTATCTCTAGTAGAAAATGTTCTGTTAGAATGCTGGACAACAGGGAAGTGCTGAGTAGGCCTCCAATAGCAGTCCTTTATTATGTGGCCAAATTATAAACTATGGGTTTATAATACCCTAAATGGTATGCAATTATAGGATAGCAAAATAAATAAAATGAACATTTATTCTTCCCATAAACATTTATCGAACAGCTAGTCTATGCTTTGTGGCAAGTATGGAGATGAATCTGAACAGTTTACTAGGTATACTTCCTTAATTTGCCCATCTATGAAATGGGAATGAGTCCCTACTCTATAGTAATACTAAAAGCAGGTTTCTGAGAAGACATGAACAAATCCATGGAAAGTGCTTAGCACAGTTTCTAGTAACCAACAGTGCTCATTAAGTTGGATTTATTAAAATGTGGCATAGTTCACAAAGCACTTTTGCATGTTTTTTCACTTTTTTCCACAACACTCATGCAACGTTGAGCGAATTAATTCAAATACAGTGATTTTGCCAAAGCCACATAATTAGTTAAAAATTGGAAGAGCCAAGACTAAAGTCAATTTTCAGAATTCCTGATTTTATTCTTTCTAATACTTTGAGTTGAAGTGTAGAGGCATCTTTTCCAACTCTGAAGAAGAAAATTCATGTTTTTATAAAGGTTATTGTAATTCCTGAACTACTATTAATCATAGAATTGAGACAAGAAGATAGCTATTCTACTCAATTAAAGCTGTGCCTGAAACAACAGGTTAAACCAGTAGAATTTTAACCAACTGACTAGTTTGGGGATGAACTAAGACAAAAAAACTATGGGTTTGTATGCGTGTGTGTGCACTCATGCATGTGCACGTATGCGTGTGCATTAAGTGTGACAGGAATTTGTTTAGCTGCAAATGACAGAGGAACTAATATGGATTTAAACAAGATAGGAATTCATTTGTCTCACAAAAAAGAAATCCAGATATAGGCAGTCCAAGCTGGTGTTGCAGTTCTACAATTTCAGGACTGTTCCAGATTCCTTTTCTCTCTCCATCACCCTGTCCTTAGTGTTTTGACATTCATCCTTATGCTTGCAGCCTCCTGTTACAAGATTGTAACACCAAATTGACATATCATATCTTCATTTCAGGCAGAATAAAGGTAGCAAATACTTTCCCTAAAATGTCAGCATACACCTCATTGGCTAGAATAATGTTACATGGCCACCCCTAGCTGCGAGAAAGTCCAGAAAAGAAATCACTTTTATTTGAGCATGCTGTTATGTGAAATTAAATCAGGGTGCTCTTAGCAAGACAAAAGGTAAAAATGAATAGCAGTATATGCCATTCTAACTTGTTTTGATGACTTCAGCAGCCTTAGAATACACAAGTTAACTTAGACTCAATAAAAATTTAAATAGGTACATCATGCATAGGATACTTCTGATGTACAATTTACTCTTTTGTTGTTGTTGTTGTCGTTTTTCTTGGTTTCGCGTAGAAAACAAATGTAAAATTGGGGTTAAGATTTAGAAGAGTTACCAATATATCCAGGTCAGACCATTAGAATTTCACATGTGGCAGTTCTATAGAACTAGTTTATCAAGCACAACTCTTTAATTAGCATTAGAACTAATTAGAACTCTTTAATTAGCATTTCCTTTGAAAATATCTAAAGAGGACATCCAAAACCAACTTGAAAACACACACAGCCACCTCAATTTTTACTGTTACTAACATTTTCTTCTAATTTAGGTCACTCCTCTATAGAAGTTGGTCAAATCAAGATACAGCTAAATGTGGTTTCACCAACAAATGCAAACTTCTGTGAATACAATATTTAAAAAGAAACAATAAAAAATGAAGAAGTTACTTAGCCTTTCAGGCTTTTATCAGCGCTCTTTTAAACCTGCTCTCACTACTTTGGTGAACATTTGTTTGCATGTATTCTGAAGAATGAGGTTAAGATACAATGAGGCTCATTAATTAGTGTGCCACTAATTTGGACTTGCTCTTTTACAGCTGAGATGCAGCTCTAAAATTTACTGTCCAATATGGTGGCCACTAGTCACATGTGGCTGTTCAAATACAACTTACATAAATGAACTAAAATTAAAAATTCAATTCCTCTGACAATAGATACATTTCAAGTGCCCAAAAACTACATGAGGCTATTGGCTACCATATTGGACAGTGCAGATACAGACCATTTCCCCTATTATGGGAAGTTCTACTGATAGCACTGCTCTAGAAGATTAAGATTTTAAAGAAGCAATATCAAGACCAAATCATCTGAATGAGTATAGTCCATCACTCAGAGCATTTTTATAATTTATCTTTGGAAAAGATTTCAGAGCCCCTGTACAAACCACTTCAATAAAACATCTTGTTTCGTTTCTTCTGAGTTTGCTGAGTGCCTCCTCAACAGCATACTCCAGGTAGTGTGCTACATGTGGGGACTCAAGGACTAATTAGACATAGTCTTTCCCCTCTGTGCCATGACTTATTTGGGGAACAAAAAACTAAGATGTAATGTAATAGGTCTATAAAGGTAAGTATGTACAACATGATCTGGGAACGGAAAGAAAGGAATGATTCTATTTAGGACATTAAGAAAATGCCTTCTTTTGCAAAGAATTCAGCTGAATGCCACACTAGGGGGAAAATTTTTAGCATAAAGGCTTTGAAAGACTACTACAGTATTTTAAAACAAAGGGCTGGCAAGAAATTACATATTCTGAATAGGTCATTCTGGCGGCCATTAGAGCAGGTAAGAAACTGAAGGCAAGACCAGTTGCCAGGCTACGGAAATAATTGGGGTTAGAGATGTTAAGGGCCTTGATTAGGTCAATGGCAATGGGAATCCAGAGAGAGAACAGATTCAAGAGAAGTCTGATTAAAAATACAAAGCTTGATCATCATCTACTTTATTCTTCAGTCTTGGCTGTGTATAGCATTGTGCAATTTTAAAAAATCATTCTCTAAAGATAAAGATTTATCACATCACTGGGGTTATTCTAAAGAATTAGTTGCAAAGATTCAAAAGTGTTTCAGTACGTTCAATTTTTATAAAAACAAAGGAAGAAACACTGTGGGGTGTGTGTGTGTGTAGATAGATACAAGAGATTCTGTAAAGATACACAGCAAGGTCTTAGTGACTATCGAAACTTAGTTTAAATGATTCTGCTAATCTGTATTTTCTGTTTTTCTGTAATGACAAAGCATCTTTTTTTTTTTAAACAAAGAAAAGGTTTTTTTGTTTTGTTTTGTTTCGTTGTGAGATGTGTCACCCAGGCTGGAGTGCAGTGGCACGATTTCAGCTCACTGCAACCTCTGCCTCCCGAGTTGAAGCAATTCTCCTGCCTCAGCCTCCCGAGTAGCTGGGATTACAGGTGCCCACCACCACACCTGGCTAAATTTATTTATTTATTTATTTATTTATTTATTTATTTATTTATTTATTTATTTTTGGTATTTTTAGTAGGGACAGGGTTTCACCATGTTGGCCAGGCTGGTTTCAAACTCCTGACCTCAAGTGAGCCACCTGCCTTGGCCTCCCAAAGTCTTAGGATTACAGGCATGAGCCACCACACCCAGCCAAGTTATTTTTTAAATAGTAATTTTAAAAATCCACAACCATTATACCTAAGAAAGAGTTCTAAAAATCTTTTTAACAAGGTCAACATGGCTAAAATAATTTCCCCAAGTTTACTTTAGGACAACATTCAGTTGAAATATTAAAATAAGTTGCACTATTTCATAGCTATACCTTCTAAAATTAAGGTATTAGTGGTATAAACCATTCTAAAATGACCTGTGCACCTATTTTGCTATTGTTCACTACATTAGTATTACTATACATAATTAAAATAGAAGTTATCTATAATTTCGACCTTCCATTACCTTGTAATTTTGTCTTTCTTTTTCTTCCAGGGAAATAATGAGTTCTCTAACCCTCACTCCCACCCTGCCAAACCCTATTCCCCATAGGTATAATTAATGAGCTCAGGTCTTCCATCTGGACTTAGAAACATGAAATGCTTCTTCTGCCTCGCTCCTAGTTTTTCCAAAGCGAATGAGTTTATACTTGGATACCCTCACTGTTGCACGTCTGACACTTGGCATAGCTAAAAAGCATCTTCTCCACACCTCTGTACAGAATGGCCAGAGCTCTCTGTATGTCCTGCTTTACAACACTCTCTTCTCCCACCTGGGTCTCCAGAAGCACACTGATGGCAGTTGGGAATGTGTCTCTCAAGCACACCACGAGTTCCCCCAGAGCTATAATTCTACAGCTTTCCAGCAGGCCCCATTCCCATTCTCCAGCCCCCTCCTGGACTATGTATGAGGGAGGGATGAGGTGGTGGATTGAGGACATTTATTTAATAAGAAGTCAAAGGAAACATGAACAAATTATCATTTTTTACATGGAACTCACAAGCTAATTAATCAGAGAATTTGTTAAGAAATGGGTTATCTACTCTGGTGCAGTAGCAGAAATTAACATTTTTGACTTGCCTTGTTTTGCCAATATTTAAGCAGTTTGTTCTATTGAATGTGACTACATGTACAGACACACTTTTATTTAGTCTCACACATGAAAAAAGAAAGCAGAAGGCCTGTTATCCAAGTGGTTTCTCATCCAAACATTTTTATAGCAAATTACTAAATCTAGTTGAAAACAATAGGAAAGAGGATACTTTTCCCTCTAGTATTTGTTCTATCAACCTAGACTTAGCACAGAATATCTGAAATTGCAGCTAAAATAAAGGCTTCATTTTATAAAATAACATTTGAGTTGTTCCTGTATCCATGATCAGCATACAGACCTGCTAAAAGCAGAAAATAATGTTATGTTCCTCTCTATGGGATGAGTATTTCAGTAGTTTTAAGGAAAGAAAATCCTGAAAAAGAATTTAGAAAAATATTAATAGAAAGGAGGAGGATGCTTCAAAGTAATGCCGACATACATCATTTTCCCTCCAAGGCTATTAGCACTGAAATACTTTTTGCTGACTATATGGCACTTATTCTATACCTTTTGTTAATTAACAAGTAAATAGGTGGCAACAGCAACTATATTAAAGTAGAAAGCCTTTCTATAAATGAAAGTCAGAATTCAAAATTTAGAAGGCAACATTGTTTGCTTCAGATCTACTTGTTACAAATTGTGGGTTTGAAAACATGCAACCTTATCTCATGATGCACCATAACTAGTATTTAGTTATACTAATAACTCCAAATTATGTAAACAATAGATACCCCGAAATCATATTTGGGTTTGTTTCAGAGATATTTTTGGTTCTTATATTTGGACTTAGGTACTCTTGATCTAAAAATTCACTCAACCTCCAATAAAATAATGAAGGCACAGATAAAAAATCTGATAGAGCTGAATATCGAAATTCCTTGCTTTTAACAGGCGATACAGCGCATTCTTACTCTCTTTTCTCCTAGATCAGCAGGTGTCCCCGCCGCTCCAGTAGACTGAGAAAAAGGAAAAGGAGGGGGCGACAAGAAAGGAAAGGAAATTGTCTAGGTGTCCTGGTGGTGGAGGTGGGGGGTATTTTAATTTCATAATTAAAAGCTCTCTTCTTCGGCTTTCAAGTTTTTACTCCTATTTGTAATGATTTGATTGAGGACTGTGCAGCAGAGTTTGGGTATGTACATCTCTAACATAAACGGAAAGGAACAAGGAAGGGACGGATAGGAGACAGCAAAGGGTTGCGGGGAGAGAGCAAAACGTAGGCGCGTGGGGACGGGAAGGGAGAGGCGGATTTGGCAGTCAAAGAGGGACGAGAGGAACAGGAATGGAAAGTGTGGACTGGCCGTCCAATCCTATGGGGGAAGGGGAAAGGGGGGGCCCACCACGTCGCACTCCTCCCCACCTCCAGGCTTTTCCTGTGTAGGCTGAAGCCATCCAGGCGTGTACAAAAGAGTCGGTTGCTGAGCCAGGAAGGCTGTCTCCCCGGGCTGCGCAAGCTCCGGGCCGCCTCTCCTGGGCTCAGGAGGGCGGGCAAGGATAAGAAGGCAGAAGCCCCAAGGCGGACAGCTTTGTGGGCGCCTGGAAGAAGGCGAAAGGCCACCAGCCCAGACCCCGAGGGCGCTTGCCCGCGGGACTCGGCGCCGCAGGCCAGGGCCGTCCGTGAAGGGTAGTCTGTGCCTACGTCCTGCCCTACTGGTACCACTCGGACACTCTATCCCCGTCCGACCCTTTGCAGGGCTCGACTTGTCTCCCCGACTGCCCGTCCTTAGTCCAGGTTCTCCTGCGCGGCCCGGGTGCGGGGTCTCCTCGTCATCTCGGGCGACACTCTGCAAACAATATGGCGGTCGGGCGTCGACCGTGGCGCCTTCTCTCCGGGCCCTCGGGGTTGACGAGGGGGACTACCGCCGGCGCTCCCGACCCGCGACGCGCGAGCCCCGGGCGGGCGGGGGAGGCGAGAGCAAGAAACCTGTGGGACCTGTGGGGAGCCGCGTCCGCGGGGCTGGCGCGCGCGGGGGCGGCCTCGGGCTCGCGCGCAAAGGCGCGGGCGCGGGCGGGGGCGGAGTGGCGGCGGCAGCGGCGGCTAGAAGCGGCAGCCCAGAGCCCTCTCGCGGCCGCGGCGGCAGCAGCAGCGCCAGCCCCAGCAACACTGAGGCCGCCGCCGCCGCCTGGCGCTCCCGCCGCCCGGCCCGACATGAGTGAGGCGGTTCGGGTACCCTCGCCCGCCACTCCGCTGGTGGTGGCGGCGCCCGCGCCTGAGGAGAGGAAAGGGAAGGAGTCAGAGCGCGAGAAGCTGCCGCCCATCGTATCGGCGGGCGCCGGCGCGACCGCGGTAGGTGGTGGGCCGGGGCCGTCTGGCGCCCCGGACGGCGGGAGTTGGGAGGGACGGCGGCCGGGCGAGGGCCGTCAGGAGGCCTGCGTTTACCCTGGGCACGCCCTGGCACTCCAGGGAGACGCACTCAGGCCGCCCTTCCTTGGGCAGAAATAAAAGAGTTGTGCCTCGTGGACAGCCCCGAACACTTCGCGAGGTACACCTACCACCCTCGGGAAATGTTGGGGGTGGTCGGTTCCGCTGGATGTTTGGGTTATTTTCTGGGGCTTGGGCCCCCACTTTCTCTAAGAGAATGACCTGCATCTTGAGTCGGCATGATCTGTTGGATGAGCATAGGTGTCAGCAGGCGGGAGTGGGTTTTCCACGGAGGTGCCTGCCTGCCTGCCTGCCTTGGAGGCGCGCAGATTTTTGTCCTTTTCTTCGCTTTTCTTTCCCTTCCCCCTTCAGATTAAACAGGCTCTGCGGCGAGTTTCCACTTAATTGTGACCTTTCCGTTGCTGTCAGTGTAGTGGGAGGTAGATGCATCAGTGATGGTTTTATTTTTCATATGGTACAGACATGTGACTCAGGTGGGGGGAGGCTTTTTGAACCTTTTATTTAAACCCAAGTTATCTAAGCTTGACAGGGATGATTTCCCAGCTGTATCTTCGTAAGGGTTATTTGGAGAGCGCTGTCAGGCTTCAAACTACATATTGCCAGATGATGTCATGGGACAGCCCCCTCCCCCTCTTTCCCTATTTTTACTGGTGGTTGTGACTGGTTAATTTGAAGCACAATTTAAAAAAAAACCTCGGATTTTGCAATTTTTTATTTTGACATAATATTTAAGTACTTTTTGAAAGTTTGCTTTGATATATTTAAAGATCATGACTTGTCATGCAGCTGTGTGTGACAAAATAGTAAAAGTTTAGTGAACATTATACATTTTCTTTATTCCTACTTGCGGTTCATTTCTTAAAACCTCCCTCTTAAATGACTAAGAACTTACTAAAATAGCTCACTCTTCGTTAAGTACTGTATTGGTGTTAGGAATAATTTTCGGATTCGGTAGGTTTTTCAAAAATGTCTGAGGGCCCTGATAACTGGAAATTGTTAAAACAAGCTCTTTAAATCAATGCAGCAAATTGCGAACAGTAATGATACACGTTTAAAAGCGTAGCTACAATTGATTGGTAGATTGGAGCTGGGGTTAGGGATTACCCTAGAAAATGCTTTGAAGGAATTTGTCACCCAGCTGCTTGGAGACCTGGTTCCTGCTGCTGGTACCCTAGGTTTTCAGATTTTATATAGGAAGTCTTTAACTCACAGAATTCCAGCAGTTCATTTCTAAGTTGGTTGTTTAAAACAGTAAATGTATGTACTTATAGAAACAGTTAAATGAGTGGGTTTAGGTCCTCAAGCAAACGCTCTCCCAAAAACCTATTCATCTCATAACTGAAAAATTGCCGTTTTGGAATTTGCAAGTGTGGATACAAGTCTACAGTCTGCTTTGGGATTTCAAGTTTTTCAGATTTTAGAAAGGTAATTCGGTACATATATCATATATTATTTAATACCCACAGTAAGGTCCTAGCCAGTTCTCTCTAATCAACCATCTTAATAACTGTAATGAAATTATGTGTTCATGCTAAAGGGAAAAAGTCAGTAGCGTCATGTCATTTCAGATTAGGTGCATGTTTTTGCCACCAAATGAGTTGCAAAGACACTTCAGTTTCAAGAATTTATAGGACTTTGAAATTGTAAATAGAGGATTATGGACTTGTACTACTAGACAAAGAGAAGAATATATTCAAGAAAAAAATTTAAATCTTGAATTAAACTTTGAAAAGGTATGAGTTGGAATAGAAGAGGATAAGGATAAATATACAAAACTTGAGGGTTTTTTTTTTTTCTTTTTGAGACGGAGTCTTGCTCTGTCGCCAGGCTGAAGTGCAGTAGCCTGATCTCGGCTCACTGCAATCTCTGCCTCTCGTGTTCAAGCCATTCTCCTGCCTCAGCCTTGCTTGTGCCTTATAAAGTCTTTCAGAGTCAGTACCATTGATTATTTATTTTTTAAAAAAAAAAACAATTTATGACAGGATCTGTGGCAGAATGTGTGTGTGTGTGTGTGTGTGTGTGTATTTGTCAAAGAGAGACTTCAAAGCTAGAATTCAGAGCTAATAGCAGTGAAAAGCTTAAGTGTAGAAAATCTATGCTTGGTCCTTAGTCCATCCAAAGGATAAGAAATCCAGGAGAACTGGGGTGGTGATTGACTTTTACAGCAGCTAGGAAGGCCTTGGTATGTGTGGGGAGGGGGAGGAGGTCTTGATGTGTGAGGTAGGTGGGCAGGGAAATACAGCTTGTGGCCTCTTGAGTTGTTTTTCAGCCTCCTGTAGATTAAATAGAGCTCCTAGAGGTTTGCTTAGGAACCTAATTGTCATCAATAACTTTTTCTTTGAGACATTCCAGTGATTGTTCCTTTTTGCCCCAGCCTAATGGTTCTGCCTGTCTAGTTTGTGTCTATGACTCAATTCGTGACCCTACAATAGTGGCTTTTTCAGAAAATCATTGTACCACATTTATAAATGAATATATATGAATAAAATAATATAAATATTATCAATAAGTAGAAGGTCAGTTTACAGTGACCCTAAATAAGGTTGAAGAGTTAGGCTGTATCCTTTATGTTTACAGAAAGGTACAGGGGTGGGAGAAAGAATGCTGGAAAGGGCAGCCCTGAAGTGTTTTATCCTAAGACCATCTAAACGTGAAGGAAGTCCATTCCAGCTAGTGAGGAGGTGCCTAACACAGTGGTTTCAAGCCTGACTGACCACAGAGTTACCTTGGTAGCATATTAAAGTCCTCATTCCTACATCTCACCCTAGAGCACCTGTTTTCAACCTTAGATGCACAGTAGAATTAACTGAGAAACTTTTAAAGCCATCATTATCCAGGCCCAAATGCAGTATTGTTAAATCAGAATTTCTGGGGATGTTGCTCAGGCATCTTTTTTAAATTTAATTCCCTGGGTATACCAAGATTGAAACTTGACACTCTATATACTGAATCAAAAGCTCCATGGGCAAGGTGTAGGAATCTGTATTTTTTAATTACCATCTCCCAAATCTACTTAGTTTGTGGAGCAGCGTTTGAAATGGACTTGTGACAGGTATGGATGAAGTGAACAAGAGACAGTAGAAATCAGGCGTGGTGGGGAATTGAAAGAAATGGCAGTGGCAGTGGTTCCAGTTAGAGATTCTCAAGAGGCTCAAGATGGAGCCCTCAGAGACTTTCAGTGTTTGGGTCTTGGCCTTGCTGCTGTGGAGAGGTGATGCAAATCCATGGAGTCAAACAGAATAAAGAATTTGAAGTAATGTATGGATATGAAGGGCTGATGATGTGAATATTAAATTTACTGAGGTTGATGGATTGGAGTGGAATATTATAAATTAGTTACTGATGTATTACACATGTTTAAAAAAGTGGTGAATGAGAAAGAAGAAAATGCTTAGAGGTGGGGCAGAAATAACAGTGGCAGCGAGGATGAATTTGACTGGCTACTTCTACACCTAATCAGGTGAACAGAAAAGAGAGGTTCTACATGGGGTAGAACCCTCTGGATAGGGTACCAGTACATTGGGTTCAAGAAAGAGCTAGATTTGACTTAGGTCAGAGAGGTGAAGAGAAATGGGAGGAATTTAGTTGAGAATTTTAAAGGGATGTTAGCCTATAATGGAAGACAAGGGGAAGAGTTTGAGGGTGAGCATAAGGTGTGTCGAGAGAATTTGATGGAAAGTTTAGTAACAAGAATGAGAAGTTGGCTTATCAGTTGTGTATAAATGGGGTTGATGGAGTCCCTGGGACAAAATGTAACTACCAATTATTGAACATCTGTTATGTTTAGCTTTGTGCTAGGTGCTACAAAAAATGCAAAAAGACAAGGTTTTAAAAAATGGTCTCTGCCTCAGGGTATGCAGGGTTAACACATGAAAAGCAAAGCAATATGTAAAAACCACAATGAGCCATAGAAACAATTTGTACTATCAGAGATGAGAGAAAGGAGATCACTGTGTGCAGAACTGTGAAGAAAGGCCTTGAAGTAAAGGTAATTATTTAAGCTGGCTGGCCATTGAAAAATGATAGGATTTGGATAGGCAGAAGAAAGTGGGCAAAGTAATCCAGTGACGAAAACAGCATGAGCAAGGCTTAAAAGGAAAAATTAGTGAGTAATAAAGCGAGCCCAGTGGAAGCATGCTGGGAACTTGTGGGAGGTGAGAAAGATTGCATGGGGGCTGGAGCCAGATCACTAGGCAGAAAAGCTTAGACAGTTTTTTTTTCCCCCTGCGGTTAGTGGGAAGCTATTGCAATTTCTGAAACAGAGGAACAACATAATGAAATCAGTGGTAGTGTATAGTTAAACTAGAGGAGGGAGAAAGTGAAGAAAAGAGCTTTGTAGCTCATGCCTGAGGCAATGAGTGCATCCACTAAGGTGGTGGCCACAGGACAGAGTGTAAGGGATGGGAGCATACACACCATGTGGGACCTAACTAGACAGCAGAAATGAAAGAGAAGAAAGATTAATAAAGGAAAAGGACTCAGGTTTCCAGATGAGGTCAATAGCATTCCAAATTAGAGAAAGTGTGTGTGTGTGTGTGTGTGTGTGTGTGTGTGTGTGTACTTAACAACAATATGCCCAGCTAGGTATTTGGAACAATCTTGTATGAAAAATGTTGTGCTCTTTGTTCATTATGTTCTAAACAAGAGGTGAGATGGGAAAGAATGAATGCTATGGTGATGATGTTTAAGTAATTGAATAAACTACAGATATTACAAATATACAAAATAAGTGTTTATAACAATAATAGCTACTTATTGAGTGCCTACTCTGTGCTAAGCATTTGCCATGTATTCTTTTATTTAGTTAAATAATGCAACCAAAAGCAATCACAACAACCCTGTGAGGAAGATATTTTTCCACTTCACAGAAAAAGAATCTGAGAGTCAGGTTATGTGTACCTTGCTAAGGAGTAAAATGGCTAGTCAGGGACAGTGGTTGCTTTATAACAGAGATGTTTCCGACTCATGTTCTTTGCCCAATTCTGAACACTCGACATTTGCGGTCATAGGTAATAGGGACCATGTGGTACAAAGAAGCTGCACCTATGGCAGTATTTCTAGTTTGAAAAAGAGCATGTTGTCCAGTAACAAATTTGTTCAGATATTTGTTACTAGAGATAGAACAATCATGGGAAAGATATGTTCTAGGATATCTATTTGCTTTTTTATGGTATGAATAGATCATTAAATTATATGTAAAATCAATCTGATTGAAGCAAAATAGTCCAAGAGACTTAATACATAAAAAGGGAGGGCTATGGCTTTATAAATACATACCCAGCATGTCTCTAAGTTTGAGTGGGTTGTAAAGTCTCTTTGTCAACTTTTTTTTTAAACCACAAAGCCGTAAAGTCTCTTTGTCAACTTTTTTTTTTAAACCACAAAGCCATAATGTAGTGCTTGCTTATTTTCCCCTTCATGAATAACCCATTAGGACACAAATAATTTATAACTATATTTAACAATTGGAGAAAAGCGGTCATTATAAATTGTGAGCCAGAGAACCTCCAAAAAAGTCAAGTACGATTCTGCTTTGCTGTTTATAACTCTCCATCTATAAAATGGCAAAAATAATAATTGAACCTACTGCATAAGGTAGAAATGAAGTCTAAATTAACACACATAAAACATTTAGAAAAAAACCTTGTACAAAGCACTCAGTGTTAGATGAGATTATTAAAGTCGTGTGTCACATAACAATGTTCTAGTCAATGACAGATCACATAATCTGAAGGCAGTCTAATGCCTTTTCTGTTTAGATATGTTTAGATGCATACTTAGTGTTACAGTTGTCTACAGTATTCAGCATGGTAACATGCTCTATAGGTGTGTGTATCATGTGAGCAATAGGCTATATCATATAACCTAGGTGTGTAGTAAGCTGTACTATCTAGATTTGTATAAGTACACTCTGTGATGTTTGCACAGCTACAAAGTTGCCTAATGAAGCATTTCTCAGAAAATATCCTCATTGTTAAGTGACACATGATTGTGTTTATAAAGCAACATCTGTAGCTGAAAAGCTGTTTGTAAGCCAGCCAGCCCTTTCTCCTCTACTCCTGTCCTGTGGATTTGGTACTTTCCTTAACAGCCTTCTATATCAAGCCTCAGGCCCTGTATGTATTGCCTTTGCCTTTATAAACCTCCACCGTCCCCCTCACCTCCGAGTTATTATCCTTCCCACCACCCCACCACTCCCCAGAATTAAGGGATGTCATGCACTCTCTGAACTCTTTGGGGCTGGTATATGTCTCAGTTCATATTAATTTCTTTTGAAAGGGAAAAGAAAGAGCCTTCAAAAGGTGTACAGATACTATTGCCAGAGTAGCAACTTCTTTTGGCATAGTGTTTGGAAATTAACTATTTTTAGTTAAAGTTGAAGAAGAGTAGAGAAAGATCAACAGAAGATGAATGAGGAAGTAGGTGGAGATGAGAAAGCTCTGAGAAGCTTTGATTTCCCTATTTTTTCTCCTTTTTTTATAGTTTTGTAGTTAACTCTGAGTGAAGAATCCCTTCTTGAGTGGTAAAATGTTATACTGGTGAGCTATATGAATAACTACTTACTCTTAAGTTGATATTTGTAACTTGGAGGATATCTGTGTGACATTCTAGTGAGCCATCAAAAAACATTTTTTGAAATAATGAAATGAATGTGCCCTTTTTTTTTGCTTTAGAGACTGCATTTATTCATTTACTTTTTTCTTTTTTTTTATTACACTTTAAGTTTTAGGGTACATGTGCACAACGTGCAGTTCTGTTACATATGTATACATGTGCCATGTTGGTGTGCTGCACCCTTTAACTCATCATTTAATATTAGGTATACCTCCTAATGCTATCCCTCCCCGCCCCCCCACAACAGGCCCGGGTGTGTGATGTTCCCTTTCCTGTGTCCATGTGTTCTCATTGTTCAGTTCCCACCTACGAGTGAGAACATGCGGTGTTTGGTTTTTTGTCCTTGTGATAGTTTGCTGAGAATGATGGTTTCCAGCTTCATCCATGTCCCTACAAAGGACATGAACTCATCATTTTTTATGGCTGCATAGTATTCCATGGTGTATATGTGCCACATTTTCTTAATCCAGTCTATCATTGTTGGACATTTGGGTTGGTTCCAAGTCTTTGCTATTGTGAATAGTGCCGCAATAAACATACGTGTGCATGTGTCTTTATAGCAGCATGTTTTATAATCCTTTGGGTATATACCCAGTAATGGGATGGCTGGGTCAAATGGCATTTCTAGTTCTAGATCCCTGAGGAATCACCACACTGACTTCCACAATGGTTGAACTAGTTTACAGTCCCACCAACAGTGTAAAAGTGTTCCTATTTCTCCACATCCTCTCCAGCACCTGTTGTTTCCTGACTTTTTAATGATCGCCAATGAATGTGCCTTTTAAAAATAGAAATTATTGAGATTTTACCAATTCAGCTGAATTGAAAAAGTCAGTCTGAAATTTGAGTCTGCTTAATGTATTTCAAATTAACTTGGTTTTGTTCTAGATGTTTTTGTTAAAAAAAAAGAACAAGACTCTTAATTGATTGAGAATTTTGACTGGATCAAATTGCATATTTTAAAAGTAGTATTTTACTGTATAACCATAATGTATTCATGTATTTTTATCTTTTCCTATATTATAAAATAAATGAATAAAATCTCTAATGCCACCTTGCCTTCCTAGTGATAAATGAACTGAAATTTCTGAGCTTCAGGACTAATGTTTGTAGGGCTAATTTTCAGTCATCTATATGATCAATTGCGTTGATTTTTTTTTGTGACAAAATTTTGTTTCAGAATCCACATCCTTATTTCCTAGTCTCCATTTAAAGATATGATTTATATAACTTAAACCAATTCCACTTGGGCTGGTGCTATTTAGGTTGGGAGGGAAGTTTGTACCTTGAAAGTAGCTGACTTTTCATATCTTAGTAGAAGGATGTAGAACAAAGTCAGCATTTCATGATTTTGTAACCCACCATCCTAATAGGGAACTGTGAAAAAAAACCATACAAAAAGAGAAACAAAATATCTTTACCCAGGATCAAGGCCTAAAATAGTCTCTTTGTAGACTGTAAATTATATCGTTGGCTCCAGGATGGCTCTGATTGGTAGTTTAGGTCAGTTTATTAAAAATTGGTAAAGTAGGGTATCTTAAATGTTTTCTATTTTAACTTGAAACCTATAAATATATGTTTATTTATCAGTCTTTTGTCATAATAACCTTTGCTCAGTATCTCAGGAAGCTACTCATTCTTTTGAAAAAGTAGTTTTTATATGCATCACAGATTCTTGGACTCATTGAGACTAAAGGGTGAATTTTATAGACATAGACGTTCAATTTAAAATATTTTAATTCAGAAACTCTAAGATAGTGAGATACGGCTTTTAAAGCATTTCGTGATGGAACAGCCAGCACTTACTCCTTTTTTCAAGGATTGGGTTAGAATGTGAAGAAAAATGTTGATCTTGTAAGGCAACTTTTGGAGTATAGAGGATGATCAAAGTAAATTTTACCAGAATTTTGAATATAGTACCACTTGTTAGTCAATTCAGAAGCGATGATGGAAAACCATGGTTGTTATTCTTATTGGCATTGGTAGAAAAATATGACGAAGAAATTGGAAATTTAAGATTCAGTCTGTTCCTCAATAGAGGTTGAAAGTAGGAACTCATGTATTCAAATAAAATTTAAAATAAGGTTGAAAATATTTAACTATATGTTAATAGCAGAACAGGTACTCTAAGTGTTTGTCTGTTTAAATATCTTGAGATTATTTTATATTATAATCTTACATATAATCTATGTGATTATATCATCAAAAAGACCATTGAAGCCCACATTAGGTACTTGTGAAATAAGATTTTTGGTTAGTTATTGTAATTACTACGTTTTTCTGCTGTTTGCAACGTTTATTGAATTCGAGTTTAATAAATGTATGGTCAGCCTCTGCCTAGAGAGTCAGGTCTATTATTTATTAGGTTGAAATAAATACATATCTATTATTTAAAGGTTGAAATATTTTGAGTATTTCTTTCCCTCAAAGAATTCTTAGTGTTTTTCCCTGTGTTCTCTATTTGTACTTATCTTCAATCTGGAACAGCTGGTTGAGTATCCCACTACTATTCCTCAACACCCCCAGCCCACTGTTTGTAGGCTGGCCACATTCCAGGCCATCATCTTTAGTGTTCTCCTGTAGGACTCATAGATAACGTATACAAAACTCAGTAATAGCTGTGGTCCAAATTTCAGAAGGTTTGTAAAGTAATGTTCTTTAACGTTTAATTTAGTCTGGAGTTTGGTGTCGTATTAAATACCCAGTAACTTCTTGATTTGATTCTCTAATATTAATCATTTTGCCATTGCACAAAATGATGCCCGTTTTTTTTCTCATGAAAGTCTTAGGTTGTAAGATTTCTCTTGTATGAGCTGATGTGGGGCAACCAGTGTTTTGAGGATTGACTTTTATTATTCTATCAATGTGTGAAAATGTCTGATTAATTTCATGTCATCTCAAGTATAACGTGTCAAGAGCACAATTATTTTACAAACAAGAGACTTATTAGACCAAGGAATTTTTTTCTATGTTGTTTAAGCTTTTATGATTACAAAAAAAAAAAAAAAGAAAATCAGGCTGGGTGCAGTGGCTCACATTTGTAATCCCAGCACTTTGGGAGGCCGAGGCAGGTAGATCATGAGGTCAGGAATTCAAGACCAGCCTGATCAACATGGTGAAACCCCATCTCTACTAAGAATACAAAAAAAAAAAAAGCTGGGCATGGTGGCATGTGCCTATAATCCCAGCTACTCAGGAGGCTGAGGCAGGAGAATCAGTAGAACCAGGAGGCAGAGGTTGCAGTGAGCCGAGATCGTGCCACTGCACTCCAGCCTGGGCGACAGAGCAAGACTATATCTCAAAAGAAAAAAAAAAAAAGAAAAAAAGAAAATCAGTCTACTATGCCTCCTTTTGGCAAAAGAGAATTTATTGGAATGAGGCACATAGATTGGAAGCAGAAAGCAAAGGAACAGAGACTGGCTGTTTTTTGTGCCTCTGCTATTCTCTTTTAGCTAGTCAGTCTTTTCTATATTCCCCTGTCTAAAATCTGGAAAGACTTCTGATTGACATACTAGGAAGCATCAATGTCCATCATGCCAAGCCAGCTAATACATGGCTACCCTAATTGCAGATGGGTTGCCCCTTAGTTGAGTGCCTACCTCAGCTCTAGTCCACAGCCATTCCTGCACAAAGAATAACAGCAATGCTATGGGGACCATGAGTGGGGCAATTTAAATATAAGGGAACATTAGATGGCAGCCATGGTAATGTGCATAGTAGATCTTCCCTCAAACCTTTGCATTCTTCCCCCCCTCAGGCTTTTTTCCCCTTCAGTAAAGCTTCTGAGTCATCCTTGCTCATTGCTTTCATTTTCTAACTTCCCATTCATTTGTCAATTTATTTTGTATAGTCCGTGCCACCACCATTACCCTAAATCTGTTACCTCAGCTGTCCTCAAGATTCATAGTTGCCCATTTCCGTTAGGCACATTTTAGACCTAACCACTCTTCATTATTTAACATTATTGACCTTTTTTTTTTCTTGAAACTTTATCCTCCCATATTTTTAACACATCACTTTCTTCTGGATTTCTTTGGTCATTCATTCTTAATCTCCTTTGCCAGCTCACATCATACATGCCAATATTTCCCACAGTTCTGTCCTTATATTATCAGTTGTGTCCAATCTTTTGGCTTCCCTGGGCCACATTGGAAGAATTGTCTTGTGTCACACATAAAATACACTAACACAAACTATGGCTGATGAGCTAAAAAGAAAAAATCACAAAAAAAATTTATAATGTTTTAAGAAAGTTTATGAATTTGTGTTGGGCCGCATTCAAAGCCATCCTGGGCTGCATGCACCCTGGGGGCTGTGGGTTGGACAAGCTCGTTATAGGTTTTCTGTTGATATATTACAATAACCCTGTTATAAAAATTCATTATTTCATCATGCGAAGCATACTTTTGCCTAGTGAGCATTGGTTCCTTTAGTAGTTACTCACAAATCATGTTGATAAAACCCAGTCTAGAATTTTCTTCAAAGATGCCCTCTTCTATACAGTGAGGTGTCAAAATATGCCTATTCTTCTGAAATTTGAAGAAAGCATTTTACATTGTTTATTTCACTTACTTTATAATTTATGGGAGGGTTTGTTCATTTTCATTATGCTTCAGACTTACACCTGAAATCGCTGTTAACAATTTGGTCATTTCTTGGCCCAGGCTGTCATTCCTCTTCATTCCCTATTATTACTATCTCTATTCAAATTTCATTTCTTCCAGTAGGCCTGGTTTAGCTTCCAGTATTTCTGCCCTTTATTCTATTCCCTAGACTGCTACCATAGTGATTTTTTTCTAAAATACAGATATGATCATGTCATATCTTGCTTAGAAGTCCTCAATGATTTTTCTCTATCTCTGTTCAGGATAGAATCTATACTCTGTAGCCTGAAGGCCTCATAATATGGCCACTACCTACCTTCCCAGTCATATCTTGCTGGACCATTCTCCCTTTCTGATTCTATATTCCAACTACACTGCTCCCTAAATACTACTGTTGCTTAGTCTTAGATAACATTCATGACAGTTGTCAATGAAAAAATGCCTTCTATGTGTTAAATTATTGTAGATGTTTACAGCTAAGTTAACAAAGGTCTGTTGCTGAGGGACCATTTATTATACAAGCACGGCTAACCTTATTTTACAAATTGGTTACTTTCTTATAACTGTCAAATTTGTGTGTCCAATTTGGCATTTGTTCGCACTATTATTAAGATTTTCTGACAACAAAATATACAAGTAAGCAAACTTAGCCCCAGTCATTAATAAAATTCTTATTTAAGCATCCTAATACATATAATAAGGAATGATTTACTTTTTCAAATATGTAACCTGTTTATATTTCATTTTCCTAATCAACACACTAGTTTTGTGTACCTGAACAAACTGCTTTAATTTACCAATATTATGCAAATTACATAATTTACTGACTATTTTATGGAAAGGTATTGTGTATCACTGTCTTACCTCTCTTTTCAATTTTCTCTCTTATCTTTGAGACTGTAAATCCACTAGACATTAGAACTGATAGTTGTTGAATAACTGTTAATTGAATTCTTAATTTTTATTGTTTGGAGATCCCACAAGTGAACTAAGCAATATTCTTTGAGACTTCTTTTATTAAGAAGAGGTGAAGGAAGGGGGAAGAAAAGAAAATGTTAGTCTTTCCTAGATGGTTTAGGACATGAGAAGTTTCCCTAAAGTACACTTAGTTGTTCTGCTTATGTAATATTCTCTGGTTAGGTGAATTGCTCCTAAAGCGATTAAATTTAACTCAACATACATCTATAAAAGTAGAGATTACATCAGCCACAAAGGGTTGTTGTGAAAATAGGCTGATGTGTTCAACACACGTACTGTCACATGTTAAGCCCTTAATTAGTGACAGCTGCTATAGTGGGAGACTGTAATATAAGTGTTAAGAATACAGATTTCATGGTCATTCAAACTGGAGTTTGAATCCTGGCTTCCCATTTATCAGCTCTGTGAACATGGGCATGGAAATTCAATTTCCCCATCTATAAAATGGGGTGTAAATACATATAGGAATGTTATAATGTATTAAAGTAGGTACTGTAGTAGTAGGTGTATAACAAGTACTCAACAAATGACTTGTTTCCTAACACAGAAATATTAACCCAGACATTACTGAGCTGAAATCTGGCCAAGAATCAAGGACCAAGCAAAAACAAATTACAATAAAATCTATGAACAGGCAAAAATGTCACACCAAAAAAATGCATATGTGTTTTTACTTTACTCATGGAAGTGTCCCTCAGGTTCCCATGTAGTGTCCATTACATCTCCATTGCTTGTTAGGTCACTTTAGGTGAGTCTCAGACAGTTCCACTTTCCTTTCTGTGAAATGAAGGAGTTAACTAATTTCTAAAAGTCTATTAATTCTAGAGACTTCTTAATTCTATGTGTATAGTGTCTGAAATTTATTCTCTTTGGGCTCTTTTATATTAATTTCTTTAAAAAGTAAATTTAAAGTGTAGCACCTATGCACAAGATTCACTGTATGACAAGCTCTGTGATGAACTTCTAGTCCAGCATGAAGGGCCAACATTAGAATGATTATAATTTTAGTGGAACAATGTAAATAAATTAGAAGAATAAATAAGAATGATTGGTTTTATAGAAATGGTGAACACTGGAAAAAGCTTCAGAAACAAGTTATGATAGGCTATTCTGCAGTTACAAATTAGCCCCAAGTTTCAGTGTTTGAAAACTATTAAGGTTTATTATTGCTAATGATATAGTCTAACATTGGTCAGGATTGGCTCTGTTTCACATAGTCACTCAAGAACCCAAGCTAACAGATGCTCTAACATGTCAACTCAGCCTGGATGGTTGCCACAGTCGAGGAAAAGAGAGAAGAGCTAGAGTTTTGCCCCAGTCTTAAATGCATTGGTACTTTCTGACTCAGAAATGACAGACGTCTTTTCCACTTGTGGCCTGTTAGAATGAATCAGATGGCTCTACCTAACTGCAAGAGAATGGGGAATTTAGTGAGCATAAATGCTTCTGCTATATTATATGAGTGAATTCTGAAAAGGTAAATGGCAATCAGTCTGGTGAATTAAGAAGGAGGAGATGAAAAAGAAACTCTTCCTCTACTGTGAAAGTGAAGACGTTACCTTTAGAATTTAAAAGTGGATGTTAAAAGAAGTTAACTACTGTATTCTCTTAAGCATCTGGAAATTGGAACATAGTATAAAAAGATCCCAGAGAGCTGAGAATAAGCCCTGAGGCAGCTCTATAGTTTAATCTTGCGCTTCAAAGTATGTGTGAAGATTTTTTGTATAATTACAAAATACTGATTAATTAAATAAGTACTATGAATTTTATAGAGTTGTTATTTTGTGAAAGATGTGATAATGGATAGATTCCATGTTTTAGAAGATTGCTATTACCTGTGCCTAAGGATCCCAAGTGCTTAGCACTACTTCTAAAAAAAAATTCTGGTATGCCCAATCACAGTGCTTAGAAAAACATAAACTCTAAAGGGTTATCTTTTTACCTGAACTTGTAAAGTTGCATCAAATGAGAGGATAGCCTTCAGTGAATCAGCCTGTAAGGTATCACATGCATCCTATTTATTAAAAATAATATTTATGGAGGTCACAAAAATAGTATTATTTAAATACACAGTTAAAATTGTAGTTAACATTAATGGAGGGTGTATAATGTGCAAGGAACAATGCTAATTATGTGCATTATCTCTGTTAAATCTTACAGTAAATCTATAAGATAGGTACTGTTGTTATTCCCATTTCCAAACTTCTCAATTTGTAATTGGATAGATAATAAGGCTGTTTTATATGTGAGACAGTTAAGTCCTAGAAAAGGTAAGTCAAATTTATATACGTTTTTATCTATTATCTACTCGTCATCAAATTAAAATCTCTTATAAATGTTTGTGATTTTTGCAATAAAATAATTTATAGGTAGTAGGAAGTATACTGCAATGTTAACTTTTCTGTTTTCAGGGTTTGGACAGAGGAGCCAAAGGCCAAATTTCCACTTTCAGCAGTTTTATTTCAGCTGTTAGCCCGAAGAAAGAAGCTGCTGAAAACAGAAGTTCACCTGCACATCTTGTTTTCCCTAACATCAAGAATGGTAAATAATTTTTAAATATATTTTGGCTAAAAGTATATTTTTAAATTATTTTTAAAAGTAGACATTAATTATTCAGCATTGTTCTGATAGGTCTAGTTAATACAACAAAAAGAAGCTGTATACGTATTTACCAGAAGCAGCAAAATCTTTATTTTTAGGTGAATGTTACCTAGAGTAAGAGAATGAAATACAAAACTCGTGAATAATAAGCAAATTTGATTAAAGAGGTGGCTACATTATAAATAAAATAATATACATATATATTTTCTATATTTTATAAATGTATGTATACAAATATGTAATGGATATCCCATATTTGAGCAATAATCAATTAGAAGACTTTATGGAAAATATATGAAATACATAAAAATAAACCTAAAAGGAAATGTGTAAAATCTATTTGGAGAAAGCTATAAAACTGTTATCTAAAGACCAAAAGGTAGTTTGAATGGAAAAGCTTATAGATGTTATAACGATATAACATAGGTAAAAAGATAAATGGAAAAAATGTACATTATTTATAGTAGTGATATTGGAAGCAATCTATATTAGTTAACTAAATTATGTTAATCTATACTGCAAATACTATGCTTCTATTAAGAAGAATATGATATGTATGTAAAGTGACTGGGAGAAATGCCCACAATACATTGTAAAATGAAAAAAGTAAGTTACATCATTATAGGTAGAATATGAATCCAACGTTTTTAAGTGCAGGGAATCCTTTTGTACTTTGAGCATAGAGGGGTGCTTACCGATCTGTTAATGGTTTCCTCAGGGAGGTAGAATTGTGTATATATTATTAATGTTTCTTATGTAACTCTATATTGTTTTATCACGGGAAATGTACATTACTTAAATACTTCTAAGTGCCACTCACTTTGTAACAAGACAAAACAAACCTTCAAAGGTTTAAATGCCCCTCACACCCTAACCAAACAAAACAAACCTAGAAATATTTAAGGACATAGTTTCTGGTAAATCACCCATGTCCATAAGCTGCATGTGGTATAAATTATTCTTGCATAGAGATTTTCTGTTTGACACTCTAAGCCAGTGCTAGACCTATTCTACATTCTTATAGGTTAGTATTTTTATTGCCTCATTTTTGAACATTTACCTTTGATAACTTCTTTCTTTTATTTGCATACAAACATACACACACACACACACAAGCACACACACACCCCTCCGTCACGCCAATATTGCCCTAAGGAGGCACCTTTTAGTTCACACTCTAATTTCTATCTACTCCATTATTTCTATACTAATATCTTCATCTCTGAAGTCAGTTCGCCAACTCGTATGCCTACAAGTTTTTGATTGGCCATATTGACTCTCAATATGGTCCACTTATTTGAGCTTCCATCAATGTGTGCTTCCTTCTCATCTGTGCCAGTCTTGTGGAATCTGGACTTAACCCAACTTGAACTTGGGGTATTTTTTTTTATTATTATACTTTAAGTTTTAGGGTACATGTGCACAATGTGCAGGTTAGTTACATATGTATACATGTGCCATGCTGGTGTGCTGTACCCATTAACTCGTCATTTAGCATTAGGTGTATCTCCTAATGCTATCCCTCCCCCCTCCCCCCACCCCACAACAGTCGCCAGAGTGTGATGTTCCCCTTCCTGTGTCCATGTGTTCTCATTGTTCAATTCCCATCTATGAGTGAGAACATGCGGTGTTTGGTTTTTTGTCCTTGCGATAGTTTACTGAGAATGATGATTTCCAATTTCATCCATGTCCCTACAAAGGACATGAACTCATCATTTTTTATGGCTGCATAGTATTCCACGGTGTATATATGCCACATTTTCTTAATCCAGTCTATCATTGTTGGACATTTGGGTTGGTTCCAAGTCTTTGCTATTGTGAATAGTGCCGCAGTAAACATACGTGTGCATGTGTCTTTATAGCAGCATGATTTATAGTCCTTTGGGTATATACCCAGTAATGGGATGGCTGGGTCAAATGGTATTTCTAGTTCTAGATCCCTGAGGAATCGCCACACTGACTTCCACAATGACTGAACTAGTTTACAGTCCCACCAACAGTGTAAGAGTGTTCCTGTCTCACCACATCCTCTCCAGCACCTGTTGTTTCCTGACTTTTTAATGATTGCCATTCTAACTGGTGTGAGATGGTATCTCATTGTGGTTTTGATTTGCATTTCTCTGATGGCCAGTGATGATCATTTTTTCATGTGTTTTTTGGCAGCATAAATGTCTTCTTTTGAGAAGTGTCTGCTCATATCCTTTGCCCACTTTTTGATGGGGTTGTTTGTTTTTTTCTTGTAAATTTGTTTGAGTTCATTGTAGATTCTGGATATTAGCCCTTTGTCAGATGAGTAGGTTGCGAAAATTTTCTCCCATTTTGTAGGTTGCGAAAAATTTTTCCCATTTTGTAGGTTGCCTGTTCACTCTGATGGTAGTTTCTTTTGCTGTGCAGAAGCTCTTTAGTTTAATTAGATCCCATTTGTCAATTTTGTCTTTTGTTGCCATTGCTTTTGGTGTTTTAGACATGAAGTCCTTGCCCATGCCTATGTCCTGAATGGTAATGCCTAGGTTTTCTTCTAGGGTTTTTATGGTTTTAGGTCTAACATTTAAGTCTTTAATCCATCTCCAATTAATTTTTGTATAAGGTGTAAGGAAGGGATCCAGTTTCAGCTTTCTACATATGGCTAGCCAGTTTTCCCAGCACCATTTATTAAATAGGGAATCCTTTCCCCATTGCTTGTTTTTCTCAGGTTTGTCAAAGATCAGATAGTTGTAGATATGTGGCGTTATTTCTGAGGGCTCTGTTCCGTTCCATTGATCTATATCTCTGTTTTGGTACCAGTACCATGCTGTTTTGGTTACTGTAGCCTTGTAGTATAGTTTGAAGTCAGGTAGCGTGATGCCTCCAGCTTTGTTCTTTTGGCTTAGGATTGACTTGGCGATGCGGGCTCTTTTTTGGTTCCATATGAACTTTAAAGTAGTTTTTTCCAGTTCTGTGAAGAAAGTCATTGGTAGCTTGATGGTGATGGCATTGAATCTATAAATTACCTTGGGCAGTATGGCCATTTTCACAATATTGATTCTTCCTACCCATGAGCATGGAATGTTCTTCCATTTGTTTATATCCTCTTTTATTTCATTGAGCAGTGGTTTGTAGTTCTCCTTGAAGAGTTCCTTCACATCCCTTGTAAGTTGGATTCCTAAGTATTTTATTCTCTTTGAAGCAATTGTGAATGGGAGTTCACTCATGATTTGGCTCTCTGTTTGTCTGTTATTGGTGTATAAGAATGCTTGTGATTTTTGTACATTGATTTTGTATCCTGAGACTTTGCTGAAGTTGCTTATCAGCTTAAGGAGATTTTGGGCTGAGACAATAGGGTTTTCTAGATATACAATCATGTCATCTGCAAACAGGGACAATTCGACTTCCTCTTTTCCTAATTGAATACCCTTTATGTCCTTCTCCTGTCTAATTGCCCTGGCCAGAACTTCCAACACTATGTTGAATCGGAGTGGTGAGAGAGGGCATCCCTGTCTTGTGCCAGTTTTCAAAGGGAATGCTTCCAGTTTTTGCCCATTCAGTGTGATATTGGCTGTGGGTTTGTCATAGATAGCTCTTATTATTTTGAAATGTGTCCCATCAATACCTAATTTATTGAGAGTTTTTAGCATGAAGGGTTGTTGAATTTTGTCAAAGGCCTTTTCTGCATCTATTGAGAAAATCATGTGGTTTTTGTCTTTGGTTCTGTTTATATGCTGGATTACATTTATTGATTTGCATATATTGAACCAGCCTTGCATCCCAGGGATGAAGCCCACTTGATCATGGTGGAGAAGCTTTTTGATGTGCTGCTGGATTCGGTGTGCCAGTATTTTATTGAGGATTTTTGCATCAATGTTCATCAAGGATATTGGTCTAAAATTCTCCTTTTTGGTTGTGTCTCTGCCCGGCTTTGGTATCAGGATGATGCTGGCCTCATAAAATGAGTTAGGGAGGATTCCCTCTTTTTCTATTCATTGGAATAGTTTCAGAAGGAATGGTACCAGTTCCTCCTTGTACCTCTGGTAGAATTTGGCTGTGAATCCATCTGGTCCTGGACTCTTTTTGGTTGGTAAGCTATTGATTATTGCCACAATTTCAGATCCTGTTATTGGCCTATTCAGAGATTCAAATTCTTCCTGGTTTAGTCTTGGCAGAGTGTATGTGTCGAGGAATTTATCCATTTCTTCTAGATTTTCTAGTTTATTTGCGTAGAGGTGTTTGTAGTATTCTCTGATGGTAGTTTGTATTTCTGTGGGATCAGTGGTGATATCCCCTTTATCATTTTTTATTGCATCTATTTGATTCTTCTCTCCTTTTTTCTTTATTAGTCTTGCTAGCGGTCTATCAATTTTGTTGATCCTTTCAAAAAACCAGCTCCTGGATTCATTAATTTTTTGAAGGTTTTTTTGTGTCTCTATTTCCTTCAGTTCTGCTCTGATTTTAGTTATTTCTTGCCTTCTGCTAGCTTTTGAATGTGTTTGCTCTTGTTTTTCTAGTTCTTTTAACTGTGATGTTAGGGTGTCAATTTTGGATCTTTCCTGCTTTCTCTTGTGGGCATTTAGTGCTATAAATTTCCCTCTACACACTGCTTTGAATGTGTCCCAGAGATTCTGGTATGTTGTATCTTTGTTCTTGTTGGTTTCAAAGAACATCTTTATTTCTGCCTTCATTTCGTTATGTACCCAGTAGTCATTCAGGAGTAGGTTGTTCAGTTTCCATGTAGTTGAGCAGTTTTGAGTGAGTTTCTTAATCCTGAGTTCTAGTTTGATTGCACTGTGGTCTGAGAGACAGTTTGTTATAATTTCTGTTCTTTTACATTTGCTGAGGAGAGCTTTACTTCCAAGTATGTGGTCAATTTTGGAATAGGTGTGGTGTGGTGCTGAAAAAAATGTCTATTCTGTTGATTTGGGGTGGAGTGTTCTGTAGATGTCTATTAGGTCCGCTTGGTGCAGAGCTGAGTTCAATTCCTGGGTATCCTTGTTAACTTTCTGTTTCGTTGATCTGTCTAATGTTGACAGTGGGGTGTTAAAGTCTCCCATTATTAATGTGTGGGAGTCTAAGTCTCTTTGTAGGTCACTCAGGACTTGTTTTATGAATCTGGGTGCTCCTGTGTTGGGTGCATATATATTTAGGATAGTTAGCTCTTCTTGTTGAATTGATCCCTTTACCATTATGTAATGGCCTTCTTTGTCTCTTTTGATCTTTTTTGGTTTAAAGTCTGTTTTATCAGAGACTAGGATTGCAACCTCTGCCTTTTTTTGTTTTCCATTTGCTTGGTAGATCTTCCTCCCTCCTTTTATTTTGAGCCCATGTCTGTCTCTGCATGTGCGATGGGTTTCCTGAATACAGTACACTGATGGGTCTTGACTCTTTATCCAGTTTGCCAGTCTGTGTGTTTTAATTGGAGCATTTAGTCTATTTACATTTAAAGTTAATATCATTATGTGTGAATTTGATCCTGTCATTATGATGTTAGCTGGTTATTTTGCTCGTTAGTTGATGCAGTTTCTTCCTAGTCTCGATGGTCTTTACATTTTGGCATGATTTTGCAGCGGCTGGTACAGGTTGTGCCTTTCCATGTTTAGTGCTTCCTTCAGGAGCTCTTTTAGGGCAGGCCTGGTGGTGACAAAATCCCTCAGCATTTGCTTGTCTGTAAAGTATTTTATTTCTCCTTCACTTAGGAAGCTTAGTTTGGCTGGATATGAAATTCTGGGTTGAAAATTCTTTTCTTTAAGAATGTTGAATATTGGCCACCACTCTCTTCTGGCTTGTAGAGTTTCTGCCGAGAGATCTGCTGTTAGTCTGATGGGCTTCCCTTTGTGGGTAACCCAACCTTTCTCTCTGGCTTCCCTTAACATTTTTTCCTTCATTTCAAGTTTGGTGAATCTGACAATTATGTGTTTTGGAGTTGCTCTTCTCAAGGAGTATCTTTGTGGAGTTCTCTGTATTTCCTGAATCTGAATGTTGGCCTGCCTTGCTAGATTGGGGAAGTTCTCCTGGATAATATCCTGCAGAGTGTTTTCCAACTTGGTTCCATTCTCCCCGTCACTTTCAGGTACACCAATCAGACGCAGATTTGGTTTGTTCACATCGTCCCATATTTCTTGGAGGCTTTGTTCATTTCTTTTTATTCTTTTTTCTCTAAACTTCCCTTCTCACTTCATTTCATTCATTTCATCTTCCATCACTGATACCCTTTCTTCCAGTTGATCGCATCGGCTCCTGAGGCTTCTGCATTCTTCACGTGGTTCTCGAGCCTTGGCTTTCAGCTCCATCAGCTCCTTTAGGCACTTCTGTGTATTGCTTATTCTAGTTATATATTCTTCTAAAATTTTTTCAAAGTTTTCAACTTCTTTGCCTTTGGTTTGAATTTCCTCCTGTAGCTCGGAGTAGTTTGATTGTCTGAAGCCTTCTTCTCTCAACTCTTCAAAGTCATTCTCCGTCCAGCTTTGTTCCATTACTGGTGAGGAACTGCGAAGTTGGGGTATTTGCATAAATGACTCTGACTCGATGAGTAGACCTTTTAGCAGACTTCCTTTATCTTATTAGAACTCCTGGTACTGAATTTTCCTAGCTGTTCTATCTGGATGCCACCTGAATTCAGGTGTGGCATGGAGTTTATTTGTTAAGGGCACTGCAGAGTAATTCTTTTATTGAATAGAAAGTTAGGCTACATCTTCCAAATGTAAGCATGTTTATAGTTTCTTGATGTTTTGGGAAGCCTCTCTTACTTGCCAATAAGATTGTTTTTTCAAAGATGCCTCATTCTTGGCAGTTATTATAATTTTCCTCCCTCTTCTCTGGTAGTAGGACCTATGCTGGGTATTCTCTAACAGCTTGTTTGCCCGTCTGATCTTCAAGTGATATTAGGGAAACTGCAAAAACCCAGCGTGGGTTCACCTAACAGCTGAGGAATGCCTTTCCTCCCTGTGGATCACATGACTAGGTATGCCTGTCAAATTGACTGTCCTTTTAAAAATAAGTGAGAAGTGTAGGAGTTTTACCTACTGTAACAGCTGCTAGTGATGATATCTCTTCAGAGAAACAACCTGGATGATAAATGATAGAGGAGAGGAGGTTAGCACTACATCCTCCCTTACTCTCTTGTGTCTTCCTTTCTAAAGTTATGATGCCCCTTTCACACTTAATTGAAACATTTTTAAGTAGCACAGAATATCTTTAAAAGAAATGAAGCAATTCTTCCCCAAACTTTAAAAAAAAAAATCTTTCCAGCCTAGGTAGTTCAGAAAAGAGTAGCTATGAACTCTGACATTTACCTTGAGAGCAAGCTCATAGCCAGCTCAGGCCATTTCATGAGTTTAGTAGAACCTTGATATGACATAATGAATTCTGTAGTTTTTACACCCCCTAGAGAAAAGCATACTGTGATCTTTGTCACCCTGAAATAGCCAGGGAAGAACAAGTGGTCTTCAGCTGAAATCGCAATTGGATCTGTGTGTGAGTCCTGTGATCTTCACAGGTCAAGTACTCCAGAGTTTTACATTTTCTCTAAGAGCAACTTGAGGGGCAGGTGTTAGAAGAAGCATAGCACAGGGCTTGCTATTTGTGGAAAGCAAAGGACTTGCCACGTAAGGATTCCTACCTTAGAAGAAGTATTTTCAAGGCCCAAATAACTCCATCTACAGGTTTCCTTAAAGAATGAACTGATTTTAGACTAAATCTCTAAGATCTTTCCCTAGGTCAGAGTGGGTAACTTGGATTTGACTTTTCTTAACTGTTCCTATGGGAAGAGTTATTTTTTCTTTTTTATATTAAAGATAACTTTTTATTGAATAGGTAACACATCTATTTGTTTCAAAAGTCAAAACTATAAAAATAAATATGTTTCAGACATCTCACTTTCACTCTCTTTTCTGTTATCTCTTGTATTCTTTCCTGTGGTTTTTTAGGCAAATGCAAGCAAATATAAATAAATATTCTCATTTTCCACCTTTGGTGGGTAACTATGTATGCATTGTCCAGAACCTTGCTTTTTGTCCAGTTCATGTATTCTAGATATCTTTCTGTATCAGTACATAGAAAACTTCTTTATTATTTTTTACAAATATATTCCATTGTATTGGATGTACATTTGTATTGAAGTAAGTAAACTGGATTTATTTACTCAGATTCCTATTAAAATAAATGATTTGTGTTCATTATTTTGTTATTGCAGACAATGCCACAATGAATGACTCTGTACATATGTCGCTTTGTTCATCTGCAGGTTTATCTATAGGATATTTCTAGATGTGGGGTTGTTGGGCCCAGGAGTAAATGCATGTACAGTCACCTTGAGTTTGAATCCATCTGTTTGTTTCCAGGACCTAGCATTCGTGGTGCATGTAGTCTATACTTAGTTAATAATTTACTGAATAAGGTAATGAATGGGAGGCACTTTTTCTGGGTTTCTGGCATGTTTACCCTGTTGGAATGTCAAACCCATCTCAAGGCTGTAATAAATTCTGTAAGGTATGTCCAGATTAAGACATCTGTTTCACTAAAGATAACTTTATAGAGAGGGGACTTTCAAATATTTCTATAACTAGGCTCATAAAAGAACATTTCACCCTTTCTTTTATTACAGTTTTATAAACACACATCATTGAACTTAGTAAAAAGTACATCTCTAAAATCTAATGAATGTATTTGCTTTATTTGGCTCTGATGGCTAAAGTCCTGTGAGTCAGACTTTTTTTTTCCTGTCTTTCTTCCTTTCTCTCTCCCACCTTCAATTTTATTTTTTGCCAAATGTTCAGAAAAGTCATCCTATAGACAATGATGTAAAAACCACTTGTTATGACTAATCCATTCTGGTCTTTCCTTGTTTCAGCTGCCTGCCACTACTGAAGCAGTCATAAGCAGTACCAAAGTACTAAACTGATACAGGGATCCTTCAACTTGTAGCTCATTTATTATTACCTGGCTGGTACTCACACGTTGTCAGTTAAGAACTGAGTCTTTGACTCAACTACTACCTGTAACCACCAATGTGACCTTAAACAGATAACTTAGCCCTCTTGTTTTTTATTTTGTCAAAACATTTATAGAATGAGGAAATTGGGCATCTTGAGTCGTAAAGTGCCATTTTACACCTACGTTTTATTATTTAAATGGTTAATTTTCCACTATATTGATTTTGCTTGATGCTTGTTGAATTTTTTTTGTTCTTCTTTTTTTGGGACATCTTATAGTTTAATGGCTCCTACACCCATGTGAATTTAGTTTTCCATTTTATTATTTGTTTTTATACATAGTATAAGGTTTGGCATTGTTCAATAGTGGGAATAACATGAGTTTTGTAGCTTCTCAGGCTGGGTTTGAATTCTAGCTCCGTAACATACAAACTGTACAATCCTAGAAAATTTATTTAACCTCTCTGTGCTTATTTTCTCATCTGTAAAACTGGGTGATAAAGAAGCTACCTTATGAAGTTGTAAAGATATGTATGAAAGCATTTAAAAAGTAATTCTATATCTTAGGAAGTTCAGTACATGTTATGACAATGTATGTAGATGAGCAGTTTAGTTGTGGAGGAAGGTATCATGGGGCAGGAACATTACTCTTAGCAACTGATGGCACACATTTTAAAAATCCAAAATGTGTTATACATGCAGAAGACTATAATCAACATTTTATACATTTTAATAATAAAATTAAAACCCAAGAACTCAGCAATCAAGAGCACTACTGGCACTATAAAAGCCCCAGGGAACCCACCCCAATCACTTTGCCCTACCCTTCTGTCCAGAGGTTAACTATTGTTCCCTTTTTTATAGTTCCCTCTGTGTGAATGAGTCCTGAGAAGCAAAGGACACCTCTTGGGACATGTGGCAGAGCTGCAGTTGAGACTATTAGATGTCTGTCAGAAAGACTCCTCCAACTGTCAAGAGTACTATAGGTTCAATCTGTGAGGTGACCTGAGTGTCCTCAGCTGAGTCAGCAGAGAAAGAGGAGAGCAGGGACTTCATGACCCCGCTGGCAAGCCAGGAATAAGAAGTAGGCTCATCTGTACATTCTGTCTTCAGTTAAAAAAGAGTACAAAGGCAGTCAGGGTCTTGGTGATGACAAGTATCAACATTGCTAAATTTCAGGCCACTCAGTTCCAGTCTGTATGGAGTGCAGCTGCCACCTCAGGCCGCTGTGATTCCTGTTCCTTTGAATCAGATGTCTCTCTACCTCTGTCTCTGTCTCTCTCGAAGCTTGTTGAGCCATCTCTTATCTTGGAAGTTTTGAAATTGCACAGTGTTGTGCCTTGGTGTGAGGTTTGTATTCATCCCTTGTGCTATATACTCGGTCTAGCAGCTTCATGTCCTTAAATTCCAGAAAATTTTCTTGAATTATTTTGTTGATGATTTTCTCTCCTCTGTATTTTCTATCCTTTCTTTCTGGATCTCCTGTTATTCAAAAGCCAGACTTTCTGGACTCCTAATTTTCTTTTTTACTTGTATTTCTCTTCTCTTTTGCTTTATGATTTAGGGAATATTCTCAAAACTCTTCTATTGAGTATCTTACTTCTGCTGTTATGCCTTTAATTGTGAAGAATTATTTCCCCTCTGAATCTTTCTTTTTTATAGTACCCTTTTATTTCATGGTTATACTATCTTTTATTCCTCTGAGAAAGCTAGTAATAAGTTTAAAAATTTTTTTCTTCTCCCTGCATGGTGTCTGATTCTTCCACGTTGCTTTTGTCTGTTTGTTTTGGTCTCTGTCCTCCATATTGGAGGCTGTCATCAGAAGTTTGGTAGTCTTTGATTTTCTGCTCATGGTTAATGAGGGAACCAAGATGGATGATTGGAAGGTGAGGCATAAATAAGATTTGTTAACCATAAGCTTTATTATGAGGCGATTTGGGTAGCCTGTTGATTGAGGAACCCTGATGTCCGTGTCTTTAGTTATTTCTTCTTAGCCTAATCAGATTCCCCACGAAAGTGTCTTCCAGTCTTCTGTCTGAGGGAGGGGCAGGGTAAGTATTCTGTTTGTGGGGAGAAGGAGATTGGGAGTCTCTCTTGATTGGTCAATCACTTAGTATTCAGTAATTAGTTGTTTACTGCCACTATGTCTTGGTATAGTTTTTATAACCTCATCTGTGTCTGGCATTCCCTAGTCCAAAGCACCTCTTTTTTACCCTCTCCAAATAATAGGAATTTCCAGACTTTTGCTTGAGTAGGGATGGAGGAGGGATAGTCATGTAGTGGCAAGGAAGAGATCTAGGGAGCTAACTTTTTATTCAGTTTTTACCATAGTTCTTATTTTTGCCTTCCCCGTTATATTCCCAGTTCCTGATTCTGTGCCCTTTAAGAATTCTGCAGTATAAATCAGTTACTTTGTGATTTCCTTATTGGGGCTTGGTATTTAGCTGTCTCAGGTCTACTAAACCAGTTTTCACTGACATCTCTGCTTCTTTTTACCTTTGAGGCTATGGCTATTTCACCTGTTCTGTTTGTCCTTATAGACTTATATCTTTAAAACAACAACAGAACCTTTTACTGTAGTTAAAGTGGAATTTCGGGAGGAATTAAAATATGCTCAGTCTGACATCTTAACCTGAAAAACCTCCCTTTGTTTCTTTAACAGATAAGGAGTATGAGATTCTGAGAGATTACGTGATTTCTGTTTATACATGTTCCAGTATCTATTGAATATATAATAATAAACCTCCCCTAAACTTAGTGGCTTAAAATACCAGCAATGTTTATTTTATTCACAAATATGTAATTTGTGTGGAGATCAGTGGGGAAAGCTCATCTTGGTTCTCCTGAGCATTAGCTGAGGGGGCTTGAATACTGAGAGCTGGAATCACCTGAAGGCTTGATCATTCCCATGCCTGATGATTGATGCTGGTTGTAGGCTTGGACCTTAGATGAAACACCTACATATGGCCTTTTTCAGGTGGCTCTTGGCATCCTCACAGCATGGTGACGGAATTCCAAAGACAAACATCTCAAAAGAGAGAGCCAAGCACAAATGTTATTGCCTTTTAATAACCTACTCATGCAGCTTCACTTCTGCCACTTTTGTTGATTAGCAAGGAGTCATTAAGCCTGGCTTATATTCAAAGGGAGGCGAATTAGACTCCATCCTTTGTTGGGGGGAGTATAAAATAATGTACAGACATAATGTAGATCCAGAAAAAGAAGACAAGTTTGGTTGGATGGTTGTTCTTTTTTTTTTTTTTTTTTTGGTTGTTTTGTTTTTTTTGTTGTTTTCAGATATTTTCTTATACTGTGTTTAAGGTAGAAATTCATAATTAAAAATCAGTTTTTTATAATAGATGACATATACATTGTAAGTTTCCATACTTCCTGAATTTCTCTATTACAGGCCGTTATCTAGGTCACACTATTAGAGAATTTTAAAACTTTTTGGTAGGTTTATGAGTCTTTTCCATTTTGTTCTTGAATAGTTGTAGAGATGAAAGTGATCTAAGAAATGATATAAACTAGTGGTTTTAAACTTATTTTTGTTCTTGTTTTTGATTGTGACAAAACACTTTTTTTAAAAAAACAATTTATTAGAGCATAATTATATTAAGCAGAGTTGCTGTGAGTAAACCTATTCATTCAGCACCATTCCCCTCAGGTAGACCTTGAAGTTCTTTTTTGAAACCTTAGGAACAACTGACTTAAGCCATCTTTTTTTTTTTCTTTAAGTTCTGGGATACATGTGCAGAACGTGCAAGTTTGTTTCATAGGTATACACGTGCAATGGTGGTTGCCTGCACCCATCAACCCGTCATCTACATTAAGTATTTCTCCTAATGCTATCCCTTCCCTAGTCCCCCACTCACTGACAGGTCCTGGTGTGTGATGTTCCCCTTTCTGTGTCCATGTGTTCTCATTGTTCAACTGCCACTTACGAGTGAGAACATGCAGTGTTTGGTTTTCTATTCCTATGTTAGTTTGCTGAGAATGATGGTTTCCAGCTTCATCCATGCCCTGCAAAGGACATGAACTCATCCCTCTTTATGGCTGCATAGTATTCCATGGTGCATATGTGCCATATTTTCTTTATCCAGTCCATCATTGATGGGCATTTGGGTTGGTTCCCAGTCTTTGCTATTGCGAACAGTGCTGTAATAAACATGTGTGTGTGTCTTGATAGTAGAATGATTTATCTTCCTTTGGGTATATACCCATTAATGGGATTGCTGGGTCACATGGTATTTCTGGTTGTAGATCCTTGAGGAATCGCCACACTGTCTTCCACAATGGTTTAACTAATTTACACTCCCACCAACAGTGTAAAAGCGTTCCTGTTTCTCCACATCCTCTCCAGCATTTGTTGTTTCCTGACTTTTTACTGATCGCCATTCTAACTGGCATGAGATGGTATCTCATTGTGGTTTTGATTTGCATTTCTCTAATGACGAGTGATGATGAGCTTTTTTTCATATGTTTGTTGGCTACATAAATGTCTTCTTTTAAGAGGTGTCTGTTCATATCCTTTGCCCACTTTTTGATGGAGTAGGTTGATTTTTCTTGCAAATTTGTTGAAGTTCCTTGTAGATTTTGGATATTAGCCCTTTGTCAGATGGATAGATTGCAAACATTTTCTCCATTCTGTAGGTTGCCTCTTCACTCTGATGATAGTTTCTTTTGCTGTGCAGGAGCTGTTTAGTTTAATTAGATGCCATTTGTCAATTTTGGCTTTTGTTACCATTGCTTTTGATGTTTTAGTCATCAAGTCTGTGCCCACGCCTATGTCCTGAATGGTATTGCCTAGGTTTTCTTCTAGGGTTTTTATGGTTTTAGGTTTAATCCTTAAGTCTTTAATTCATCTTGAGTTAATTTTTGTATGAGGTGTAAGGAAGGATTCCAGTTTCAGTTTTCTGCATATGGCTAGCCAGTTTTCCCAGCACCATTTATTAAATAGGGAATCCTTTCCCCATTGATTGTTTTTGTCAGATTTGTCAAAGATCAGATTATTGTAGATGTGTGGCATTATTTCTGAGACCTTTATCCGGTTCCATTGGTCTATATATATATATCTGTTTTGGTACCAGTATCATGCTGTTTTGGTTACTGTAGCCTTGTAGTATAGTTTGCAGTCAGGTAGTGTGATGTCTCCAGCTTTGTTCTTTTTGCTTAGGATTGTCTTGGCTATACAGGCTCTTTTTGGTTCCACATGAAACGTAAAGTAGTTTTTTCTAATTCTGTGAAGAAAGTCAATGGTAGCTTGATGGGGATAGCATTGAATCTATAAATTACTTTGGGCAGTATGGCCATTTTCACAATATTGATTCTTCCTATCCATGAGGATGGAATGTTTTTCCCTTTGTTTGTGTCCTCTCTTCTTTCCTTGAGCAGTGGTTTGTAGTTCTCCTTGAAGAGGTCCTTCACATCCTTTGTAAGTTGTATTGCTAGGTATTTTATTCTCTTTGTAGCAGTTATGAATGGGAGTTCACTGATGATTTGGCTCTCTGTTTGTCTATATTTGGTGTATAGGAATGCTTGTGATTTTTGCACACTGATTTTGTATCCTGAGACTTTGCTGAAGTTGCATATCAGCTTAAGGAGATTCTGGGCTGAGATGATGGGGTTTTCCAAATATATAATCATGTCATCTGCAAACAGAGACAATTTGACTTCCTCTCTTCCTATTTAAATGCCCTTTCTTTCTCTTGCCTGACTGCCCTGGCCAAAATTTCCAATAATATGTTGAATAAGAGTAGTGAGAGAGAGCATCCTTGTCTTGTGTCAGTTTTAAAAGGGAATGCTTCCAGCTTTTGCCCATTCAGTATGATATTAGCTGCGGCTTTGTCATAAATAGCTCTTATTAAGAGAAACATCCCATCAATACCTAGTTTATTGAGAGTTTTTAGCATGAATGGGGTGTTGAATTTTATTGAAGGACTTTTCGGTAGTTATTGAGAAAATTGTGTGGTTTTTGTCATCGGTTCTTTTTAAGTGATAGGTTACATTTATTGACTTGTGTATGTTCAACTAGCCCTGCATTCCAGGGATGAAGCCAACTTGATTGTGGTGGATAAGCTTTTTGATGTGCTGCTACATTTGGTTTGCCAGTATTTTACTGAGGATTTTCATATCCATGTTCATCAGGGATATTGGCCTGAAATTTTCTTTTTTTGTTGTGTCTCCGCCAGGTTTTGGTATCAGGATGATGCTGACCTCATAAAGTGAGTTAGGGAGGAGTTCCTCTTTTTCTGTTGTTTAGAATAGTTTCAGGTGGAATGGTAACAGCTCCTCTTTGTATCTCTGGTAGAATTCACCTGTCAATCTGTCTGGTCCTGGGCTTTTTTTGGTTGGTAGGCTATTAATTACTGCCTCCATTTCAGAACTTGTTATTGGTCTATTCAGAGATTCGACTTCTTCCTGGTTTAGTCTTGGGAGTGTGTATGTGTCCAGGAATTTATCCATTTCTTCTAGATTTTCTAGTTTATTTGCATAGAGGTGTTCATAGTATTCTCTGATGGTAGTTTGTATTTCTGTGGGATCAGTGGTGATATCCCCTTTATCGTTTTTTATTGTGTCTATTTGATTCTTCTCTCTTTTCTTCTTTATTCGTCTGGCTAGTGGTCTATCTAGTTTGTTAACCTTTACAAAAAACCAGCTCCTGGACTCATTGATATTTTTGAAGGGTTTTTCATGTCTCTATCTCCTTCAGTTCTGCTCTAAACTTAGTTATTTGTCTTCTGCTAGCTTTTGAACTTGTTTGCTCTTGCTTCCCTAGTTCTTTTAATTATGATGTTAGGGTGTCAATCTTAGATCTTTCCCACTTTCTCCTGTGGGCATTTGGTGCTATAAATTTCCCTCTGAACACTGCTTTAGCTGTGTCCCAGAGATTCTGGTACGTTGTGTCTTTGTTCTCGTTGGTTTCAAATAACTTACTTATTTCTGCCTTAATTTCGTTAGGTACCCAGTAGTCATTCAGGAGCAGGTTGTTCAGTTTCCATGTAGTTGTGCGAGTTTCTGAATCCTGAGTTCTAATTTGATTGCACTGTGGTCTGAGAGACTGTTTATTATGATTTCCATTCTTTTGCATTTGCTGAGGAGTGTTTTACTTCCAATTATGTGGTCAATTTTAGAATAAGTGCAGTGTGGTGCTGAGAAGAATTTATATTCTTTTGATTTGGGGTGGAGAGTTCTGTAGATGTCTATTAGGTCTGCTTGGTCCAGAGTTGAGTTCAGGTCCTGAATATCCTTGTTAATTTTCTGCCTTGTTGATCTAATATTGACAGTGTGATGTTAAAGTCTCCCACTATCATTGTGTGGGAGTCTAAGTCTCTTTGTAGGTCTCTAAGAATTGCTTTATGACTCTGGGTACTCCTGTATTGGGTGCATATGTATTTAGGATAGTTAATTCTTCTTGTTGCATTGATCCCTTTACCATTATGTAATGCCCTTCGTCTTTTTGGATCTTTGTTGGTTTAAAGTCTGTTTCATCAGAGACTAGGATTGCAACCCTTGCTTTTTTTTTTTTTTTTTTTTTCTTTTTTTTTTGCTTTCCATTTGTGTGGGAAATATTCCTCCATCCCTTTATTTTAGCCTATGTGTGTCTTTGCACATGAGATGGGTCTCCTGAATACAGCACACCAATGGGTCTTGACTCTTTTTCCAATTTGCTAGTGTGTGTCTTTCAACTGGGGCATTTAGCCCATTTACATTTAAGGTTAATATTGTTATGTGTGAATTTGATCGTGTCATTATGATGCTAGCTGTTTATTTTGCCCATTGGTTGATGCAGTTTCTTCATAGTGTCAATGGTCTTTACAATTTGGTATGTTTTTGCAGTGGCTGGTACCAGTTTTCCTTTCCATATTTAGTGCTTCCTTCAGGAGCTCTTGTAAGGCAGGCCTGGTGGTGACAGAATCTCTCAGCATTTGCTTGTCTGTAAAGGATTTTATTTGTCCTTTGCTTAGGAAGCTTAGTTTGGCTGGATATGAAATTCTGGGCTGAAAATTCTTTTCTTTAAGAATGTTGAATATTGGCCCCCACTCTCTTCTGGCTTGTAGGGTTTCTGCAGAGAGATATGCTGTTAGTCTGATGGGCTTCCCTTTGGGGGTAACCTGACCTTTCTCTCTGGCTGCCCTTAACATTTTTTGCTTCATTTCAACCTTGGTGAACCTGACAATTATGTGTCTTGGGGTAGCTCTTCTCAAGGAGTATCTTTGTGGTGTTCTCTGTATTTCCTGAATTTGAATGTTGGCCTGTCTTGCTTAGGTTTGCGGAAGTTCTCCTGGATAATATCCTGAAGGGTGTTTTCCAACTTGGTTCCATTCCTCCCGTCACTTTCAGATACACCAAAAAAACGTAGGTTTGGTCTCTTCACATAGTCCCACATTTCTTGGAGGCTTTGTTCGTTCCTTTTCATTCCTTTTTCTCTAATCTTGTCTTCACACTTTATTTCATTATGTTGATCTTCAATCTCTGATATCCTTTCTTCTGCTTGATCAATTCAGCTATTGATACTTGTGTATGCTTCATGAAGTTCTCATGCTGTTTTTCAGGTCCATCAGGTCATTTATGTTCTTCTCTAAACTCGTTATTTTGGTTAGCAATTCCTCTAACCTTTTATCAAGGTTCACAGCTTCCTTGCCTTGGGTTAGAACGTGCTCCTTTAGCTCGGAAGAGTTTCTTATTACCCACCTTCTGAAGCCTACTTCTGTCAATTCGTCAAACTCATTCTCCATCCAGTTTAGTTCCCTTGCTAGTGAGGAGTTGTGATCCTTTGGAGGGGAAGAGGCGTTCTGGTTTTTGGAATTTTCAGCCTTTTTGCACTGGTTTTTCTTCATCTTCGTGGATTTATCTATGTTTGGTCTTTGAGGCTGGTGACCTTTGGATGGGGTTTTTGTGTGGACATCCTTTTTGTTGATGTTGATGCTATTCCTTTCTGTTTGTTAGTTTTCCTTCTAACAGTTAGAAGGAAAGGTCTGCTGGAGTTTGCTGGAGGTCCACTCCAGACCCTGTTTGCCTGGGTATGGCACAGCAGAGGCTGCAGAACAGCAAAGGTTGCTGCCTGTTCCTTCCTCTGGAAGCTTTGTCCCAGAGGGGCACCTGCCAGATGCCAGCTGGAGCTCCCCTGTATGTGGTGTTGGTCAACCCCTGCTGGGAGGTATCTCCCAGTCAGGACACATGGGTGTCAGGGACCCACTTGAGGAGGCAGTCTGTCCCTTAGCAGAGCTTGAGCGCTGTGCTGGGAGATCCTCCTGCTCTCTTCACAGCTGGCAGGCAGGAATGCTTAAGTCTGCTGAAGCTGCACAAACAGTCGCCCCTTCCCCCAGGAAGAATTTGTATTTCTAGATGTTCCCAGATGATGCTGATGTTGCTAGTCTGCACAAAATACTACGAAACACTCTTCCATGGTTTTAAATGAGAGAACAATGGTGCTGATGACACAGAAGAGTTTATTAAATCTACTTCAGTGTTACAATTTTATATCCTTTATTAAATATGGCAACATCCAATGTCTAGTAATTTCTACTGCAAACACTAATTGGACAGAGGTTCAATTTACAAATAAGTAAAATTAGGTATCTCCACAAATGGCTTCTTATAGATTATATTTGGTAATCTTTATGAAAGGGAAAGAAAAGGGCATCTCAGCAGCAGAAAATAAATAAATGATAGTCATCTCCTCTCTTCAACACCAGTCTTATTACTATTATTTTTTGTGGCTCCTATAGAGTTTTTCTTCCTCTTTACCAGGCTTACTTACCCTTTCTTATCCCTTCCCACACACTTTTTCCCAACCTGGCTATAAACACCTACAATTAAATACAAACAGATTCATTCAAATATAAATTAACTTATTCACACACAGAGCATATATACACAGTTTTATATCCACTCATTTTATTAATACCATGTTGAGGTGGAAGAGTGAAATTTGAATTAGTAAAAGAACTGGATTTTGGCAGAGCCTGAGAGTGGAGAGATTCTTACATAAGAGAAATAGTAATGCCAAGGCCAAGAGGATTATAGGGTAAGTTTAGAAACCAGAAGCCCAGATGGGATTTATTTTTAGTTGAAAAGGTAACTTAAACTGAAGAGTCATGCAGAATGTTAACACACTATGTTAATGGAACTTGAATTAGAAAGAAAGGCAGAATCCTTTGCTCAGATTAGTGAATGAAAACCAAACTACAGGATGCGACATTCAGCTATTAAGAAAAGAAAAATAACAGACTGCAGCTGTTCTCAAGTCCCTGAATATCAAGGCATTGTTTCCAGAGACAGGCTTTCTGCCTGTTCTCACAGATGATTCTTAAAATATAATTCAAAAAGAGAAAATCAATAACCATGGTGATGAGGGATTAATTAGACCTCAAACTGACATTATAAATAGAGGCAAATCTTTGTTCTATCATATGCAACTTTTTCTGCAATACAGAATATCATAATACAGTGAAAAAAGCCAAAATATATTTATCAGTGAAAATCTATCATTTAGGGTTCATTCAGCGAACTTATGAACACTGTGCTGAACTGATAAGCAGTAATCGTTTTCCCTTTCTTTTAATATACTGTTGCCAATTTTAGCTGGTTGCTTAGAAACATTAAGTAAAACACTAGAAGCCAATGTAAGAAGAATAAGGGCTGTGGTAGGGGTTGGCAGTATATTCAAAAATGTAAAGATCAGAATATAACTATGTGTAAGGGTGTGAGATTATCAGCCAAATTTTGCTAGCTCACTGTTTTCACAGACGTCACAACTCTCGTTGGAAACTTGGAAAATGCAGCTTTCTACAACTACACCCGACAAAACAAAGACTGACATTTTGAATTGGCCACATGATTAGGGGATTGATAACTGTTCCTGGCTAGCCAGCACAGATGGCAACAGCAGTATTGGAGGTAAAGAAGAGTCTATGAAGATTGGAGGTTCAGTAGGAAGAACCTGGGCTTCCCTTCCTTATCCCTCTGCCACTAGAGAGGAAATAGTGATATAAAAAAGTTTGCTGCTGGTTACACGCTCTTGCAAAATGCTGTGCCTTGAGTTTCAATATAAATAATTTTTAATTAAATAAGTAATAAGTAATGAAAAAGCAGTCTTAGAAGTATGGGACTGGGTCATATTGCTGGCTGGGTTGTGAAATTTTTAACTTTAGATAAGCAATTAAAGTCCCTGGGCCTCAGTTTAGACATTATACAATGAAAGAAGAGGGAGTGGCTGGCAAGTCAGCCGAATAGGAACAGCTCCGGTCTGCAGCTCCCAGTGAGATCAACGCAGAAGGCAGGTGATTTCTGCATTTCCAACTGAGGTACCCAGCTCATCTCACTGGGACTGGTTAGACAGTGGGTGCAGACTGTGGGGGGCAAGCTGAAGCAAGGTGAGGCTTTGCCACATCCGGGAAGCACAAGGGATCAGAGAAATCCCTCCCCTAGCCAAGGGAAGTCGTGAGAGACTGTGCCCTGAGGAACGGTGCACTCCGGCCCAGATACTACACTTTTTCCATGGTCTTTACAACCTACAGACAAGGAGATTCTCTTGGGTGCCTATGCCACCAGGGCCCTGGGATTCAAGCACAAAACTGGGTGGCCATTTGAGCAGACACCGAACTTGCTGCAGGAATTTTTTTTTTTATAACCCAGTGGCGCCTAGAACACCAGTGACAGACTGCCTCCTCAAGTGGGTCCCTGACACCCATGTGTCCTGACTGGGAGATACCTCCCAGCAGGGGTTGACCAACACCACATACAGGAGAGCTCCAGCTGGCATCTGGCAGGTGCCCCTCTGGGACAAAGCTTCCAGAGGAAGGAACAGGCAGCAACCTTTGCTGTTCTGCAGCCTCTGCTGTGCCATACCCAGGCAAACAGGGTCTGGAGTGGACCTCCAGCAAACTCCAGCAGACCTTTCCTTCTAACTGTTAGAAGGAAAACTAACAAACAGAAAGGAATAGCATCAACATCAACAAAAAGGATGTCCACACAAAAACCCCATCCAAAGGTCACCAGCCTCAAAGACCAAACATAGATAAATCCACGAAGATGAAGAAAAACCAGTGCAAAAAGGCTGAAAATTCCAAAAACCAGAACGCCTCTTCCCCTCCAAAGGATCACAACTCCTCACTAGCAAGGGAACTAAACTGGATGGAGAATGAGTTTGACGAATTGACAGAAGTAGGCTTCAGAAGGTGGGTAATAAGAAACTCTTCCGAGCTAAAGGAGCACGTTCTAACCCAAGGCAAGGAAGCTGTGAACCTTGATAAAAGGTTAGAGGAATTGCTAACCAAAATAACGAGTTTAGAGAAGAACATAAATGACCTGATGGACCTGAAAAACAGCATGAGAACTTCATGAAGCATACACAAGTATCAATAGCTGAATTGATCAAGCAGAAGAAAGGATATCAGAGATTGAAGATCAACATAATGAAATAAAGTGTGAAGACAAGATTAGAGAAAAAGGAATGAAAAGGAACGAACAAAGCCTCCAAGAAATGTGGGACTATGTGAAGAGACCAAACCTACGTTTTTTTGGTGTATCTGAAAGTGACGGGAGGAATGGAACCAAGTTGGAAAACACCCTTCAGGATATTATCCAGGAGAACTTCCGCAAACCTAAGCAAGACAGGCCAACATTCAAATTCAGGAAATACAGAGAACACCACAAAGATACTCCTTGAGAAGAGCTACCCCAAGACACATAATTGTCAGGTTCACCAAGGTTGAAATGAAGCAAAAAATGTTAAGGGCAGCCAGAGAGAAAGGTCAGGTTACCCCCAAAGGGAAGCCCATCAGACTAACAGCATATCTCTCTGCAGAAACCCTACAAGCCAGAAGAGAGTGGGGGCCAATATTCAACATTCTTAAAGAAAAGAATTTTCAGCCCAGAATTTCATATCCAGCCAAACTAAGCTTCCTAAGCAAAGGACAAATAAAATCCTTTACAGACAAGCAAATGCTGAGAGATTCTGTCACCACCAGGCCTGCCTTACAAGAGCTCCTGAAGGAAGCACTAAATATGGAAAGGAAAACTGGTACCAGCCACTGCAAAAACATACCAAATTGTAAAGACCATTGACACTATGAAGAAACTGCATCAACCAATGGGCAAAATAAACAGCTAGCATCATAATGACACGATCAAATTCACACATAACAATATTAACCTTAAATGTAAATGGGCTAAATGCCCCAGTTGAAAGACACACACTAGCAAATTGGAAAAAGAGTCAAGACCCATTGGTGTGCTGTATTCAGGAGACCCATCTCATGTGCAAAGACACACATAGGCTAAAATAAAGGGATGGAGGAATATTTCCCACACAAATGGAAAGCAAAAAAAAAAAGAAAAAAAAAGAAAAAAAAAAGCAAGGGTTGCAATCCTAGTCTCTGATGAAACAGACTTTAAACCAACAAAGATCCAAAAAGACGAAGGGCATTACATAATGGTAAAGGGATCAATGCAACAAGAAGAATTAACTATCCTAAATACATATGCACCCAATACAGGAGTACCCAGAGTCATAAAGCAATTCTTAGAGACCTACAAAGAGACTTAGACTCCCACACAATGATAGTGGGAGACTTTAACATCACACTGTCAATATTAGATCAACAAGGCAGAAAATTAACAAGGATATTCAGGACCTGAACTCAACTCTGGACCAAGCAGACCTAATAGACATCTACAGAACTCTCCACCCCAAATCAAAAGAATATAAATTCTTCTCAGCACCACACTGCACTTATTCTAAAATTGACCACATAATTGGAAGTAAAACACTCCTCAGCAAATGCAAAAGAATGGAAATCATAATAAACAGTCTCTCAGACCACAGTGCAATCAAATTAGAACTCAGGATTCAGAAACTCGCACAACTACATGGAAACTGAACAACCTGCTCCTGAATGACTACTGGGTACCTAACGAAATTAAGGCAGAAATAAGTAAGTTATTTGAAACCAACGAGAACAAAGACACAACGTACCAGAATCTCTGGGACACAGCTAAAGCAGTGTTCAGAGGGAAATTTATAGCACCAAATGCCCACAGGAGAAAGTGGGAAAGATCTAAGATTGACACCCTAACATCATAATTAAAAGAACTAGGGAAGCAAGAGCAAACAAGTTCAAAAGCTAGCAGAAGACAAATAACTAAGTTTAGAGCAGAACTGAAGGAGATAGAGACATGAAAAACCCTTCAAAAATATCAATGAGTCCAGGAGCTGGTTTTTTGTAAAGGTTAACAAACTAGATAGACCACTAGCCAGACGAATAAAGAAGAAAAGAGAGAAGAATCAAATAGACACAATAAAAAACGATAAAGGGGATATCACCACTGATCCCACAGAAATACAAACTACCATCAGAGAATACTATGAACACCTCTATGCAAATAAACTAGAAAATCTAGAAGAAATGGATAAATTCCTGGACACATACACACTCCCAAGACTAAACCAGGAAGAAGTCGAATCTCTGAATAGACCAATAACAAGTTCTGAAATGGAGGCAGTAATTAATAGCCTACCAACCAAAAAAAGCCCAGGACCAGACAGATTGACAGGTGAATTCTACCAGAGATACAAAGAGGAGCTGTTACCATTCCACCTGAAACTATTCTAAACAACAGAAAAAGAGGAACTCCTCCCTAACTCACTTTATGAGGTCAGCATCATCCTGATACCAAAACCTGGCGGAGACACAACAAAAAAAGAAAATTTCAGGCCAATATCCCTGATGAACATGGATATGAAAATCCTCAGTAAAATACTGGCAAACCAAATGTAGCAGCGCATCAAAAAGCTCATCTACCACGTGAGAGAACTTACCCACCACGATCAAGTTGGCTTCATCCCTGGAATGCAAGGCTGGTTCAACATACACAAATCAATAAACGTAATCCATTTCAACAGAACCAATGACAAAAAACACTTAATTACCTCAATAGATGTATAAAAGGCCTCGATAAAATTCAACACTTTTTTATACTAAAATCTCTCAATAAATTAGGTATTGATGGAGTGTTTCTCAAAATAATAAGAACTATTTATGACAAACCCACAGTCAATATCATACTGAATGGGTAAAAGCTGGAAGCATTCCCTTTAAGAACTGACAGAAGACAAGGACGCCCTCTCTTACTACTCCTATAAACATATTATTGGAAATTTTGGCCAGGGCAATCAGGCAAGTGAGAGAAATAAAGGACATTTAAATAGGAAGAGAGGAAGTCAAATCATGTTTGTAGATGACATGATTGTATATTTAGAAAAGTCCATCCTCTCAGCCAGAAATCTCCTTAAGCTGATAAGCAACTTCAGCAAAGTCTCAGGATACAAAATCAATGTGCAAAAATCACAAGCATTCCTATACACAAATAATAGCCAAATCATGAGTGACCCCCATTCACAATTGCTGCAAAGATAATAAAATACCTAGCAATACAACTTACAAAGTATGTGAAGGACCTCTTCAAGGAGAACTACAAATCACTCCTCAAGGAAATAAGAGAGAACACAAACAAATGGAAAAACATTCTGTGCTCATGGATAGGAAGAATCAATATCATGAAAATGGGCCATACTGCCCAAAGTAATTTATAGATTCAATGCTATCCCCATCAAGCTACCACTGACTTTCTTCACAGAATTAGAAAAAACTACTTTACATTTCATATAGAACCAAAAAAGAGCCCATATAGTCAAGACAATCCTAAGCAAAAAGAACAAAGCTGGAGGCATCATTGCTACCTCACTTCAAACTACAAGGCTACAGTAACCAGAATAGCACAGTACTGGTACCAAAACAGATATATAAACCAATGGAACAGCATAGAGACCTCAGAAATAATGCCACACATCTACAGTAATCTGATCTTTGACAAACCTGATAAAAACAAGCAATGGGGAAAGGATTCCCTATTTAATAAATGGTGCTGGGGAAACTGGCTAGTCATATGCAGAAAACTGAAACTGGACCCCTTCCTTACACCTCATACAAAAATTAACTCAAGATGGATTAAAAACTTAAATGTAAAACCTAATACTGTGAAAACTCTAGAAGAAAACCTAGGCAGTACCATTCAGGACATAGGCGTGGGCAAAGACTTCACGGCTAAAACACCAAAAACAATGGCAACAAAAGCCAGAATTGACACATGGCATCTTATTAAACTAAAGAGCTTCTAAACAGTAAAAGAAACTATCATCAGAGTGAAGAGGCAGCCTACAGAATGAGAGAAAATGTTTGCAATCTATCCATCTGACAAAGGGCTAATATCCAGAATCTACAAGGAAGTTAAACAGATTTACAAGAAAAAAAAAAACCATCAAAAAGTGGGCAAAGGATATGAACAGACACTTCCCAAAAGAAGACATTTATGCAGCCAACAAACATGAAAAAAGGCTCATCATCACTGGTCATTAGAAAAATGCAAATCAAACCACAATGAGATACCATCTCATGCCAGTTAGAATGGTGATCAGTAAAAAGTCAGGAAATAGATGCTGGAGAGGATGTGGAGAAATAGGAATGCTTTTACACTGTTGGTGGGAGTGTAAATTCAACCATTGTGGAAGATGGTGTGGTGATTCCTCAAGAATCTAGAACCAGAAATACCATTTAACCTAGCAATCCCGTTACTGGGTTTTATCCTTTTACCACCCAAAGGATGATAAATCATTCTGCTATAAAGACACATGCACACATATGTTTATGACAGCACTGTTCACAACAGCAAAGACTGGGAACCAACCCAAATGCCCGTCAATGATAGACTGGATAAAGAAAGTATGGCACATATGCACCATGTAATACTATGCAGCCATAAAGAAGGATGAGTTCATGTCCTTTGCAGGGACATGGACGAAGCTGGAAAGCATTATTCTCAGCAAACTATCACAGGAACAGAAAACCGAACACCACATGTTCTCACTCATAAGTGGGAGTTGAACAATGAGAACACAGGTACCTGGGGAGGGGAACATCACACACTGGGGCCTTTCGGTGGATTGGGACCAGGGGAGGGATAGCATTAGGAGAAATACTTAATGTAGATGACAGGTTGATGGGTGCCGGAAACCACCATGGCATATGTATACCTATGTAACAAACCTGCACGTTCTGCACATGTATTCCAGAACTTAAAGTATAATAATAAAAAAAAAAGATACAAATTCTTGTGCCCCACTCCAGACCTACTGAATCACAAAGTTTGGGGACAGCCCAGTAGTCCATGTTTTAACAAGTTTTCCAGGTTATTCTGATTTACAGTAAAGTTTGGAAACCATTGCTGTTGTATAAAAAAATTAGCATGTTTATACTATCTTCTAATATGGAAGTTTAAACCCCCACACTAATGAAATTTATCTTTGCTTATTAAAGTTGATGGTAGAGCCAAGGATAGATGCTTGAATAGGAGGGTAGGTAAAGAAGGAAGGAAGACCTTATTAGCTATGTTACTTCTGTGACTATTGATATGCCTGTGTTTGCATAGTTGAAAATATATCCTGATTACATTACAGTAGAATTAAATTCTATATATGTATATTTCATTATTATAGACCTTAAAATCTATAAGATATTAATCATTCTGTTGTTTTAGAAGGATTAATACTTGAGAAAATACAACAATCAAAGTAAAAAGCTTTGTAGATGAGCTCAACAACAGAATGGAGGGGATAGGAATCAATGAACTGGAAGACAGAACAATAGAAATTATCCAGTCTTAACAATAGAAAATAGACTGAAAAATCAACAGAATCTCAGGGACCTCAGATACTATAACAAAAGGTGTTACAGTCCTATTATCAGAGTCCCAGAAGGAGAGGAAAAGACAGTAGGGCTAAAAAAGTAACCAAGTTATGACTGAAAATTTTCTACATTTGGTGAAAGACATAAACCTGCAGATTCAAGAAGCTAAACAAACCTCATTCAGAAGAAATCCAAAGAAATCCACAGCAAGAAACATCATAATTAAACTTGTCAAAACTGAAGACCAACAAAAAGATCTTGAAAGCAGCCAGGAAAAAATGACACATTAAAGAAAATGCTGCAGTTTGAGTATTTATTTCCACCAAAATTCATGTTGAAATATAATCCCCAGTGTAGCAGTGTTGAGAGGTCGGACCTTTAAGAGGTAATTGAGTCATGAGGGCTCTGCTCTTTTGAATAGATTAATCCATTCATGGGTTAATGGATTCATGGGTTATCATGGGAATAGGACTGGTGGCTTTATAAGAAGAGGAGGAGATATTTGAGCTAGCATACTCAGCCCCCTCACCATGTGATGCCCTGCACCCCCTCAGGACTTTGCAGAGTCCCTGTTAGCAAGAAGGCCTTCACCAGATGCAGCACCTCAAAAAAAAAGGCATTGAAATAACAGATTTCTCATCAGTAACCATGGAGGCCACCAGAAGGATATGCCACTAAATTTTTCAAATGCTAAAAGGACTGTCAATGCAGAATCCTATACCTGATGAAAATATTTTTCAGGAATGGAGGGAAGGGAAATCAAGACATTTTCAGATGAAGAAAAACTAAGAATTTGTTGCCACTACATTTACTCTAAAAGAATAAAGGAGTTCTCTAAACAGAAAGGAAACAAAAGAAGGAAACTTGAGATGTGAGGAAAGGGGAAAGAAGGTGATAAACAGAAGTATTGATAAATACAATAGACTTTTCTTCTCCTCTTATGTTTTCTAAATTATATTTGGTAGTTGAAACAAAAATTATAACACCAGCGTGGTTCTAAATGTATGTAAAGGAAATACTTAAGAAAATTATGGCCGAGTGCAGTGACTCACACCTGTAATCCCAGTGTTTTGGGAGGCCAAGACAGGAGGATGGCCTGAGGCCAAGAGTTTGAGACCAGCTTGGGGAACGTAGCGAGACTTTGTCTCCATAAAAAATTTAAAAATTAGTCAGGCTTTTGGTGCATGCCTGTAGTCCTAGCTACTCAGGAGGCTGACATGGGAAAATCACTTGAGCCCAGATGTTTGAGGCTGCAGTTAGCTATGGTCACACCACCACACCCCATCCTGAGTGAAAGAGCAAGACCCTGTCACACACACAAAAAGAAAATTATAAACAGGGGATGGTAAGGGAGGTAGGATTTCTGCCCTTCATTCCAACTGGTAAAATGACGATATGAGTAGCATGTGATAAATTAGTATATGTAATGTAATATCTAGAGAAACCTCTCAGAAACACTATATATAAATCAAAAGAGAATTCTAAAACATGTTTAACCTGCAGAAAGGCAGGGAAAATAACAGAAATGATAAGCAGAGAGAGCACATAGAAAATAAAATCACAGACTTAAGTTCTACCTTATTAAAAATTACATTAAATGTAAATGGTCTAAATAAAAGATATTGTCAGAGTAAACCAAAAACATGACCCAACTGTTTTCTATTTATAAGAAATTTGCTTCAAATATAACAGTATAAGCAAGTTGGAAGTAAATGGATAGAGGAAGACATTTTATGCAAACATCAATTGAAGGAAACAGAAATGACTGCATTAATATCAGATAAAGTGGACTTAGAACAAAGAAAACTCATGGAGACAGAGGGGAACATTATATAATGATAAAAGGGATAATCACCCAAAATATATAGTCATCACAAGTGTGTACGCACCAAACAGCAGAGTTGTAAAAACTGCAGGAGAAAAACTGGTAGACCTGAACCCAGAAACAAAAAAATCCACAATTAGGTATTGAAGTCTCCAACTGTAAGTGTATATTTGATGGAACTAGCTAGAAAATCAACAAGTATGTAGAATATAGAATACCTCAGTGCCACCATCAACCAACAGCACATTTACAGCACGCTCTACTCAACAACAGAATACACGTGGCATTTCAAGTGCCAGTGGGACATACAGCAAAATGGATCATATTCTGGGCCATAAAACAACTGAAATTTTGAAGAATTGAGATAATGTAAAGTGTGTTTTCTGACTATAGTCAAATTAGAAATCAGTAACAGAAAATAACAGGAGCATCTCCAAAATACTTGGAAATTAAACAACTTCCAAATAATTCATTGGTCAAAGATGAAGTCTCAAGGGAGGTTAAAAAATCGATGAGATGGAATGAAAATAAAAACGTAATACAACATACCAAAAGTTGTGGGATACTGCTACAGCAGTGCTGAGAGGGAAATTTATAGCAGTCATGCATACGTTAGAAAGGTGGAAAGTGTCTTTTTTTTTTAATACTTTAAGTTCTAGGGTACATGTGTACAACATGTAGGTTTGTTACATATGTATACATGTGCCATGTTGGTGTGCTGCACCCATTAACTCGTCATTTACATTAGGTATATCTCCTAATGCTATCGCTCCCCCCTCCCCCTACCCCACAACAGGCCCCAGTGTGTAATGTTCCCCTTCCTGTGTCCAAGTGTTCTCATTGTTCAATTTCCACCTGTGAGTGAGAACATGCGGTGTTTGGTTTTTTGTCCTTGCGATAGTTTGCTGAGAATGATGGTTTCCAGCTTCATCCATGTCCCTACAAAGGACATGAACTCATCCTTTTTTATGGCTGCATAGTATTCCATGGTGTATATGTGCCACATTTTCTTAATCCAGTCTATCATTGATGGACATTTGGGTTAGTTCCAAGTCTTAGCTATTGTGAATAGTGCCGCAATAAACATACGTGTGCATGTGTCTTTATAGCAGCATGATTTAAAATCCTTTGAATATATACCCAGTAATGGGATGGCTGGGTCAAATGGTATTTCTAGTTCGAGATCCTTGAGGAATCGCCACACTGTCTTCCACAATGGTTGAACTAGTTTACAGTCCCACAAACAGGGTAAAAGTGTTCCTATTTCTCTACATCCTCTCCAGCACCTGTTGTTCCCTGACTTCTTAATGATTGCCATTCTAACTGGGTGTGAGATGGTATCTCATTGTGGTTTTGATTTGCATTTCTCTGATGGCCAATGATGATGAGCATTTTTTTCATGTGTCTGTTGGCTGCATAAATGTCTTCTTTTGAGAAGTGTCTGTTCATATCCTTCACCCACTTGTTGATGGGGTTGTTTGTTTTTTTCTTGTAAATGTGTTTGAGTTCTTTGTAGATTCTGGATATGAGCCATTTGTCAGATGAGTAGATTGCAAAAATGTTCTCCCATTCTGTAGGTTGCCTGTTCACTCTGATGGTAGTTTCTTTTGCTGTGCAGAAGCTCTTTAGTTTAATTAGATCCCATTTGTCAATTTTGGCTTTTGTTGCCATTGCTTTTTGTGTTTTAGACATGAAGTCCTTGCCCATGCCTATGTCCTGAATGGTATTGCCTAGGTTTTCTTCTAGGGTTTTTATGGTTTTAGGTCTAACATTTAAGTCTTTAATCCACCTTGAATTAATTTTTGTATAAGGTGAAAGGAAGGGATCCAGTTTTAGCTTTCTACATATGGCTAGCCAGTTTTCCCAGCACCATTTATTAAATAGGGAATCCTTTCCCTATTTCTTGTTTTTGTCAGGTTTGTCAAAGATCAGATGGTTGTAGATGTGTGGTATTATTTCTGAGGGCTCTGTTCTGTTCCATTGGTCTATATCTCTGTTTTGGTACCAGTACCATGCTGTTTTGGTTACTGTAGCCTTGTAGTATAGTTTGAAGTCAGGTAGCGTGATGCCTCCAGCTTTGTTCTTTTGGCTTAGGATTGACTTAGCAATGCGGGCTGTTTTTTGGTTCCATATGAACTTTAAAGTAGTTTTTTCCAATTCTGTGAAGAAAGCCATTGGTAGCCTGATGGGGGGGTGGCATTGAATCTATAAATTAACTTGGGCAGTATGGCCATTTTCACAATATTGATTCTTCCTATCCATGAGCATGGAATGTTCTTCCATTTGTTTATGTCCTGTTTTATTTCGTTGAGCAGTGGTTTGTAGTTCTCCTTGAAGAGTTCCTTCACATCCCTTGTAAGTTGGATTCCTAGGTATTTTATTCTCTTTGAAGCAATTGTGAATGGGAGTTCACTCATGATTTGGCTCTCTGTTTGTCTGTTATTGGTGTATAAGAATGCTTGTGATTTTTGCACATTGATTTTTGTATCCTGAGACTTTGCTGAAGTTGCTTATCAGCTTAAGGAGATTTTGGGCTGAGACGATGGGTTTTTCTAGATATACAATCATGTCATCTGCAAACACGGACAATTTGACTTCTTCTTTTCCTAATTGAATACCCTTTATTTCTTTCTCCTGCCTGATTGCCCTGGCCAGAACTTCCAACACTATGTTGAATGGGAGTGGTGAGAGAGGGCATCCCTGTCTTGTGCCAGTTTTGAAAGGGAATGCTTCCAGTTTTTGCCCATTCAGTATGATATTGGCTGTGGGTTTGTCATAAATAGCTCTTATTATTTTGAGATACGTCAAAAAGGGGGAAAGTTTCAAAACAAATATCTAAGCCTTTAGCTCACGGACGTAGGAAAAGAAGAGAAAATCAACCGAAAGCAAGCAGGAAGGAGGAAATATAAAATCAGTGAAACTGAAAACAGAAAAATTGAGAAAATCAATGAAACAAAGAGATGGCTCTTTGACAAGATCAGTAAAATTGATAAACCTCTAGGAAGACTGACAGAAAAAGGTAGATTGTCAGTATGATAAATGAAATAGGAGATATTACAACAGACCCTGTAAACATCAGAAAAAATAATAAGGGAATACTGCAAACTCTACACACATAAATTACAGATGAAGTGGACCAATTCCTCAAAAAACAAAAGCTATTGCAGCTCATCCAGTTTGAAATAGTTAATTTGCCTCGTTTTATAACCACTAAGGATTTCTAGTTTTAAAACTTTAAAAAAGGAATATTCACGTCCGGATGGTCTCACAAGATAATTCTACCAAATGTTTAAAGAATTAACACCATTTCTGTACAATCTCTACCAGAAAATAGACGAAAAGGGAACACTTCTTTTTTGTTTTACAAAGCTGGTATTACACTGATAACAAAACCAGAGAAAGATAGTTTAAAAAAAATAAAAGAAAAAATTACAGACCAATATCCCTCATGAATATAGAGGCAGAAGTCCTTGACAAAATATTAGCAAATAAAATTCAGCAATATGTAAAAAGAGTTATACACCATGACCAAAAGGTCACTCCAGGGATGCTAGATGGTTCAGTTTTAAAAATATCAATTAATGTAATCCACCATACTAACATGCTAAGAATGATTCCATGCAGTAAAATAATTTGACAAAATCCAACACCTATTCATAATGAAAAAAATTAAAACTCCCAGAAAAATAGGAAAAGAGACTATTTTCTTTTACTTGATAAACAGCATCTAGAAAAAACCTGCAATTAACATTTTATGTAGTTGTGAAAGACTGAATGCTTTTACCTTAAGTTTGGGAACAAGACAAGGATGTCTGCTCTCAGCACTCTTATTCAACATGGTAAGAATCAAAGGGAGTACCCTTATATTGGTAAAGCTTACCCTTTTTCTTAATGGCTAAAGACTTAGTGCTTTCCCTTTTAATAGTGGGAATAATGCAAGGATGTTTGCTCTTACTCTTATTCATCTCAGTGCTGCAAATTTTAGCCGATACAAGAAGGCAAAAAGAAGAAAAAAGACATACAGATTAGAAAATAAGAAATAAGACTTTCCCTATTTGCAGATGGCATAATTGTCTATGCAAAAAAAAAAAAAAACCCATGAAATCTCAAAAAAAAACCTTCCTAGAATTAATAAGTGAGTTCAGTATGGTTGAAGAATACACGATAAACATACAAAAATCAGTTATATTTCTTTATGTTAACAGTGAACACACGGACACTAAAATAAAAATGCATATCATTTGTAATCACTTAAAAAAGAATAAAAAGTTTAAATCTAGCAAACATTACAGAATATGTATGCTTAGAATCATACCATGCTGGTGAAAGAAATTAAGATCTAAGTAAGTGTAAAGGCATACTGTGTTCATGGATTAGAACACTTAGTGTAGTAAAGATGCCAATTCTCCCCAAATTGATACAAAAAGGAACTTTATGCATTTCCTGTCAAAATTCCTGTATGTTTTTTGTTGTTGATATAGATAAGATTATTTTCAGATTTACCTGGAAAGGCGGAAGAACTGGAATGGGTAAAACTGTTTTTTAAAAGAATAAAGTTGAAAGAATCAGTCTACCTGGTTTTTATTATATAGCTACAATAATCATACTGAGATAACCATGGAGGAAGAGATACAAGGATTGATGGCATATGCCCAGTTGTAATTTGACAAAGGTCCAAAAGCAATTCAATGAAGGAAAAATAACCTTTTCAATAAATGGTGCCAGAGTGATTGGACATCTATAAACAAAAAATAATAAACATTAACCCCAAACTCACACCTTATACAAAAATAAAGTTAAAATGGATAATGGACTTAAATGTTAAATTATTGGACTTTTAGAAAAAAAATGAAACGATCTTTGGGCTCTAGAACTAGAAAATAGTTCTTAGACTTGACACCAAAAGTACAATCCATAAGAGAAAAATTTATCAATTTGACTTCATCAAAATTTAAAAGTTTTGCTCTGAGAAAGACCCTGTGCAGAGGATGAAAAGACAGGCTACAAAGTGGAGAAAACATTTGCAAACTATTTTAGTGACAAGGGACTATTATCTAAACTATATAAGGAGCTTTCAGTACTTAACAGCAAAAAAGTAATCCAGTCAGAACACAGGCAAAAGATGTAAAGAGACATTTCACTGAAGAAGATATATGGATGGAAAATAAGCACATTAAAAGCTGTTCAACCTCATTAACCATTAGGAAAATGAAAATTAAAATCACACAGAAATATTATGCAACTATCAAAAATAATGACACCACCAAATGCTGGTGAGTATGTAGAGAAACTGGATCACTAATATATTGCTGGTGGGAATGTGAAATGGTACAGCCACTCTGGAAAACAAGTTTGGCAGTCTGTTAGAAAACTAAACATGCAACTGCCGTATATTTACCTCAAAGAAATGAGGAATTATTTTACCCAATAACCTCTACACAAATGTTTCTAGCAGCTTTATTTACAATAACCTAAAAACAGATGTCCTTCAGTGGTTGAATAGTTAACCATATAGCGGTACACCCAAATAGTGGAATACTATTAAGCAATAAAAATGAACTATCTGTATATGCAACAACTTGGATGAATCTCCAGAAAATTATGCTAACTAAAAGCCAGTATGAAAAGGTTACATAGGTGTGATTTCTTTCATATAACATTCTTGAAATGACAACATTTTATAAGTGCAGAATCTAATAATGTACTTTTCTGTTTCCAGAAATAAAAATTAAAAGACTTACAGAGGACGTAAGTGCATATACAGTCATGACATTTCAGTCAAGAATAGACCACATGTATGACAGTAGTCCCCTAGATTATAATACTATATTTTTACTATACCTTTTCTGTATTTACATACGTTTAAATAAACAAATGCTTATCATTGTATTACAGTTGTCTACAGTATTCAGTACATTAAAATGCTATACAGATATGTAGCCTGGGAGCAATAGGCTATATGATATAGCCTAGGTGTGTAGTGTGTAGTAGGCTATACCATCTAGGTTTGTGTAAGTACATTGTATGATGTCCACACAGTGACAAAATTGCCTACTGGCATGCTTCTTAGAATGTGTCTCCATCATTAAGCAATGTGTGACTATGTTCAAAAAGCTAATAAACATTAAAAACATTGAGCCTCATTGAAATACCCCCGGAAAGATGACTTTTGGGAAGAGGGGAGAGGAAAGAAATGCTAAATTACATTAACAAACAATTTTGAGGGGGAAGGGAAAAAGGGAAGAAGCTCTATATTAAGTATGCACATCCATGTAAGATACAGCCTAATATGTGTTGTGAGTGAAGTGGGGGAATAAGCCCTCCAGTAAATGTCCTTCACTATGGTTGGTTTTTCTTTAATCTCAAAGTGAATGTAATACAAAATAATTCATTTGTTTTCTGTTCATGTTGAATTAATCTTGTATTTTATAATTTTGAAAAGTTTAATGATTCATTATTTTGAATGTGTTTTTATACTTCACAGTGAGAGAACCACCACCAATTTGCCTTGATGTTAGACAAAAACAGCGTACATCTATGGATGCATCATCATCCGAAATGAAGGCCCCAGTCCTTCCAGAACCTATTCTTCCTATCCAGCCCAAAACTGTGAAAGACTTTCAGTAAGTTTCAGCTATTATATGTAAATGTATAGTCATCTGCATGTCAGCACTTTACATAATTTAATATCTTTATTTGAGAAATTAACTTTTGGATCACTATAAGATATTAGCCAAGAGGACCTCAAAAGACTATATGTCTCAAGTTGAAGGTGAAAGAAAACAAATATATAAATAACAGGAAGAGTTAGATAGGCTGCAGCAAAATAAAGGAAACACTAAGTAAGAGTCTGTGAGTCAAAACAGGCAAAAAGAGATAAAGGTGGTAATTAAATAATAGACTGTTACCATTTTTAGAAATAAGAGTTCATTTATGATGTGACACATACTGTAAAAGTTATGTAACCATTCAAAAAATCCAGATGCATATTTGAAGGACGAAGTGGGAATGATAAAGATAGAATGTAAACAAAGTCTCCAGAAGTTTAGCTATGAAGGGAAGGAAGGAGCGATAATTGAGCGACATGTTAAGGATGATCTTTTTTAAAAATAAGTAAATGGGAAAGTTGAAGCTAGATTAATATCTTAATCCAATTAAGAATTATAAATCCATAAACTATATTAACTGGGACATATTTCTTTATTTGGCTTCAGTATTTTGTATTGCATGTTTGGTGACATTAAAAAGTAATACTAGTTTATCTGAATAATATTTCTATATGTATATACGGTTAATGTGTTTTCATTTTAGGGAAGATGTAGAAAAAGTTAAGTCATCAGGAGATTGGAAAGCAGTACATGATTTTTATCTAACAACGTTTGATTCTTTCCCAGAATTAAATGCTGCATTTAAGGTAATTATACATAAAACACACTTTTCATTTCACTTTTAGTTTTAAATTTTCCAAAAATGATAAATTTACCTCATTTTCTACCCAATATTGATTTAAACATGCATATATTATGTATTGATTTCAGAAATTATACAATACATACAATTATGTAATATTATAAATATTATATAAGTATATGGGTTTTTTGAGGGGGTTGTTTTGTTTTGTTTTGAGATGGAGTCTCACTCTGTTGCCCAGGCTAGAATGCAGTGGTGCAGTCTCAGCTCACTGCAACCTCTGCCTCCTGGGTTCATGCAATTCTTGTGCCTCAGCCTCCTGAGTAGCTGGGATTACAGGTGCCTGTCACCACACCCGGCTAATTTTTGTATTTTTAGTAGAAACAGGGTTTCACCATGTTGGCCAGGCTGGTCTCGAACTCCCGACCTCGGGTGATCCTCCCATGTCAGCCTCCCAAAGTTGCTGGGATTATAGATACAAGCCATCACACCCAGCCCTTAAATGTTGTTTTTACTTGCTCTAATGTTCATGTTTAACTCCATTCCTTCACTTTTAAAAAAGAAAGTTATTAAAATAATCTTTGTACATTTCTTTTTATTTTCAGAAATTTTGCCCTAACAGTTCTTTTTTATTATCAGACTAAAAAATAATCAAAATTATGAAGGAATAGTATGGTTCAAATTTTACTAAGAATAGTCTTTAAAATGTTGAATATACTTAATTCTTAAATTGAATTTGCAGAAAGATGCCACTGCCTCATTTAACACCATTGAAGACTCTGGGATTAATGCTAAATTTGTGAATGCTGTGTATGATACCTTACTTAATACTGTAAGTATTATGACATGCAAGTAATATTATTCTGTGTCTCTTCTGTATATCAAAAGCAGCCATACAAATATTGTAAAAATCACCTTATAATTACCTTAGAAACTCTGATACAATTTTATAGTAAATGTAGCTGGAATTCTCATAAAGTTAGATTATTTTATTCTTTTATTTTTTAATTATGAATTAAGCAGCAAATACTTTTATATCCAATCCTTTTTTAGAAAGACTTGCTAAAATCATGCTTTACTTACTCAGCAAAAGGAGGTAAGTTATTTAATTATATTGGAATTACACTGAATCTGTAGATCAGTGGTTCTTAAACATTAGCCTGTATCAGAATCACAAGAAGGGCTTGTTAAAATACAGAATTTCAGATTCAGTAGGTCTTGGGTGAAGCCCAAGAATTTTCATTTGTAACAAGTTCCCAGGATATGTTGATTTATGAGTTCATTTATGATGTGACACATACTATAAAAATTATGTCACCATTCAAAAAATCCAGATGCATATTTGAAGGACTAAGTGGGAATGATAAAGACAGAATGTAAACAAAGTCTCCAGAAGTTTAGCTATGAAGTGAAAGACATGTTAAGAATGACCACATTTTGAGAACCATACTGCTATAGATCAATTTGTGAAAAATTGACATCTTTTCAATCCATAAGCATACTGTATCCTTTTAGGTACCTAGGTCTTCTTTAATTTCTCTTGGTAATGTTTTGTAGTTTTCTGGATAGAGGTGTTACACATTTCTCATTACATGTATTTCTAGGTACTTCATTTTTTTTATCCTATTATAATTTTATTTTCCAATTGTGACTAATATATGGAAATACTTTCATATATTTATCTTTATCTAAATACAGTTGACCCTTGAACAATGCGAGGGTTAGGGGCGCTAACCCCCTATGCAGTAAAAAAAAAAATCTGTGTATAACTTTTGACTCCCCAGAAGCTTAACTACTAATAACCTATTGTTGACCAGAAGTCTTACTGATAACATAAACAGTCAATTAACGTATATTTTATGTTATATGTATTCTATACTATATTGTTACAATAAAGTAAGCTAAGGAAAAGGCAATGTTATTAAGAAAAAATAAGGAAGATAAAATATATTTACTATATATTAAGTGGAAGTGGACTATCATAAAGGTCTTCATCCTTATTGAGTAGGCTGAGGAAGAGGAGGGGTTGGTCTTGCTGTCTCAGGTGGCAGAGGTGAAAGAAAATAATGTATATAAGCAGACTTGCACAATTCAAGCCTGTATTCAAGAGTCAACTGTACTTTGCTATATTCATCCATTAATTCTAATAGTACATCAGTAAATTAACTTGGATTTTCTGTGTACACAATCTTGTCATTTGTGAAAAAGGAGAGTTTTATCTCCTTCTAATCCTGTATCTTATATGGATATATGTATGTGTTTGCATTGACTGGGACCTCTTTCACAATTGTGAATAAAAGAAGTAATAGCAGACCTCTTTGTCTTATTCCCAATCTGAGTACTTCACTATTAAATATAAACATCCTTTGTCATTGGAGAAATGAAAATAACATTACACATCCATCAAAATTAATAAAATTGTTTCAAAAACCTTACCAAATATTGGCAATATTGTGGAACAGTTGGAACTTTCATCCCTTGATGATGTAAGTATAAATTGGTACAACCACTTTGGAAAAATACTTGGCATGATCTCCTAACATGAAGCATATGCATATTCTGTAACCCAACAATTCCATTCCTAGGTACACTTCTCTGAACTTGATTTTTTTTTGACATTTTAATTTCTTTTGAATTTAAGTCGTTTTTTGCAAACTAAGAAACAGAATTAACCTAAGGCAATCTAGTCCTCGAGGGATCCAGGCTGAGTCTTATGATCTTCAGCAGAATGACATCATAATACAAGATGCTAGCAATAGGGTATAAATTCTAAATGATAACCACTTCCCTACATTTTTTATTAGGAAACAGCCAAAAGTCCAATTCTTAAAGGGATGACATACAAAACATCTTAATCTACAAAGGCCAGAATGACCCAGTTATATACTGAACAACCTATTGGGGAACCAAATCAGAGCTGGCCAAGGATTGGTAAACAGAGAAGGTGTTTACATTTTGAACAGTTTCTCTGTGGCTTAAAAAATTGCTGGTTGCTGTCAGTAAGAAAGCAAGTAAAAAATATTGCAGATGGACCCACCCTGATACTTGATTTTACCAAGGTATTTCACTGGAACATGACAGTAGAAATAAGTATAAGGTATAAGATAATTATCCCTTATCTCACTATGTTGCCCAGGCTGGTCTCAGACTCCTGGCCTCAAGCAGTCCTCCTGCCTTGGCCTCCGAAAGTGTTGGGATTATAGATGTCAGCTGCCGAGACTGGCCAGGAGGACTTTCCTTAAACTAAAGGTCAATGTAGCCATCAACTGTGCTGCAGAGCCTTGAGTATTTCTCTTTACTATTGGGGATTCTGGTAGCCAGGTTGGTACTGGATGCCATCATAACATGCTGACACAGCTATAGTTGGAGCACACACCATGCTACCTGTGCACCAAGGGCTTGGCCATGGTTGGCCTGAGGCCCCATGACACAGCCCACCTCACAGCCACTCAGCCTACCCCAGCATGGACCAGTCCTCTCTGAGTTCTTTTGACTTGGAATATTAATATGTTATATATGTTAAAAAATTAAATATACAGATATGAGGGAAAAAACCCTAAATGGAACCTAAAATGGAATACAAACAGAAAATAAACCTAACTGTATTTTGAATGAACACTATAACCATATTTTCCAAAACTCACTAAAAAATTTTCATACATAGTAGTTTAACTATATAATCCTAACTAAAAAAACACATGCAAAGACTATAAACAAATCTTTAACTTTTAGTAGTTTGGGTTTTTTTCCCCCCTCAGGGGTATAGACAAATAATTCTGAAATTACATTCTATGTATTGTTGAACTAAACAAACGAGTAAATATATCAATGTTGCTGGGAGTCAGGTTTCTCATTTTAGAAAAGGGAGATATAAATATGGGATGAGGGAGGCTAAAAACAGTTCTGGGAATTGAATTAGAATTGGAGGCATTGTAATGATCTCATGGTTTTTAATAGATGTAGATACATGTGTGTGCATGCGAGTGTGTATGTTCTAGCCCTGTGCACTGAAAGGGCCTACAGCAATAACATCCCTTCACTATACTGAGCACTTCACTATGCTTATCTTGGTTTCTAAATACCATGTCACACTAAAAGAACCACAGCTCCCTAGAGAAATGGCTAATTCTAAGACCAAGGCAGGGAAAGTACCAAATGAACCTGGATCATCTAGTATCTCACCATTAATTATGATGTTAGCTGTAGGGTTTTTTTTTTTTTAAGATGTTCTTCATCAAGTTGAGGAAGTTCTCCTCTACTTCTTGTTCACTGATAATTTTTATCATGAATGGGTATTGGATTTCATCAACTGTTTCTTTTGCATCTATTGCTATGATCCCATGATTTTTCTTTTTTAGCTTGTCGATGTGATGAATTACATTAGTTGATTTTCAGGTGTTGAACCAGACTTGCATAACCTGAAATAAATCACACTTGGTTGTGTTGTATAATTCTTTTTATGTATTTTTGGTTCAATCTGCTAATATTTTGTTGAGGATTTTTTTGCATCTATGTTCATGAGAGGTATTGATCTATACTTTTCCTTTCTTGTAATATCTTTCTCTTTTGAGCATTAGGTTAATGCTGGCCTCACAGAAGGACTTAGAAAGTATTCTCTCTGCTTCTGTTTTCTGGAAGAAATTTTACAGAATTGGTATCATTTATTTTTTAAATATTTGGTAGAGTTTACCATTAAAGCCATCTGGGCCTGGTGCTTTCTGTTTTAGAAGGTTAACAGTTATTGATTCGGTTCCTTTAGTAGACACAGGCTTATTCAGATTATCTGTTTCTCCTTATATTAATTTTGGTAGATTGTGTTTTTCAGTAACATATCTAGGTTATCAAATTTGTGAGCATAGAGTTGTTCATAATAGTCATAAATTATCCTTTTAATGTCTATAGAATCAGTGTGAGAATGATCTTTCATTTAGTAATTAGTATTTTCTCACTTCCTTTTGTGATTAGTCTGGCTAGAGGCTTATCACTTTTATTGTTCTCTTCAAAAAAAAATCAGCATTTTGTTGTGCTGATTTTCCCTGTTCCCTGTTTTAAGTTTCATTGACTTCTCTAATTTTTATATCTTGTCTTCTACTTACCTTGGATTTAATTTGCTCTTTTGTTTTAGTTTCCTAAGGTGGACACTTAAATGATTAATTTCAGATTTTTTTGCTAATATATTCATTCAGTGCTATACATTTCCCTCTAAACACTGCTTTTGCTATATCTCACAAATTTTGATAGGTTGTATTTTTCATTTGTTTTCCAAAGCTAAACACAGGCTTACCATATGATCCCTCACTTACACTCATGTATTTACCCAAATGAGTTAACAATTTATGTTCACCCAAAAACCTGCACACAAATGGTTACAACAGCCAAAAATTAATTACCAAAAATGTCCTTCCATAGGTGAAGGGATAAACAAACTGTGGTACATTCCATATCATGGAAATTATTCAGTGATAAGAAGAAATGAGATACCAAGTCACAAAAAGACATGGAGAAACCTTAAATACATATTGCTAAGTGAAGGAAGCTAGTCTTAAAAGGCTGTTAAAAATAACAGTAATGGAGATTTGGAGCCAAGATGGCCAACTAGATGCAGCCAGGAGGAACATCTGCCACGGAGAGACTGGACATCAGGAAGACTGGCACACTCCAAGCAGATCTTCAGAGGGAAGGCATTGAGATTGGACAGATGGAGGACACAGAAGCTGAGCTGAAGGGAGCTGGGAAACCTGGGTGGGGCTACCAAGTAATGGGATTCATTCATGACCCCCAGCAGCTCCTGTGGAAAGGGTGAGTTGAACAGGCAAGGAGCAGCCTGCTCTTGCCACGGGCCTCCGGAATCCTGGCAACAGGAGATTCCATGACCCCCATGGACACTTGAGCTGGCAGGGTGAACTGCTTACACATGTGGGAGGAGTAGGACTCCAGCCTGTGTGGCGCCCAGATGGTTTGGTATGGGAACATCTGCAGTGGAGCATGGCCAGGGTTGCCCATCCCTCAAGGCTCACTGTGCTCCTCCTGGAGACTTTAGCCTTGAGAAGACTGTCAGACCTGGACAGAGTAGGGTGGTCTTGCCTGTGAGATGGTGCCAGACCAATGTGAGTGTCCCCCTGACTGCTGGCCTCTCCCAGGGCCTCAGCCTCGCCACACTCACTTGCAGTGCACCCTCGATGCCCAACCAAGGTACTTCCTGGGGCATAGCTCACCAGCAGACCACTCCTGACCATCGTAGGGTCCAGCAGAGTGGCCCCCACCAGCACACACCAGCCTACCTGCAACATCCCCCCATCAGAACCTCCCCTCCGTAGCTTTGCCAGCATGCATTTGTCCACAGCCACCTTCCCACTGCTTTGCCAAGGTTTGCGAGTGAGTGGACCTCATTTCTCCCCACCAGTATGTGTGCGTACCCCACCAGGCTACTGCTGCATGAGTACATGCTTGCTGCCCCCACTGGCATGTGGGCACCCAATCATGCCACCATTGCTGCTGCAAAAATGCACACGGACACTAGCAACTAGCCCCCCCACCATGCTGACACCACTGTTGGTGCAAATGCATGTGCACAGAGTCCAGCATTCCTGCCCCCCACCAGCACCCCACACCTACCACACCACCACTGCTGCCAGCTCAAGAGCATGGAGCAATGCCACAAGCCCACTCCTACTAGTACCTTGCCCCAGCAGATGTGTGTGCATCCCATCACATGGCTCTGAGTGGCTGCTGGCACATGCAAGCAAGCATGGATCCAACTGCCACTACCCCAGTCAAGTGTTTTGTCTGACACCACCCATCAGAATGTTAGTGCCAGTGGACCAAGAAGACCTCAGCCCTTTTGGCACAGCAGGTTCCTAACCTTGAGGGGCCAGAGAACAAAGCCAGGGGCTCGGTACCAGCACCCCCCAGAGTTAGAGCATGCAGCCCAGGAGTGCTGAGCTGAGCCTTGGCCCACTAAAATTTTCCAGAAACAAAGCCATTCAGCTGAACCCACTTTATACCACAATCAAACCCACAAATGCATCAAAGAAGATAAAAGCCAAAAAAAATAAAATCCCATTCGAAGGGTAGCAACTCCAGAAACTGAACGAATGTCAACTCACTCAGATGAGAAAGAACCAGAACAAGAACTCCGGCAACTCAAAAAGCCAGTCTTCTCACCTCCAAATGACCACACTAGTTCCCAGCAATGGTTCTTAACCAGGCTGAAAATGACAGAAGTAGAATTCAGAATATGGATAGGAACAAAGATCATTGAGATTCAGGAGAAAGTAGAAGCCCAATATAAGGAATCTAAAGAATACAATAAAATAATACAGGAGATAAAAGATGAAATGGCTTGTTTTAAGAAAGAACCAAATTGATCTGACAGAGCTGAAAAACTCACTTCACAAATTTTACCCCATCTCTACAAAAAAAAATTTTTTTAAGTTAGCTGGGTGTAGTGGTGCATGCTTATAGTCCCAGGTACTTGGGAGGCTTTAGTGGGAGGATCACTTGAGCCCAGGAATTCAAAACTGTGGTGAGCTATGATTGCACCACCACACTGCAGCCTGAACAACAGAGTTAGACACTGTCTCACTCAAAAAAAAAAAAAAAAAACAAGAGTACAGTTGCAAACATTAACAGCAGAATTGACCAAGCTAAAGAAAGAATTTCAGAGCTCAAAGACTGATTCTCCTAAATAGCTCAGTCAGACAAAAATAAAAAATAAAGAAGAATGAACAAAGGCTCCAAGAAATATGGGATTATGTAAAGAGACCAAATCTACAACTCATTGACATCTCAGAAAGAGAGGGAGAGAAAGCAAGCAATTTGGAAAGCATATTTGAGGATATCATCCATGAATATTTCCCCAACCTCACTAGAGAAGCCAACATTCAAATTCAGGAAATTCAGAGAACCCCTGCAATATGCAAGATGACCATCCCCAAGACACACAGTCCTCAGATTCTCCAAAGTCAAAATGAATGAAAAAATGTTAAAGGCAGCTACAGAGAAGGAGCAGTTCACCTCTAGTGAGAACCCTATCAGGCTAACAGCAGACCTTTGAGCAGAAACCCTTCAAGACAGAAGAGATTGGGAGCCTATATTCAGCATTCTTAACAAAAAGATATTCCAACCAAGAATTTCATATACAGCCAAACAAAGCTTCATAATTGAAGGAGAAATAAGATACTTTTCTGATAAGTAAATGCTAAGGAAATTCGTTACCACCAAACCTGCCTTACAAGAAATCCTTAAGGGAGTACTAAATATGGAAAGGAAAGACTGTTACCGGCTGCCACAAAAACACACTTAAGCACATAAACTATTGACACTATAAAGCAACCACAAAATCAAGTCTGCATAATAACCAGCTTAACAACATGATGACAGGAATGTAAAAAGGCTAAATGTCTACTTAAAAGGCACAGAGTGGCAAGTTGTATAAGAAGAAAGACCAAACTATATGCTGTCTTCAAGAGACCCATCTCACATACAGTGACATCCATAGGCTCAAAGTAAAGCAATGGAGAAAGCTCTAGCAAGAACAATAGAAAAGAAAAAAGAGCAGGGATTGTTATTGCAACTTCAGACAAAACAGACTTTTAAACCAACAACAATCAAAAAAGACAAGAGCATTACATAATGGTATAGAGTTCAGTTCAACAAGAAGACTTAACTATCCCAAATATATATGTACCTAATACAGCAGCACCTGGATTTATAAAGGAACTTCTTAGAGATCTACAAAGAGACTTAGATAACCACACAATAATAGTGGGAGACTTCAACACCCCACTGACAATATTAGATGATTGAGGAAGAAACTAACAAAGATACATGGGACCTGAACTTGTCATTTGACCAAATGGACCTAACAGATATCTGCAGAACTCTCCACCCCAAAACAACAGAATACACATTCTTCTGAACTGTACATGACACATACTTTAAGATCGACCACATAATCATAAAACAATTCTCAGCAAACTTTTAAAAAATGAATTCATATCAACCACCATTGCACAATAAAAATAGAAATCCATACTGAGAAAACCACTCAAAAGCATACAATTATAAGGAAATTAAAACAGTCTGCTGCTGAATGACTTTTGGGTAAGCAGTGAAATTAAAGCAGAAATCAAGAAATGTATCGAAACTAATGAGAACAAAGATAAAACATACCAGAATCTCTGGGACCCAGCACTGTGAAAGGAAATTTTATAAATCTAAATGCCTACATCAAAAATGTTAGATCTCAAGTAAACATAATATCACACCTAGAAAATCTACAGAAACAAGCACAAACTAACCCCAAAGCTAGCAGAAGACAAGAAATAACCAAAATCGGAGTTGAACTGAAAGAGTTCCATCCCAAGATGGAACCAGGAAGAAATGGAAACCCTAAACAGACCAATAATGAGCTCTGAAATTGAATCAGTAAGAAACAGCTTACCAACCCCAAAAAAAGCCCAGAACCAAGTGGATTCACGGCCGAATTCTACCAGATGTACAAAGAGCTGGCACCATTTCTACTGAAACTATTCCAAAAAATTGAAGAGGAGGGACTCTTCCCTAATTCATTTTGTGAGGCCAGCATCATCTTGATATCATCTTTTCTGTGTGGCAGAGACACACACACACACACGCACACACACACAGACACACACGCACACACACAAAGAAAACCTCAGGCCAATATTCCTGATGAAAATTGATGCAAAAACCCCTGCAAAATACTAGCAAACTGAATCTAAAAGCACATCAACAAGCTAATCCACCATGATCAAGTAACCATTATCCCTAGGATGCAAGGTTGGTTCATCCTACACATATCAATAAATGTGATTCATCACGTAACAGAACTAAACACAAAAACCACATGATTATCTCAATAGATGCAGAAAAGGCTTTTGATAAAATTCAGCTTCCCTGCATGTTAAAAACCCTCCACAACTAGGCATTGAAGGAACATGCCTCAAAATAATAGGAATCGTCTGTGACAAACCCACAGCCAACATCATACTGAATGAGCAAAAGCTACAAGTCTTCCTCTTGACAACAGCACAAGACAAGGATGCCCACTCTTAGCACTCCTATTCAACATAGTACTGGGAGTCTTAGCCAGAGCAGTTGGGCAAGAGAAAGAAATAGAAGGCACCAAAATAGGACGAGAGGAAGTCAAATCTTTGCAGATGTTATTATTCTATACCTAGAAAACCCCAAACCCTCTGCCCAAAAGCTCCTAGACATGAAGAACAATTTCAGCAAAGTTTCTGAATGCAAAATCAATATATAAAAATCAGTAGCATTTCTATACACCAACATCTAAGCAGAGAGCCAAATCAAGAACGCAATTCCACTCACAATAGCCACAAAAAGAATAAAATACCTGTGAGTATTGCTAACCAGTGAGGTAAGAGAGCATTAACAATGAGAATTACAAAACACTGCTCCAAAAAATTACAGATGAACAAACAAATGGTAAAACATTCCATGCTCAAGGACAGGAAGAATCAATATCATTAAAGTGGCCATACTGCCCAAAGCAATTTACAGTTGCAGTGCTATTGCAATCAAACTACCAATGGCATTCTTCACAGAATTAGGAAAAAACTATTTTAAAATTCATATGAAACTAGAAAAGAGTTTGATTAGCCAAGGCAATCCTTAAAAAAGATAACAAAGCTGGAGGCATCACATTACCTGGCTTCAAACTATGCTACAAGCCACAGCAACCAAAACACCATGGTACTGGTTCAGAAACAGACACATAGACCAATGGAACAGAATAGAGAGCCTAGAACTGATGACACACACCCATAACCATCTGATCTTTGACAAAGTCCACAAAATAATAGGGAAAAGATTATCTGTTCAATAAATAGTGCTGGGATAACTCGCTTGCTATATGTAAAAGATTGAAAGTGGACCCATTTCTTTCACAATATACAAAAATCAACTCAAGACAAATTAAAGACTTTAATGTAAAAACTGAAAGTATAAAAAGCCTGGAAGATAACCTAGGAAATATCATTCTGGACATAGGCCCTAGCAAAGATTTCATGAAAAAGATGCCAAAAGCAATTGCGACAAAAACAAAAATTGATGAATGTGACCTAATTAAACTGAAGAGCTTCTGCATAGCAAAAGAAACTATCAACACAGTAAGTAGACAACCTGCAGAATAGGAGAAAATATTTGCAAACTATGCATCCAACAGAGGTCTAATATCCAGAATCTATAAAAAACTGAAATAATAAGCAAAAGCAAACGACTTCATTAAAAAGTGGGCAAAGAACATGAGCAGACACTTCAAAAGAAGACATACATGTGTCCAACCAGCATATGAAGAAATGTTCAGCATTACTGATCATTAGAGAATTGCAAATCAAAACCACAGTGACATAACATCTCACACCAGTCAGAATGGCTGTTACAGATATTGAGATTATGAACATGAGACTGTCTAAAATACCTTTGATACCAAATAAATTTTTAGAAGTAGAGAAATTAATAGATTAAACAGCAGATTGGAGACTGCTGGAAAAAGAATTAGTAAACTGGAAGGTAGAAGTGAAGAAGAAATTTCTCAGAGTAGAACTCAGGGAAAAAGAGATAAACTATAAAAATAATAAAGATGTATAGAGGTTAGAATAAGAAAGACTAAACTTCATTGTATTTGGAGTCTAAAAATTATGGCACAGAAAGAATGGGGGTGTATATTTAATACCTGGGAGTTTCCCATAACTGATGTAAGACGTGAATCCACAAATAACAGGGGAAACAAAATATATACTAAGCAAGATAAAAGACATGCAGACAAAGTAGTGAAATTGGAACATCGTAATAAAGATACCTTATAAGTAATCAAAGGGAAAAGACAAATCATTCATAAAGGAAAATTATTTGGCTGTCAGCAGACTGCTCCACAGCAATCTGGGAGCCAAAAACCTGAAGTAATATTTTCAAAATACTAAAAGAAAAGAATATAAACATTGATTGATGTAGCCGGAGAAACTGACTTTCAAGAATGAGGGTGACTTAAAGATATTTAAAATAAACAAAAACTGCCTTTACCACCAACAGACGTATACTTAAACTTTAAAAGATATATTTTAGAGAGAAGAGGAAGGATCTGAGATATAAGAAAGAATGATGAAAAAGAAATTCATAAATACAGTTGACCCTTACACATCATGGGTTTGAACTGCATGAGTTCACTCACACACAGATTTTATTCCGCCTCTGCCATGTCTGAGACAGGAAGACCAACTCCTCCTCTTCAGCCTCCTCCTTAGCCTACTTAATGTGAAGATAAAGAGGATAAAGACCTTTATGATAATTGCTTCCACTTAATAAACAGTAGATATATTTTCTCGTGATTTTCTTAATAACATTATCTTTTCTCTATTTTATAAGAATTCAGTGTATAATACATAATACATATAAAATATGTGTTAATAAACTATATTATTGGTGAGGTTCTGATCAACAGTAGGCTATTGATAGTTAAGTTTTGGGGGAGTCAAAAGTTATACATGGATTTTTCTACTGCATTGGGGGTCAGCATTCCTAACTCTCATGTTGTTCAAGGGTCAACTGTATTTATGTGTCACCCTAAAAAATGCCTGCATAAAATTGATGTCTAATGTGTGTAATTAAGAAGAAAAAGCCAAAAGATGGGAGAATAACAACACATAAGTAGAGGAAGCTTATTGGAATTAAAAGTATTCTAAGATGCTCTAAAGAAAGAGTAGAATATTAACTTTAGGCTTGTTAACTATGAATAATAAGAAATCAAAAGTAACCTCTAAAACAGTGCAAGTGGAGCAAATAACTTTCTTAACTGGAGAGTAGGGGAATGGGAAAAAGAAGCATTAAAAAGTGAGTTGAATGAAAACAAAAAATAAGATTGCAGAAACAAGTCCAAATATAGGAATAAGTAATTGAATAACGAATATAAATGCACTAAACTCACTGGTTAGAAGAGACTATCACTTTAGATTTTTAAAAATTATATTCCATGCTAAGCACAAGAGATACCTAAAAAGGTTGAAAGTAAGGGTATATAGAATATATACCAGACACCTTCTAAACCAAAGGAAGTTGAAATCGTTGTTACTAACTTCAGAAGATATGGCCTTTAGGAAAGTAAATACTACAGATGATCAGATGAGGGAGAAATCACTGGAATTGGGAAGGTTATACAGAAGAGGTTGATTTTTATTTGCATCTTGGAAGGATTCAACTTAAGTATGCAAAGAGTTGAGCAGTTAGTCAGTGAGTATGTATTGTCTTGGTGTTGGAGATACAGTGTTAAACAAAAATGCATGTCATATACAGCTCTAAGTAGCTTATATTCTAATTTCTATTGGGGGCAGGTTACAGATAGAAAATAAATGTGAAAACAAATGTGAAGAAAGATAATTTCAGATACTGATAAGTGCTTCGAGAAGATAGGGCAATGTAATAAGAAGTGATTAGTGGTTGCTTTTAGCTAGGAAGCTCAGGGAGGGCCTCTGTAAGGCAACAATTGAGGTCTTAATGATGAAAATAACTGAAACCATGAGAAGATCTGTGAGAGCAGCGCACTAACAGAAGTGACAGCTAATAAAAAGGCCCTGAGAAGGGAACACAATTGGCAAATTCAGAAATAAGGCTTGTGAGACTAAAGCTTGGTGAATTTGGGAGAAAGGAGAAGACTAGGTTGGTAAGAGATGAGACTGCATATGACCATGCAAGTTTAATTGTATGGTAATGGAAAGTCATTGAGTGTTTTCGGCAGGGATCATTTATAGTTAAGAAAGATCTCTCTAGATGCTTAGCAGAAAATGGTCTGTAGTGTGTCAAGAGAAAGGAGTTAGGAAGGCCTTGTAGTAGTTGAAGCAAAAGTTGATATTTGGATTAGCAATTTTGGCAATGAAAATAGAAATGTTCAGACTCATATATTATGGAGTAGAGCTAGTAAAACTTCCAGTACATTGGATGTGGCACTCAAAGGCAAGAAAGACAGGAAACTGAGTGGATGCTGTTGCCATTTAATTAGATGGATAAGGCATTCGTGAAGGAGAGATCAAAGTGTTTAAAAAAGAAGAGTATTCCACCTTGTCAGATGTTGCTGAGACATTTTGTAAGGTTTGGACAGAGAATTGACCATTGTCTTTCATAAGCTATAGATAATTGATGACTTTAATAAGAGTCTAGTAAGACTTTAATATGCCTATTTGGAATGAGTTGACAATGAGAAGAGATAGTACAGATAATTCTTGAGAGCTTTCACTATGAAGGGAAGCAGAGAAATGAGGCGGTAGCTAGAAGATGGCCCAAACGAGATGTTTTAAATAAAGTCAATACATCAGTCAGGGTCCTGGTAGTAAACAGACAACACACTCAAATTGGTAAATTGGGTTATTTACAAAGTTGTTAGCAGAGTAAGTGAGACCATAAGGACAGCATAGTGCCCAGGGGAGAATCTAGAGATGAACTGTGGGTGAGAGGGCTGCTTTACAGGAGATGGGACTTTCACTCTAGGGACACAGCCGACCCATGACAACCATCCCATGGTGACCCTGGAGGTGGGGACCTGAGGGAACAAATACCCCAACTTCACTCTCTTTTCTTTTCTGCTAGTGCTTTCTATTAGCTGAGCCCAATAAGAAGGCAAAGGAGTCTAGTTGATACAGTCCTTCAGAATTGGCCTCTGAGGGCATAGAGCAAAGTGGAGAAGAACAGCAAATCAGTGCCAGTGATGTTAGTCTGCGTTGTTATACTGATAGGAATGTTTTAGTAGAGAGGGAGAAACGGATGATACAGGAGAGATAAGGAAAAACTTTAATAACCATGTCCTTGACAAGATTATGAGAGGGGATGGGATGTAGGACTCAAATGAAGGGATTGACCTTGGTCAAGTGCAGTTGCAGGCAAATTGGTAGAATTTACATAGGGACAGTGAATCTGTTATCTGGGTGCATCTGAGACCTAGAAAGCTTCCCTGTCCCAGGCAGGTATGGAAGCCCAGAGCTCCAGGATCACCACACCTGCTCAATCACCCAGAAATAGGTTTGGAGAGGGAAACAATCATGACACGGACCCCCACGAAGTTTCTCCCTGATGGACTGGGAAGTCTTCTTTGTTGAAGACATTGAGCCAGACTAAGAAGCCTCTAGGCTTCTCAGAAACAGGGCAGACAGAGCAAGAGGGAGGACAGAACAGAGGCCAGAGCCCAGGCAGGATATGGCGCAATGCCACCACCGCAGGCATCCGGGGAGGAGTGCCAAACGGGACTTGGCCAGGAAGGCCAGCATTTGAGTGACAGAGATGCTTGCCCTATCCTGTTGCTGGCTTCTTTCTCCGTCCCTGTGTCAAGCTGTGGCTAGATTTCTCAATGAGGGCAAAGGGCGAGAGGAGTGAGAACCGTCTTCTTGAAGTTCTGTGGGCACCTGCCTGCCCTGTGAGCACCTGTGAGGCCTTTGTCTTTGGCTGGGGTGTGGTCGTCTTGATCCTAGCAAAGAGGCTGCTCAGGATGGGGAGGGGATAAAAACCCCTGCGGGTCCGGGCCGGGCGCGGTGGCTCATGCCTGTAATCCCAGCACTTTGGGAGGCCGAGGCGGGTGGATCATGAGGTCAGGAGATCGAGACCATCCTGGCTAACAAGGTGAAACCCCGTCTCTACTAAAAATACAAAAAAATTAGCCGGGCGCGGTGGCGGGCGCCTGTAGTCCCAGCTACTCGGGAGGCTGAGGCAGGAGAATGGCGTGAACCCGGGAAGCGGAGCTTGCAGTGAGCCGAGATTGCGCCACTGCAGTACGCAGTCTGGCCTGGATGACAGAGCGAGACTCCGTCTCAAAAAAAAAAAAAAACCCCTGCGGGTCCAATGCAGATGCCAAGTGTGTAGCAAGGTCATAGCTAGGAATGATGCTGGGAAGGAGGTGTTATAGATTTGAGGAATAAGAAGGTTTGAAATATAGTTGTCTTGAAGTGTAGAGAAGTAAGTGAACTATAGAAATGTTGTGGGACTGTCAGTGGTATTGAGTGTCCTTTTGAGATTTGTGGTCATAAACTTAAAGTATGTCCAGTCAGCACATTTGTTTGGTTTTTCTCCTGCAGCTTTTGTTGCTCAGGGGCAAACACTAAGTGGTTGAGCAGGGATACTCTCTGGGTGTGCGGGGTTACTGTAAGCAGAGGAAGAGAAAGGAATGCTATATTAAATATATATACGTATATGTGTATATGACATAAGAGCTAGGCTGAATGAGTGCTGATAGACATGTCTTGGAAGTAATGGTTGTGGTTTTAAATAAAAGCATAATATATGTGTATTGGCATTTGCCTCTTTCATGTAACATGACACAAATTTTACTGATTATTTGAAGTTTCTTGTTAATGAAGCTTCTATTCTCTTATAAACTAAAGTATTATCTAAATGTATTTTATTTTCATTTATTCTTGGGATGTTTGATAGTAAATAAGATTTTTAGTATTTGGATTATTAAACTAGAATGGTAATATTATGTTAATAAACATGTTACGCTTGGATTCTTGTTCATTACTCTGTCCTGTCGGGTCAAGGAAAGTGAAATTGTTTTCCAGTTATATAAAAATTCTGTTGGTCATCAACCACCACCATATATGTTTGTGCATGTTGTATGCTACACATACCAGGGATACTCTTACTGTAATCTTATGTCATTGATGCTCTCTAGAGTTCTTAAATGTAAAATCAGTACTACTATAAGTGTCAGTCCTGAGTCATCAAGTCTGATTTTAACTATTGAAACAGATCTGTAAATATAATTAACATATAAACGTCACCTAATTTGGTAATCCTAATTACCTTACTGTTTTCTTTTGCCTACAGCCTCAAGACGTTCAGAAGACAGTATTAAAGGGAATCATTAACAGCCTGTTACGAGAATGGAAAGGGTAAACTAATATTTTCAATATTTAGCTAATCAGTATAGATGTCTAACTTACACATCATATATCTTTAACACATGTGTATGTATTTTACTCTCAGAAAAGATTTTAGTTGAGTTATAATAACATAGATGAGAAAAGAATTATAAGCCATTTACAACAAAGCTGTATAACTTGAGATTTGTGACCTCTCAGTAGGATCTATAGATGGGCATAAAAAGATCTGTGAATTCTTTTAAATTGTATGTAAAGTTTTTTCTATGCAGATATATATGCTTAACAAAAATGGAATGGGTACTTACATCAGTAACCTAACTGAAATAATGAGCATTAAATTTAGCCTTGGGCTTCCTGGTAGCCAGAGTGAAATTTTTCTTATTTCTATTATAGGGACGCCTAAGGCCAGCTACTAAAATATTTTTTTCTCTCAGAACTAAATATTAGATTCTTATATAAGGAATCATGGGCAATTTAATTGGTAATGTTTTGAACCATGAATATGCATAATATAAAAATGTACTTTTAAAAATACATATTTAAATTTATATTAAAAGTATATTATTTAAATAATAACTTCCATTAAAGCCAAAGGAATGCCAAGTCTAGTTTAAAAGTAATACCTAAGTAGAATTCTTAAATGTAATGTTACATGTACCATATATATTTTAATAATATTTTAATTGTTCTGATTTTGAAAGAAATTCATGCTTATTATAGAAAATATAGAGAAGGCAGAGAAGTATAAAGAAGAAAGTGTCAGTCTGGCCAACATGGTGAAACCCCATTTCTACTAAAAATACAAAAATTAGCCAGATGTGGTTGCACCGTCCTGTAATTCCAGCTTACTCAGGAGGCTGAGGCAGGAGAGTCGTTCGAATCCTGGAGGCAGAGGTTGCAGTGAGCCAAGATCATGCCACTGCACTCCAGCCTGTTGAGCTGTTGAGAATTTCTGTCTACTGCCTTCACTTTTTATATAGCACATTCCTATTACTGGTTTTTTATATATCTCAAAGATGGTGACTGGATTTGCTTGGACACTACTATTTTAATGTATGTCTTTTTAGTTTCTATCTGTAACATAAATTTCAGAATCAATAGAGTGAGACTGTCTCAAAAAAAAGAAGAAAGTAAAAAATGTTTACATTTTACAGTGTTTTTCTAGTCATCTTTTAAAAACAATTAAAATCATACTGTATAGTTTCATGTGACTTTTAACTTAATGATCTTTTTCTTAGTTTATTACTCTAGTAATCTGTTTGCATTTTCCTTCTTAAACCACACTTTTAATGTCTGACTAATAACTTAGAATAGGAATGTACTGTAATTTACCTAACCATTCTCCAAGAATGGTTGTTTATGTGAATAATTCCACAGTGAACATTTTGTACAAAAATCTTCTTTTCTGAGCATTTATGTAAAAATTTTTTTAGAAATATAATTACTGCATCAGAGTATAAACATTTTAAGACAATACATTTTGTCAGATTTATTTACAAAGCAGTTATGATAATGTATACTTCTAACAGCAGAGGGCCTGAGACTTCATTGGTATCTTCTTTTAACAAAACTTGGCCTAATTTAATAAATGAAAAGTGGATCTCATTTTTATGTACTTTTCCTTAATACTAATAAGCTTAACATTTTATCATTTGTTGCTATTTTTATTTATCCTTTTATAAGTTTTCCACCTACTTTTGCCATTTTTTATTGCAGATTTGCCTGATTTTCTGTTAGAAACTCTTGCTTGTTGTAAGAAAATTGACCTTTTTGTATTATATTTTCCTATATCTCACGTTTCAGAAAATCAGTTACTAGACTCAAAAAGATGAAACCCCTGTTACATCTCAGTTAAGTGTCTGAGGACTGAAGGGTTAAGGCCAAACTGGGAGTTAGCTGCTTCCTGAATATTATAGTAAAAATATCATTAAAAAAATTCTAAGAAATCAAACCTACTCATACAATTTATTGTGCATGCCTGATAATTTATGCAGGCATAAATGACCTTGCCAAGATTATAAAGCTCTAGGTAGGATAGGAAAGGACTTGGAGGAATAGGTGATATATACAAATAGATCTTGAGCAGGCAAGAAAGAAACACTTGTCAGCATAGAGAATGACAAAAGCTTTAATATCTGGGTTTTGTTTTTCAATCCAGGACCCAGTTAGGAATCATGAATTGCATCTGGTTGTCATAGAGGTGAACCATTTTCAATTGAAGAAGTTACTTCCAGATATCTGTGAGAATGTACCAAATAGATCTTGAGCAGGCAAGAAACACTCATTAGCCTTGAGAATAACAAAAGCTCTTGGCCAAATCTCATACTATGAGAATTCATATTAAGATGGAAAAAATTACTTACTTTTCATGATTCTTTCTGTTAGAAGCATACTGGATGTATTTAAAGTATGATTTGATTTACAGACATTTCTACATCACTTTAGGAATGAACCTAGAAACACAAGCATATTTTCTTTCTTTAATACATAAATGTTCTTAAGTAAAGATTATCCTTTATTAAAACAAAAACATAAGTATTCTAAAATTGATGATTTTATTACACACCTAACTACTTCCAGAGTTAATCATATTTACCTCACAAAATGTTATAGCCTAGTTAGCTCAGTCTTTAGTTATCTTCAGAATCAGCCTAGGAGAGGCACAGAAGCACTTGTATTTTCAGCATATTATGGACTGTCTCAATAATAATGCATATTAATCCTAGTTTTTGGCTTTTCTCAACTCAGTCTTCATAGAAAAGTTTATTGGTCTTTTTCGTTAGATGCTATGAGATTAAACATTCATCCATAATAAATTATTCTTGTTTCTTTTTCAGTCCACGAACAAAAGATGATCTTAGAGCATATTTTATACTTTTACAGGTAAGAGAACCAGAACCTAGTTGAAGTTGTCTAAGTCAGATCTCAATCCCTACATGTGTATGTGAAATGATATTAAATATTAAATATCATTTTGGGCAACATTATTGATTCTTTTTAGAATTATAGTTACCTGTAACCAGAAGATTTTTTTTAAAGTAGGATTAATAAGATTAAAAGATAAGTAAGATTTTAAAAAGTAAGAAAAATAAGATTAAAGCCATAACAAATAAATAATCAGAAGCTAAATTACATGTGAGATTAAAATTTTGATTTAGTTCCTGCCAGAGTATTCAGGAACAAACAGAATGGAAGCACTTCTTCCTCCTCCATTCAAACCTGTTTCTTGTAACTAGTTTTAACAGGCTTCAGGATTTTCTTTTATTTTCCCATCTAGTAGGTTTTCACTTCACTATGTATTTTTCAATAACTTCAATTAGAATTCTTATGGAAAGATAAAAGGTTTTTTTTTAATTTGTTATAAAGCGAAGATAATGAACTTTTTCCTCTTGATAGATACAGATTAATAGATACAAAAAGAAATTAAGATCCAGACAAATGAAAAGCAATTTTTACTTTTTATTATTTTTTGAGGAAGAAATACATTATTACCATAGCTAGCATACTATTAATACATTTGCATTATTCTTTACAATTTATAAAAGTTGTCCATGTATATTATCTCATTTAAAAGTAAGGAAAACTATATTAAATAAGTATAGTGTTTAGTACAATATTATGATATTATAATATCAATATGTCTAATGAAAGAACATATACAGGGTAGGGATAGAGAAAGTGAGGAAAGAGGAAAAAGTGGAAAAGGGGGGAAAATGACCAAGAGGTAGTTAAGAAGAGAAATGTAAGGAGGGAAAATAGAGAAGTAAGAGGAGAAAGAGCCAAAACTCAAGAATAAACATATGTAGAGATAGTAAAAGCTAGAAAGATGACACGAAGCTCAGATTTTAGGTGAGTATATTGGTCAGCCATAAGCTCTGCTCATATTTTGTTCTTCTCAAGAGCCATTACCAGATGAAGTTATCAGCTGAGGTCAGTCCCAGATTTTGAGTTGTTCTGTCAATAAGTCAGTTTTGAAAAACACATGGTGCTCTCTTATTTTTCACAATTTCAGGAGGTTTTTTTCAATAATATTTATTTTTTCCATGATGTGCTGAAATGTACATTGTGCTAGAATTTTATATTTTGGAAACATTAACTAAAGGCTTTTCTTAGTTTACAAGTATTCCTTCAGCGTCCCTTTATCATTTAAAAGTTGTCAGAAGCTGTATGTGTTTCTCCCCTTGTTCTTTGTGATATATGAGGCTAACTCATTTTACAATGGCAAAAGTTTCACAACCAGCTTTTACTTCGTTTTTCTAGCTTTTAATCAAGGAACACCCAGGTTTTTTGCTTTTAATTGGATGATAGTGATTGGTACCATTTATGAAGGCACTTTTTATGAAGGTGCTTTATATACATTTTCTTTTTCGATACTCAAAACAACCCTTAAGATAGAGAATATCATTCCCATTTTACAGATAAGGACATTGAGAATCAAAGTGTAAGGAACATGCCTAAGGGCATATAGCTAGTAAGTGGTAGAATTAGCCCTCAGACCCAGATCTGTCTTAACTCCAAAGCCCATGCTCTTTTCACTGTATAGCCGCAGTGTAAATGAAAGTCTCTGTTAATTAAATAACAAATAGGTTATTGTTATTTTATAATCTCAAATTTTGTTTCCTGAATTTACCACGTACTTATTAAGCTTAGTGTCTTTCCTTTTACGTGTTAACAGAATTTTAACACAATTATCTTTAATATCTTTTTCAGAATCCTCAGTTTAATAACACATCTACGTATGTCATCTATGCTCACTTGCTACGACAGATAGCTACCTTAGTGGAAGCTGACCATCATTTCCTAGTTCACTGGTTTAAAAAGTAAATCATTCTATGATATTAAGAACTTTTATAGTCTCACAGTTTTAAGTTTGGTATTAGTAATTTTACAATAAAATATATTTAAATATTTTCAGGTCTTTAGAAATGATGCTTATATTCACAATGCTTCAAAAGCCAGTTACAAAAATCTACTTTAGTACTACATAAAGGATAATTAAAAATCTGTTTTTAATGTAAGTAACCAATTTGTTTGCACAAGCTGTTGAGAATTTCTGTCTACTGCCTTCACTTTTTATATAGCACATTCCTATTATTGGTTTTTTACGTATCTCAAAGATGGTGACTGGATTTGCTCAGACACTACTATTTTAATGTGTGTCTTTTTATTTTCTATCTGTAAATTCATAAATTTCACCATTATTTAAATGGCGCTTTCTCCTTACCTAAAAATGTCATTGTAAAATATAGGCTAGCCATCAATATCAATTTGTAAAAGCATAATACTTTTTTCACAGAACTATACCCACATGAACAATGACTTCTCCATGACTGATAAAAGTAGAAAGGCAAAATATTTCCAAAAGAAATTTTAAATGCAGTAAATTATCATTATTCATAGTAGTTATATTCTATAATGTCACCACAAACATGGAATTAATAAATACAGAACCATTGCTTCAAGGGGAAATACAGGGTTAGGTTCCTGTGAGCCTCTGATCACATTTTTGTCAGCCAATCAGTATATAACTTTGCTTTATGAGTGTTTTTTTTAAAGACACACTTCATTTAATAGAAGTCATTGATTCATTATCATTGAACTCACGGCTAGCAGCACTGTAACTCATGCCTGAATGAAGCTTCTCTAACATACATATTTTCTCTGTAGGGCACATCACAACCTTCTTGTTAGGAACACTAGACAGCATTTTAGCACTACACTTGGCCATTTTGAAATTGCAAAATCACCAACAAAAAGCACCAAAATGTGAAAAACATGAAGCTAAATGGATTGCATAAAGGACACTTGCAAAGAGAGAGTATTGAGCTAAAACAAGGCAGAACATCACTTTGACCTCAGCTGGAAATGTGCATGTCAGGAGACTAACATCTTTCACATGTCCCCAAATGACCATGAAAACACAAGTATTGATTTGGGGATTAACAATTAAATTTTACCAAGTAGGCAAATTTGGAAATATAGAATCTGTGAATAATGAAGACTGAATATTGAAAGTCTTTAAAATGTTTGTTACTAACTTTATAGTAATTTTGGTGTTTATTTCTCATTTAACGAAGACAGTATTCAAGGTAAGATTTTGTATCTTTTCAAATGTTTGGCAATTTAAGAAATAGAATTTGGGGGAATAGTCTAAAATTTTGTGGCTTAGGATGTAGTTTAATATCTAACAGATAATTTTGGAAATAGAAAATGTGAATTTTGATTGCAATTATTTTGAAATCTTTACCAGATTGTCCCAGAAGAGGTTCAAACAATTGGTAGAGAGATTGCTGCAATTTATTTCTTTACGCCTGTTTCCTGCAAAGCCTGAAGAATTTCCACCTATAACAAAGTGTTCCTGGTGGATTCCATCAGCCGCTAAAGTGTTGGCTTTACTTAGTAGGTTTTTATTATTCTATCATTTTTTACTTTTCTTTTGTTACATTTTAGGGATATTTCTTAAGGATTTCAAAAGACTATAGAGGCATTCTTAAATTTTAAACCATTTCTGTGAAGGAAAGAGTTGTAATTTATTTTCTACTTTGATAATAGATTTCATAATTTATAAGCATGAAAAAAGCTTTATGTCTTTTAGTGGACAGTGTTCTGTATTATGGCAATTAAGTGCATATGAGCTAGGACCCCTAAGAGAGAACACACAGAAATAGGAGTAAATGGCCATCTGCATATTCCCTTTAATACTATTATAATCCTCACCACAAGTTTTCTTTTTTAAGCAAGAAACTATTGGCTGCATTTTAACCACAATTTTTAAATTACCCCTTTCATTTGGAGCTACATTTATTTAAAATAGGAGTTTCTAGGTCAAGGCTGTCTTGTAGACATTAAAATGATGTTTTTATTATTAGAATGAATCTTGTACATGTTGGAAAAAGTCTTTATGTTAGAATTTATCTTTACAGATACTGCAAACAATTTAGTTCACCCTCCCCTTATTCCTTATACTGATTTCTATAATTCTACATTGGATCACATTGATCTCATGGAAGAATATCATACTTGGCAAAACTTTGGAAACTCTCACAGGTATGAACAAAAGTTCCTTTGATTATCCACCTAAATGAAATACTATTCAAAAGAATGACTAGAGTTTAAGTTTATATGAAGTTTACACATACGTTTACATATAAATGTATAAATATAGTTCAGATAGCCTTGAAATATCATATTTATTAAAGTATTTTCTTTTTCTGCTACATTTTGAATTTATGTACATGTTAATTTGGTTTTGGTTTGGTTAATAGCATCTTTTCAAGAAGGGAGAGGTTCTATCTTAATATGCAGTCTCTTATCTCTTACTATTCTATGCACAGGGGTCAGCAAAACTTTTTCTGTAAAGAACTAGATGGTGAATATTTTCAACACTATAGGTTACACAGGTTCTATTTTGCTATTTTAGCACAAAAGTAGCCTTAGACAGGATGTAAATGAATAGATATGTCTGTGTCCCAAATGACTTTATTTACAAAAACAGGTTGTAGGCCATATTTGTCTTAGGCCCATGGTTTGCAGATGCATGATCTAATATATTGATCACACACAGACACACACATACATTCATTTCTCATTTCTTTTGTAAGAAAAAGTGGTTGTCCATTAGGTGCAATATAAAAAGAGTAGATGTTACAGAGAAAGGGCCTTACCACAGCTTATTTATTATAATAATTAATAGATTTGTAAAACAGTCACCAAATTATTTAATACACTGCACTTTATATCCACACTTCTAGTTTGGATTAAACTAGCAAGACTATTCCAAACATAATTTATCCTCAGGTCATGAGATGTTCAGGAGATTGCATTTAATTGTAGAGGAATCTGAGTAAAGAGATACAGTGTGGATATAAGTAACCTCAAAACCCCAGATTAGTTTGTAAATTGGTTAAACTTTCCAGGGACCCTCTTTATCAGAATTGGCCTGAAACATAGAATGGGCTTCTGGACACATCTCATTTCACATCTGAACACTCAGAACTGAATAAGAATAAGAATTTAAGTTCTGGGCACCCTAGTCCCAGATGGATATTTTCTTGGCAATGTTTACTTTACAAAGATACTTTTTCCTTCCATTTTAATATAATTGTAATGTGTTGTAGATACAACCACAAAACAGCGCCAAGAATTATTATGCATATTTCACTGACAACAACATCTTTTAATATAGAGCTTCCTCTAACAACTGTGCCACAACACTGGTGTACCAAGAATGAGTTACATTAGGGTTTTAATCCTAGGATCCTGTCAACCCTTGGGTAGCCAGCCTGAACCTAGAGGGGAACAGGAGCCCTATGGCAAGTGATCTCTGGCCATGAGCAGCTTCATCTGTTCATTTCAGTGTATCATTCACAAAGTATCATTTCTCTTGTGCATAACAAGGGAAAGGTTGAGAACCCCTGTCCTAAAGTACATAGTAAAACTAATATATATCTTACTGAGTTCATTGCATTTTCTTTTTATTTCCAATTTTTTGTTAGCATTAATGATTCAAAATAATTATATACCAGTACTGAAGAACTCTCAACTTTTATTAACAATTTTGTCCCATGGTAAAAGCCATCTCACTTTCAGTTTACACTAAGGCTATATCCATTTTCCTAATAATGCCTTTTTTCTCAGTGGTCACAGTTGTACCACCTGACTATGCTCAGAGGGATTCCAGCTGTAACTGATAGATTCACTGTAGTCACTTTGAATGGCAATCTAACTCCAGAAGTGTCATTGCTGCCATATTCATTCTTTCTAAATGCATTTATCTCTGTGTAGTTTGTGGCTTTTGTGCATAGCATAGAATGTTCTAGCCCAGGAGGGGTTATTTTCATAACCTTTTTATAATGTGTAATTACAAATACATACCATTTCCTATTACCACACCATTAAATATAATACTAAATGTAACATACATTTCTGATTTATTTTTATTGGTCTTAAATATATTACTTTACTTTTTACATACTGTAGTTATTGTTAGATTTTTTCATTTCTGGAACTCACACATCAGAAGTCACCATATAATGATGGATTCTTATATTAATTTTGAGCACCTGGGTTTTCTGTACTACTTAACCAACACTTCTCCCTCCTGGTTCTGGTATTGGCCATGTTGTTCACAGGTGATGATATACAATGAAATTATTTGTATAGACAATGTAAGTGGTTAGCACACATTCAGAACCTTTGATGTAGCTTCTGCAGAGAATAAAGGCATTGCACATCTAGTAATGATACATTCTTCACATGGCTGTGAGAATTAAAAGAAATTATACACATACAATCATTTTGTATATGGTAAAACACAATCCAAAAGTAATGTTTTATATTGCTACAAGGGGTACCTTAGATTCCCTTAGTATAATTTTGTTAAAAATACACCATTTTGCTTTTTCTTTTTTTCACTTGTTGAGCAGGTTTTCCTTCTGTCAGTACCCATTCGTTATTTCTGTAGCTGCAAAAAAAATCATTATTCAGAGAGACTCAGAGCAACAGATGATAAACATCGCAAGGGTAAGTCAGCTATAAAAACATATTTATGCTGACTATAATCAGTATAGTAAATAATTTAATAAATAATTTAAATGTCTTGTGAATTGTTCTAGCATAATCAGGAATGTTAAAAGCAAAATTCGTGTTATACTCACCCAAAAAGTGCTTAAAAACTATTTACAATTTGGGAGACAAGATAACTCTCATCTCTTCTGATCAACTTCTCATTATATTATAAATATAGTAGGAAGAGTAAATGCTTCTCACAGATTCAAATTACTGAGAGCTTGTTGGACCTCGTTTTGCAGATACCATACCACCAACCTTAGATAACCAGCAGAGCATTGAGAACTGCGGTGAGGCAGAGTGTCATTAGGCAAACCACTCAAACTACTGAAACATTTTCTAGGTTTTATGAAAATCAGAAACAACCGAAAAATTAGAAAATGTAACAAAAAGTGTGTCTTGGAGAACTGAGAAATATGCCCAAAGAAGGTGAAAGATGTTTTATTGGTTCTTAGGAAACCAAAATGCATGGAGACCCAAAGAGGCTGGGGATAGCAAGCAGACTGAGTTTAGGCAAATTGTAGAGCAGTATGAAGTTATCTCTCAGTCTGTCCTTACCACTTCCTATCCCTTGTGTTTCAGCTCAGCACAGTAATGTACTTTATCTAATAAATATCAGATTCAGTGAGGTTTTTCTGTTAGAGCTCTAAACTATTTGTTTAAGTGCTTATGTATTTCAAACATCTGCTTGTGTTACATGATTGCTCACAATTTTAAAAGAGGGAAGCTTGGCTGTGGTCTTCTTAATTGAAAAAGGAATATAGAGTAAAAAGAAATGATTTCCATCTTGTTCAAGAGTATAAAAAGAATCCTAAAGCATAAATTGTAATACTTCAAAATGCTATAAAAAATAAGAATGTTTATTCTTCAGTAATTCAGTTCCCAGAAGGTGAGTATTTCTTTCTATCACAGAGAAGGACAAAAGATTTGAGTAACTGGTGACATCCCAAAGTCATCTTATACTGAATATGGGAATATTAGAAGAAATTTTATTGCCTATGCCCATCAAGGGAATTCCAAAGCCACACTACCCCCCTGAAGAATGAGTTTAAACAGGTATATTCAGCACCAGAATTGTTACTTGATCTTGGGTAGATATTGGCTCAATGATTAGCTGTATAGCTACTCATTCTGACATTTTCTGTTAGTTGTACTCGTACAATGTCATGTGCCTTTTTAGTATTTTTTCACCTTGGTCTATGATTTTTTTATATTTGTAAGAAAATCTACAGTGCTTTTGTACGTAACAGAATGAGCTAGTTTGTGTTAAACTAGCAAGACTAAACAGTTTTTTCTGTGTCACTCACAGGATATCAAATATCTTTTTGTGGAATTTTTCTTCTACTTTAAAGAAGGAGAATGGCAGGTGTAGACTCTGTGACAGGCTAAGTTTTCTACAGAGCATGCAAACGAATGAGTAGACACTTGACATTGAGAGCTAAGTGGCATTATCAGTTTTTTATGGGTGTTTCCCAACATTTTATCTCATAAATTGCCATATCACTTGGAATTAATGACTGATGACTATTTTGACACAAGGACAATCTTACAAATAGTCAGTGTAAGCAAGAGCTTATATGGTACAATCTAAATATACAAAATTGGTTTCCTAACCTAAAATAAGTTCCTCAGTCACAGTGTCAAGAATTGTATCATTGTTGGGTTATTTTTTCATTTGGAGCATTTTCCAGTAAATATGAATTCCTGATGGGAGGAGTAGCTACTAATCTTGTTTGCCATTAGCATCCTAGCATAAATTTGTTTATTAGTTATTTCCAATGTGACAGCTGCCCAAGAGCTAGACTGGGAACAGAAGATAGGAAAAGGTAGGAAAAAACGGTCTGTAACACAGGACACTATGCTAGGAATGCAGACTTCCTTGATAAGTGAGGACACAGAAATAAAAGGCTGTTAATAGCATTTAGCGTTGTATATAGGAGAAATGGAGAAAGCTCCAAATTAGTGTTTTATTATAGTAATCTTCAAAATTGTAAGTAGCCTTAAATTGTAGATTTGTGATACTAAAATTTTATCTATTAAAGCAAATTGCTGCATGTATTTAAAATGTCTGAAATGTTTATCTTTAATCTGCACAATAGTTTTCATTGTTACCAAAAAAAGATATAGTCTAATAAAGACTATTTAGATAAATATATAAGCCTGTGGATTTTATATGACAAATGACATATTCCTTATAGATATTTTTAAATATATTGTTTTTTACCTATTCAGTGCTTATATTTTGAAAAACGGTGACAAAAGAATTTTGAGTCACTCATATCTCTATCCCCCAAGCAAAGCCATTAACATTTTAGTAAATTTTCTTTTGATATTTGTTCTATATTATCTTTAAAAGACAACAGAGTTGAAATAGTACTGTAAACACAATTTTATTTCCTACTTTCTTCAGTGTACCTTCCTTGTACTATTTACATAGTTTTTATGACCATCCTTTTTTTCATTAGTTGTATATGTACTTAAGATATTTCTAAAGTTTTGTTTTTATAGATAATGCTGTGATAAACATTGTACTGTATAAAATATGTTCTAAGAATTCTCAGTGGAAGGATTATTGGGATAAAGGATATGAATATTGTGATGGTCTTTGATACATGTTGACAAGTCACTTTTGTAAAGTAGACTAATTGTACCTTTAAAGAAAATTCAATATCTAAAAAATCCTAAGTCCAGGTTTATCATCAGGAATATATACCTTGTTTTGAATGTTCCCATTTTATATTTGTATTTATTAAACAGAAAACTTTGCTATTTAAGAGATGAGACATGGCCGGGCGCGGTGGCTCACGCCTGTAATCCCAGCACTTTGGGAGGCCGAGGCGGGCGGATCACGAGGTCAGGAGATCGAGACCATCCTGGCTAACACGGTGAAACCCCGTCTCTACTAAAAATACAAAAAATTAGCCGGGCGTGGTGGTGGGCGCCTGTAGTCCCAGCTACTCGGGAGGCTGAGGCAGGAGAATGGCATGAACCCAAGAGGCGGAGCTTGCAGTGAGCCGGGATAGCGCCACTGCAGTCCAGCTTGGGCGAAAGAGTGAGACTCCGTCTCAAAAAAAAAAAAAAAAAAAAAAAAAAAAAGAGATGAGACATACGGAAACTGTGATGCAACATTTTTTATTACAGAAGGTGAATTATTTTTGGTCCTCCACTTTGGATCCCCTTTGGTTATCATTGTTACAAAATGAAATAATAATAAGCCATTTTCACAAATCAAAATGTGTATAATTGATTTTTATAAAATTGTTTATATAAGAAATGGCATAGATAATAATTGTTATTTTTACTAAAGTGTTTAAATGTTTTAAATGAAATTATAGTCTAAGTAAAAGCAAAACTGTTTACTTTCTTATTTAATCAGCAAAGTCTGGTGGATAAAGTATCTCGAAGACAGAGACCTGATATGAATATATTATTTCTAAATATGAAAGTAAGACGGACACATCTGGTTAGCGATTCACTTGATGAGGTATAATTTATTCCAAAATGATATTAATTAAAGCTTAAAATTCTATAATATGATTATTATAAAAATCATAGTAAACTTTTTTATTTCTGTATGCCAATAAGTGTGCTTCCTTAAATTCTTTTGAAGATCTTGTTGCATACCAAGCTTCTGTAAAGTTTGATACCATAGTTAAAATCAGATCTGTATTCATAATTGTCTTATATTCATGTTTGTATGTTTATTAATAGTTTGTTAATTCCCTAGAAAAGGATTTGATGTAGAACACTTAAATGAGTAATTCATGTTTCTTAGTATATAACCTAGATTCCAGACCCACCTTTGTTCCTGGTTATGTGTGTAACAAGTCATTTAACTTCTCCAGGTCTCAGACTACACATCTATAAAATTAGAGGTCTGACCTACAGGGTATATTGGGTCTATACAGGTTCTAACATACTTTGATTGCATTTTCATGTATTATCATAAAAAATGCTTCAGCTAGATCTTAATATGGTTATTAGAAGATAATGGCTGATTCCGCTATGTGATTTATTTATTTATTTATTTTTGTGACAAGTTTTATTTTGTCACCTGGGCTGGAGTGTAGTGGTACAATCAAAGCTCACTGCCGCCTCAAACTCCTGGTCTCAGGGTCTCAAGCCATACTCCTACCTCAGCCTCCCAAATAGTTGGGATTACCAGCTCATGCTACCACACCCAGCCCTAGCTATGTGATTTTTTAAAGTTTAGCATTGAAGGGGAGTTTTTTTTAAAAAAAGAAATGAATTATATTGTGCTAAATTAAAAATTTGAAGGCAGTAGATACCAGGAGGTAGTACTTTGGGTGAAGTACCTGACCTCTCTAATTCTGTTTCCTGATCTATAAGACATAGTAAACACCTAGCTCACACAGTGTCTGGCAGATTTATTGGATAAATGGAGGGATGGAGTTTTGTAGCATTGCAAATAAGTTAAAGACTGCCTAACACATTTCCCAGAATTAAAAATGTTAATTCTCTTTTCACTGCTCTTTGTTCTCCTCTACTGTATAATATCTTCAAATAGCTAACCCGGAAAAGAGCCGATTTGAAAAAGAAGTTAAAAGTTACATTTGTAGGGGAAGCTGGTTTGGATATGGGTGGTTTGACTAAAGAATGGTTCCTTCTTCTAATTCGCCAAATTTTTCATCCAGATTATGGTAAGTATGTAATCTAATTTTTATAAACTGTGTTTCTTCATAATTGTTAGAGTGAAGTAGTCACCCTTATTTTTAACCTATTCTGTGATTTTACAGACTTTTTGTCCATCGTAAATGTTGAATAATTGTTTAAGGACTGTTATTTACATTTTAAAAACTTGTTTGACCGAATTGTTGATCAGTTGATTCTCTTACTGGGAATCCTACACAAAATGTATCAAGATTAAAAGTAAACATTTATGAGGAAACATCCATATCTTTTCTGAATAAGTCAAATGCATGAAAATTTAATTTGTCATTGAAATAAACATTTGAAATTAAAACACAAAACTATAGTTTGCTCTATAGTAACATTTAAAGCCTCTTTCATTAATGGGTCATTTTAATAAATAAGAATTCATGAATTAATTTTTTAAGAAAAAATAAGCCTTTGAAATTTTTTATTTTACAGAAACTACCTGTATAATCCTTACTATCTGTTAAACTTTTCAAAGGAGAATTTTCAGTGTTTTCCTTATTCTTTAGTTTTCTTTTCTATATGTGTATGTGATGGGAAATAGGGATGACAGTGATAAATTGAAGTCTCCAGATATCCTCAAAATTAATTTTGATCATAATTTATAATCTATGAAACTATACTTTTTATAAAGTTATCTGATTCATTTAGTTTCTATCTTTTTACCCTGTTTCTACCCTTGGTTCAGGAAAATAAAATGTTCTCCATATATATTTAATATATATATTTATATTTGCTGAGATTTGCAAATATATAGTCCCATAAATAATCCAAAATTTTTAACTTGAAAGATGGTTTGTAACAGAATTATTGTTGAATTGATTAGCTTCTAATAGATGAGATGTCATGTACATGTTTACCACTTTGATTTTTTTAAGTCAATCATGTTAATAATAACATTATTCGTGTGTTTTTTTAGGCATGTTTACATATCACAAGGATTCACACTGCCATTGGTTTAGCAGCTTTAAATGTGATAACTATTCTGAATTCCGATTGGTTGGAATTGTATCCTTTAAACTTTCCACTAGGAGGTGCTAATAGATTAGAGATTTTTAAAGATTTTATCTGTATTTTAGAAAACTGTTTTCTTTAGCCATTTTATCCAAATTAAATGTTATTGTCAAATGTACTATTAGATTTTCAGTAATCTTCATTATGTGTAATATATGTCAGTAGACTTAATTGAAAGAAATGAGAGTTTGATTTTTTTCTGAAAACCTTATCTCAAAATAAAAATGGTTCTTTCCTATTTCACATATAATTGAAGTTATCACTAATTTAAGGCATTTTTTAAAAAAAATCAAAGTATTTCCCATTTATAATGAAGTATTTTTTTTCTGTTCTTTCACTTTGTGCTCATTTCCCTCAGTTTACTGAATTGAAATTGGGGGAATTAAATCTAGCTCTTTAATATGCCTCCAAATCCTGAAACATAAAGGAAGCATCCATAAAAATTGAATGGAATGGGAATATTTAAAGCATATAGTATTATTTTATAGTATTTTTAAAAATTTTATAAGTCCATCTGCAATCCTATGATTCCTATCAGGTATATTGTAGAGGGCATTTCTGCATTGGGTAGGAGATTGGACAAGATGCCTTCTACATTAGCTTTTTAGATTCCAAGAAATGTAATTGTTTGTGGAAGAAAGGAGGGAAGAGTAAATAAATAAGCACTGGAGATAAGAAAGTATAAAAGGGGTGGGGGGGAATTCTTAATCTGTTCTCAGAGTCAAATGACCATATGGCAGTAAGTACTAAGGAGTTCTGAGAAGGAAAATATACAATGTATTTTTCCCAGAGAGGATAGAGATTTAAAAAATGGAACAATTACATTTGATTAATATATGGCTGGTGAGAGTGGTGGGACATTATAAGCTGAGAGAATGGTGAGAATAAAAAAGGCTAAATTGTGCTGGGCTTGGTAGAGAGCAGCAGCAAGCGCACTGAAAGTTATGGAAAATACCATCAGAAAATGAATGAAGAGCCATCTTTGAATGTCTGTCTTTGTTACATCTGTTGGAATAAATTATGAGACATATATATGGAAACTGAGAGACCAGATTAATAAAAGAAAGTGTAGTAGGGAACAAACTACACATTAAGATAGTAAACTCAACTTGAAATTTTGTATATATTGTTGTGTCTAAAGGTCCAAAGTGCTAAATTCCACAAAATGAATAACGCTTAACAATTCTGAGACTCCTGTTTATATTCTAGTATCTGCAGTAATCATTTGTTGAATGTTTCATCTTCATTGAAGGGCCTAATCATTGATGCTTGTCACTATACTATGAGCTATTTATATGTTCATACATATATGTTTGTCATGCTTTATATTCATATATCACAATTTAGATTTGGATGATATTTTGACTCTAATATTTACACTAAAATATTATAGCTTAGTTACATTTTTAAGTGATACTATACATAAAATCATGAAATTGCTCATTGTTTTTTTTGCAATAGATATTAGTTTCTATTTAGTCATTACCCAAAAGAGCATATTAAGCATGTTTAGATATTCTATATTTCAAGTTAAACAATTAAATCTAAAAATTATAATTGCTACTCTCATTATTATGTGTGTTTATCACACACACAGATATAAAACCTATAGAAAGCTAAATTGATGCTGTAAAAAGCATAATACTATATAGGAGAAATGTGAGATGAGAGTGGATTGTGGTCAGGTAAGGAGTTGGGAACTGAAATTTGAGAAAGAACAGGTATGAACATTGAGAAAATATAGTTGGTTTCATATATATCTCCAGTTTTAAAATTTCAGGACCAAAGATGTGTTGTTCTAGTAGTTCTGACAGTATTGTGTTTCTAATACAATTATTTTGAAGTATAAGGCCTTATTATCAGACTTCATTACACCTTAGCAAATTGAAATTTTGGTGGTCTTCCAATTTTTAAAAGTTATTTTCAGTAATTTACCCAGCTCATATGTTTAGATTTCCTTATGATCCTATAAAATGAATTACTTCCTTAATAACTTTATATAATAATTGACTGTTGAAATACTATGAAATTTGATCTAAAACCTCTCTTTCCATAAATGGATAAGTTACATTCCACCATATGACTAATAAATAATCCTGAGCAAAATTTGTAACATCTGTAGCTTTTTAACTTTGACACTGAAACTCCAAGTAACATAAGTCTTTCAAGTTTTACTGTTGGAAATTACCTATCCTATTAGCTTATCAATAGCATGTTTATATCCATATGTTTATTCAGTTTAGCTCTGTTCTTCACACATAGTCTGTTTTTAATTTTAAAATAAATAAAATGGCTATCTCCAAAATCAGTATTCTACAGTGAGATCTACTGAATAAACCATTGCTGCTGCTTATAAAATTGCCAGCATCTTTGTTTAAATTTAGAAAATGTTTTCTGTAAAATAATTACAGGCAAGTCTTAAGTTGCTGCCTGTTGTGATCTTAGATAAACTTTTCTAGGGAAATCATTGAATACTATCAACTAAACCACTCCTTTTTACATGACTTTTTGTAATCAAGGAATTATATTATGTAAAATAAAGGGGAAATAAATGAAAGAGGGGAAAGGAAATATGTGATACTAATTAGAAAGTCAGTGTTAAATCTGAAAGAAGTATGCAAAAAATAGACTGATGCATAATTCAGAACTCATTTGTTGTCATGGATTTTATGTTAATGCTTAACATTTAGTATGCATAGCTTATGGGACTAGCTGTTTATAACAGCATCACCTTGGATATTCGTTTCCCTCCCTGCTGTTACAAGAAATTATTGAGCCCTCCCATCATTCCTAGTGATCAAAATATACCAGTAGGCATCTGCAATGTTACCGTGGACGACTTATGTCAAATTATGCCTGTAAGTATAAAGTTATTAATATCTTGTCCTTTAATGCGAAATCATCTTTTTTCTACCTGCACAGTCTCTCCTCCTAATGCTATTCTTACTTTTAAATATGGTTTCCTTCTACCTTTATAACTCATCTCCTTTTTTCATCTAGCTTTTTCTTTCCTTAGAGACACATGTCACCCACTTTGCAGTGCTCCTAAGCTTTTACAAGATAGAGAGGCAGTAATTCGAATCCAGGCTCTGTCACTTACTAGCTCTGTGAATTTGGACAAGTTATTTAACCCTTCAATTTAGTTTCTTTATGTGAACAATGGGATAGTTTTTATTAATAATTTTTAAATGATGACAATTATATCAAATCTGTGCCAGCCTAGATTTGTATGAAAATTTGTGGTTTTAAAGGAATAGAACATTTATTATGTAAAATATAGAAAATCATTCTAATCATGCTATTATTTACCTTTTTCTAATAATTTAAAATAAAACTTTAATTTTTTCATAAAAATTAAATTGAAAATTTTGAAATATTGGATCAATTTTTCTATTTTTAAATCTTTATTTATGGATAATTTCAATTATAATATAATGTAAGAAAATCTTTCTTTTTTTTTTTTGAGACAGAATCTCACTCTGTCACCCAGGCTGGAGTGCAGTGGCTCCACCTTGGCTCACTGCAACCTCCGCCTCCTGGGTTCAAGTGATTCTCGTGCCTCAGCCTCCTGAGTATCTGGGATTTTAGGCATGTGCCACCGTGCCCGGCAAATTTTTTTTTTTTTTTTTTTTTTTTTTTTTAGCAGAGACGGGGTTTTGCCATGTTGGCCAGGCTGGTCTCGAACTCATGGCCTCAAGTGATCCGCCTGCCTCAGCCTCCCAAAGTGCTGGGATTACAGGCATGAGCCACTGAGCCCAGCCAGAAAATGTTTCTTTTTTTTTTTTTTTTTCTGCCCAAGACAGTCTTGCTCTGTTGTCCAGGCTAGAATGCAGTGGAACAATCTCAGCTCACTGCAACCTCCACCTCCCAGGTCCGAGCAATTCTCCTGCCTCAGCCTCCCGAATAGCTGGGATTACAGGTGTGAGCCACCACACCTGGCTATTTTTTTTTTTTTTTTTTTTTTTTTTGGATTTTTAGTAGAGACAGGGTTTCACCATGTTGGCCAGGCTGGTCTTGAACTCCTGACCTTGTGATCTGCCCACCTCGGCCTCCCAGAGTGCTGGGATTACAGGCATGAGCCACCGTGCCCGGCTAACCAGAAAATGTTTCTTTCAGTATACTTAACTTTTTCTTGGGAGGGGAGGGCACTGTGCATGTATGAACTGTATATTCATGAATGCACATGAATGAACTGTGTGTTTTATGTTTAAAATATGAATCCAAAAACATTAGCAGATTTTCATAGGAATATAAATTGAAAGTGAGAAATACTACAAATTCATAAACAGTAATGTGGCAGATAGCAGTGAATTATGACAGACACTACATTAGAGGTATGCTTAGCTTGCTGCTTAAGAGTAGACCCCAGAGTTATGCCCCTGTAGTTTGAACTGGATAGTTTCCCCATCTATGACCTATAATGATTTTTTTCTTAGCCTCTGGATGGTAGAAATCATTAACCATTTTGTGCCCTGGAAAATACATGTCAAATATGATCTTTATATACATATGCATGAGCTATAGAAAAGCCACTTCATTATCCTAGCTAATGCTATTCTATTGAAAAAATCATTAACAGATTTCTTTTTATAGGAGTTGGCCCATGGATTAAGTGAACTCTTATCACATGAAGGCAATGTTGAAGAAGATTTCTATTCAACATTTCAGGTACTATTAAGGGCAAGTAGTTATCTGTTAATCATATATTTCATATATGAACAGTGCAATTTGTTATTAAATACCCACTGTTAGAAAAGATGAACAAGGATTAACCAATACATACAATCCTCTGTCTTAAAGGACCTTAACCTGATAAAGTAGACATGTGTAGATGAGCAGTCAATGAAAGTGCTTAATGAAATTCACTAAGGGTTCAGAGTACTCTCTAGGCAATTACATATCCCCTTGAGTTGGTTACTTTCTCAGAGCTTTTTAGTTTCTAAAAATAAGCCTCTCCTGTAACTTCAACATTAGAAGCTAGGAGTAGAAACTAATGAGTCAGACCAAAACTCTCTGATTTCCACTCCTTTTACAGTATTTGGGAAATGGACATTACAGTGATCTGCAGAGCTCCAGGGACCCGCTGTGTATTATCTAGATGTCCACACAGTTTTGTGGACTTCATTAAAGTATTTAACTGTATTAGGCAGGGTTAAGTTAAGGCACTATTTTTTAACTCCATAATTCTTTTATGATCCCTCGTTCTTAATACAAATATTGCAAGAGCTTAGCCTTTTATAGTTTATGTGTTTAGAAGGAAGGGGGAAAAAAACTGTTTTTTAAATTTTACAAACCTGTTCACCAAAGTATGTTATTATATCAACCATATTAATATGTGTAATGGCATCTCCCATCAGGTTTTTCAAGAAGAATTTGGAATAATCAAGTCCTATAATTTAAAGCCCGGTGGTGATAAAATTTCAGTTACCAATCAAAATAGAAAAGGTAAGTTAATACCCTTTTTAATTAAAATGAATTAGTATTTGCCATTTACTTTTACTATTTAAGAGATGTAAAATTGCTTTTCAGAATATGTACAGCTTTATACTGACTTCCTTCTGAACAAATCCATCTATAAGCAGTTTGCTGCATTTTATTATGGATTTCATAGTGTGTGTGCTTCAAATGCCCTAATGGTGAGTTTATAACTTTAAATCAAGCTTTCGGTTAGCTTTTGTAGTACTATCATGTTAACAAATAATTAATAAATATTTTAGTAGATAAGCTTTTAAAATAGAAAATATTTTCTACTTTTTAAAAGTAGAACTAAAAACAAAAATAGTTCTCTCATTTCAGTCTTAATTCTTTAGAGGGGAAAAACACCCCAGTCAGTTCATTTTCTCTCCCCTTCTACTAAGTCTTTTAGAGCTTTACAAACTTTCTCCAAGTAGAGTGGATGAAGGGATCCATGGACTCAGGATCTTAATACTGAAGGACAAGGCACACAACGCAGTTAACATGTAGCTCCAGGGTAAAAGTTACAACTTCTTAATGATTAAGGAACATATGTATAGCTGCTTCCTGCTACCTCAGGGCTCCCTCAGCAACTCTGCATTGCCTTTTACCCTTAGCAAGTAGTTTATCTCTAGAGTTATGGTGGACTCAGTTTGGTCTGACTTGTCTTAGCCATGTGAATATGGATCAGCTACTATTTAGAATACCATGTCAGAAGTATCATAGGATACCTTTCAGTCACCCCAGCTACCCAGCACACACTTTCATCATGCCATTTATACCTCCCTTAGTTTCATTATGAGGGATTGGAGTAAGATCTTTCATTTGAATTATTTTTCATGGGAGAGAGAAATGGACTATAGAAGTTGCTTTGGGGCAAAACCAAGTGGCTTACATTATTGCCAGCTTGTTTTAGAGAAACCTTTGTAATATGTTTGTTGTCGAAAATACCTTTGAAAGAGAAACACTTTATTGAGCTCTAGTTAAGTTTTGTTTATGACACTCTGGTAATTGTGGGAGTGGACAGAGGGAAAATAAGAATTAAATAGCATAGCATGGTCTCTGTGTTTTAGAGCTTTAATCTCTGTAGGCGGTAGACTAACCCACCTGAAAGTTGAAAAAAACAAGAGACACAAGACAGACTATAACCAAGTGCCCAAACTCTACAGTGCACACAGGAGGTGTTATGGGATATTGGAAGGAGATACTAGGATACGGGATATTAGGTGGATCAGTAGATGTTGGAGCTTCATGCTGGTTTTTGGAGAAGAGTAATTTGGATTTGTGCAAAGTAATTTGCTTGTTTTTCTGGCAAACGGCTAATTACTATTTACAAGATCTATAAACTTCGGAAGCAAAAATATCTTGCCTTGGCAGGAAAAATATACCCAGAGTCGATTTTTCTTCAACAAAAATGGTTTGATTTACTATGAGAAATCATGACTTTTGTGATTTGATCCAGTGAAAATAGTTCCAGTTTCACTTAAAACCATCACTCTTTAATTATTGTTTTTGATAAATAATTATTGGCAGCTGCTTCGTCCAGAAGAGGTTGAAATTTTGGTCTGTGGAAGTCCTGACCTGGATATGCATGCTCTGCAGAGAAGTACTCAGTATGATGGCTATGCAAAAACGGACTTAACTATAAAGTGAGCTCTTTATACTTCTGATAGTGGGGGATGTGGAGAGGGAACAGCAGACAGTGTGGTTCATTTATTTGCATAACTTACAATCTTTGAATCAATTAAGTTAGTCAAAATATTAGAGAGTCCCACAGTCTTATTTTATCTCTGGAAAGTCTATGAGAATTTTAATATGAAATCACTCCCTTTGGGAGAAAATTCTATAAGCAAGTTTCTACAAAAGTGTAGAGATTTTACTTTTAAAAAAATGACTTTGCTCCTAGAATTTCATGGATGCTATCCTTGTAAATAACAGTTTAATAGCACTATGTTGAAAAATAAGACTTGAAAGTTATGCAGGAGAAAAATGGTTCCTGTACTATCCACTGCTGAACTTATATACTTTTATAAAAATATTATTTTATAATGTTAGTCAAAAGTCTAATACGTATATAGAAGCTCACCATTCCTTAATTTTACAGAAATTCAGGATATTATGTATGCTTAAGGAAAGTCCTTTCCTTAGAGCTTCCTTTATATTACTTTATTATAGGATTTTTGTCAAGACATTTGATGTTAATTTCCTTTGGTATTCTCTAGATACTTTTGGGATGTTGTGCTTGGATTTCCTCTTGATCTTCAAAAGAAGTTGCTACATTTTACTACAGGGAGTGACAGAGTACCTGTAGGAGGGATGGCTGATTTGAACTTTAAAATCTCAAAGAATGAAACTTCTACTAACTGGTAAATTTCTGGATCTAATTTTATTTTAAATCTAAAGGTTACTGCTAATACTGCTAATGATAATACATTTGGAATCAGGATGTGTACTCCGTTTGAAGTTATTTTCATAGAAAAATCTTCAGAGTAAACATGGCCTTGAAATGTAAGAGATTTTGATTAAAAGTTCTCTTACTAGTTTTTGAGACATACTAACTAATAATTCATTTCTAACAACTTTTTACTTTGCTAGGTCATATAAGTGCTTTGTAGACTCTTTTAGAACCTAGTTACTTTGTAGTAGTAGATTGTCTAATGTTCATTTTTATTTAAATGTGAAATGTGTTTTTTATTTTTAGGAAAATCATTAAGTTGGGATATCTGGTTTGTTTGTGGAGTTTTCTTTCTTTTCTAGGGGGTTGGGGGATACTATAATTATTACCAGAAGTACCTCTAATACTAATCCTCTTTTTTTTTTTAATCTCATGCTTTTTGTATATGAAGTGATGGTGATGATGGATTTAAATTATTTTCTAGCAGTGTTAATGCATTAATGCTTATCAACTTACTCCTTTTCCCAAATAACTTATAATTTCTAAAGCTAACTTGAATAGACATAACTTTGATTATAATCATTTTTGTCTCCTGCCCCATACATTGAACATTCCCTAAGTGCTCTTAGTTCTTCCTTTCATTTTAAAGCTGGAATCTGTTCTTTGCTTTTCCACTGCCTCTACCTTGGTAAAGTTACTTTTTATCTTCATTACTAGCTTATTTTATCCTATTAAACTCATGTGCTTTAACACTATTTAGATCATATTTCCGTGGGAAATAACTTTATTGCCAGTTTAAGTTCTAGAATCCAGAGACTGTAAAATAAAGCTCTAGTCTTCTACCCCAGGCTATCTACCAGTTTTCATTTCTTTCTATGCTTTAGTCAACAGGCTGTTTGCTGGTTCCTTAGATATATTTTATGCCTTTCTTCCTCCATGCTTTCAAGTTGTTCCCTTTACATGTGATGTGCCAGCTATGACTATTAAAGACACAGTTTAATGTTGACTTCCTCTGTAAAGCCAAAAGTCATTATGTATTGAGTTTCTCAAATATCTTGTAGAAGTTATGTGCTAGTTACCATGTTGCACTTTATATCTGAGTCATTTAGTTCTTCAAGAAAGAGGTTATGCCTTATACATATTTGTATGCTCCAAGTAATCACACATGGTAAGTGCCCAATAGCTATTTCTTCAATAGTATTTATGTCATCATCAAGATTATATTTAAAACACAAAATAAATATTTACATATATAATTAAATTTCTAAACAAAATTTACAATTAAAGTCCTAAAATGAAAAAATTCAAGAGGATTTTTTTAGATTATAGATTTTTTGCATAACAGAAGTTAATTTTTCAGAATATTTTATTTTATATTAAAAACATTTCCAATTTTAAAAGAGTAATCTGAGCAATCTGTTTTAATACAAAGGTGACATTACTTCTAAACTTTCCCAATAATTATTATTATTTCAAGAATATGTGAGCTAACATGGCTTCAACATGAATCTAGAACCTCTAGGATTCCCAGTGGAATCTCACATATATTAAATAAAGCTGACTATCAAAGACATACAACATTTCAATTTGACATAATAATGGTATGCCTCAAAAGACAAGGACAACACTCCAGCTGAAAGAGGAGTTTCCATTCATCTTATAAGGTCCACCATTGAATATTCATTCACTAGATTTTTGTTAAATAAGAATGGTAATTCCATTAAAAGGTGGGCAAAGGACATGAACAGACACTTTTCAAAAGAAGGCAACATGCAGCCAATAAGCATATGAAAAAATGCTCAACATCACTAATCATTAGAGAAATGCAAATCAAAACCACAATGAGATACCATCTCACAGCGGTCAGAATGGCTATTGTTATATTAAAAAGTCAAAAAATGAGGGAGGAGCCAAGATGGCCGAATAGGAACAGCTCCAGTCTACAGCTCCCAGCCTGAGCGACGCAGAAGATGGGTGATTTCTGCATTTCCATCTGAGGTACCGGGTTCATCTCACTAGGGAGTGCCAGACAGTGGGCGCAGGTCAGTGGGTGCGCACACCGTGCGCGAGCCGAAGCAGGGCGAGGCATTGCCTCACTCGGGAAGCGCAAGGGGTCAGGGAGTTCCCTTTCCTAATCAAAGAAAGGGGTGACGGACAGCACCTGGAAAATCGGGTCACTCCCACCCGAATACTGCGCTTTTCCGACGGGCTTAAAAAACGGTGCACCACGAGATTATATCCCGCACTTGGCTCGGAGGGTCCTACCCCACGGAGTCTCGCTGATGGCTAGCGCAGCAGTCTGAGATCAAACTGCAAGGCGGCAGCGAGGCTGGGGGAGGGGCGCCCACCATTGCCCAGGCTTGCTTAGGTAAACGAAGCAGCCAGGAAGCTCGAACTGGGTGGAACCCACCACAGCTCAAGGAGGCCTGCCTGCCTCTGTAGGCTCCACCTCTGGGGGCAGGGCACAGACAAACAAAAAGACAGCAGTAACCTCTGCAGACTTAAATGTCCCTGTCTGACAGCTTTGAAGAGAGCAGGGGTTCTCCTAGTACGCAGCTGGAGATCTGAGAACAGGCAGACTGCCGCCTCAAGTGGGTCCCTGACACCTGACCCCCGAGCAGCCTAACTGGGAGGCACCCTCCAGCAGGGGCACACTGACACCTCACACTGCAGGGTACTCCAACAGACCTGCACCTGAGGGTCCTGTCTGTTAGAAGGAAAACTAACAAACAGAAAGGACATCCACACCAAAAACCCATCTGTACATCACCATCATCAAAGACCAAAAGTAGATAAAACCACAAAGATGGGGAAAAAACAGAGCAGAAAAACTGGAAACTCTAAAAATCAGAGCGCCTCTCCTCCTCCAAAGGAACGCAGCTCCTCACCAGCAACAGAACAAAGCTGGACGGAGAATGACTTTGACAAGCTGAGAGAAGAAGGCTTCAGATGATCAAATTACTCTGAGCTACGGGAGGACATTCAAACCAAAGGCAAAGAAGTTGAAAACTTTGAAAAAAATTTAGAAGAATGTATAACTAGAATAACCAATACAGAGAAGTGCTTAAAGGAGCTGATGGAGCTGAAAACCAAGGCTCGAGAACCACGTGAAGAATGCAGAAGCCTCAGGAGCCAATGCGATAAACTGGAAGAAAGGGTATCAGCAATGGAAGATGAAATGAATGAAATGAAGCGAGAAGGAAAGTTTAGAGAAAAAAGAATAAAAAGAAACGAGCAAAGCCTCCAAGAAATATGGGACTATGTGAAAAGACCAAATCTACGTCTGATTGGTGTACCTGAAAGTGACGGGGAGAATGGAACCAAGTTGGAAAACACTCTGCAGGATATTATCCAGGAGAACTTCCCCAATCTAGCAAGGCAGGCCAACATTCAGATTCAGGAAATACAGAGAACACCACAAAGATACTCCTCGAGAAGAGCAACTCCAAGACACATAATTGTCAGATTCACCAAAGTTGAAATGAAGGAAAAAATGTTAAGGGCAGCCAGAGAGAAAGGTCGGTTTACCCTCAAAGAGAAGCCCATCAGACTAACAGCGGATCTCTTGGCAGAAACCCTACAAGCCAGAAGAGAGTGGGGACCAATATTCAACATTCTTAAAGAATTTTCAACCCAGAATTTCATATCCAGCCAAACTAAGCTTCATAAGTGAAGAAGAAATAAAATACTTTACAGACAAGCAAATGCTGAGAGATTTTGTCACCACCAGGCCTGCCCTAAAAGAGCTCCTGAAGGAAGCACTAAACATGGAAAGGAACAACCGGTACCAGCCGCTGCAAAATCATGCCAAAATGTAAAGACCATCGAGACTAGGAAGAAACTGCATCAACTAACGAGCAAAGTAACCAGCTAACATCATAATGACAGGATCAAATTCACACATAACACTATTAACTTTAAATGTAAATGGACTAAATGCTCCAATTAAAAGACACAGACTGGCAAATTGGATAAAGAGTCAAGACCCATCAGTGTGCTGTATTCAGGAAACCCATCTCACATGCAGGGACACACATAGGCTCAAAATAAAGGGATGGAGGAAGATCTACCAAGCAAATGGAAAACAAAAAAAGGCAGGGGTTGCAATCCTAGTCTCTGATAAAACAGACTTTAAACCAACAAAGATCAAAAGAGACAAAGAAGGCCATTACATAGTGGTAAAGGGATCAATTCAACAAGAAGAGCTAACTATCCTAAATATATATGCACCCAATACAGGAGCACCCAGATTCATAAAGCAAGTCCTGAGTGACCTACAAAGAGACTTAGACTCCCACACATTAATAATGGGAGACTTTAACACCCCACTGTCAACATTAGACAGATCAACGAGACAGAAAGTCAACAAGGATACCCAGGAATTGAACTCAGCTCCACACCAAGCAGACCTAATAGACATCTACAGAACTCTCCACCCCAAATCAACAGAATATACATTTTTTTCAGCACCACACCACACCTATTCCAAAATTGACCACATACTTGGAAGTAAAGCTCTCCTCAGCAAATGTAAAAGAACAGACACTATAACAAACTATCTCTCAGACCACAGTGCAATCAAACTAGAACTCAGGATTAAGAATCTCACTCAAAGCCACTCAACTACATGGAAACTGAACAACCTGCTCCTGAATGACTACTGGGTACATAACGAAATGAAGGCAGAAATAAAGATGTTCTTTGAAACCAACGAGAACAAAGATACAACATACCAGAATCTCTGGGACACATTCAAAGCAGTGTGTAGAGGGAAATTTATAGCACTAAATGCCCACAAGAGAAAGCAGGAAAGATCCAAAATTGACACCCTAACATCACAATTAAAAGAACTAGAAAAGCAAGAGCAAACACATTCAAAAGCTAGCAGAAGGCAAGAAATAACTAAAATCAGAGCAGAACTGAAGGAAATAGAGACACAGAAAACCCTTCAATAAACTAATGAATCCAGGAGCTGGTTTTTTGAAAGGATCAACAAAATTGATAGACCGCTAGCAAGACTAATAAAGAAAAAAAGAGAGAAGAATCAAATAGATGCAATAAAAAATGATAAAGGGGATATCACCACTGATCCCACAGAAATACAAACTACCATCAGAGAATACTACAAACACCTCTACGCAAATAAACTAGAAAATCTAGAAGAAATGGATAAATTCCTTGATACATACACTCTCCCAAGACTAAACCAGGAAGAAGTTGAATCTCTGAATAGACCAATAACAGGATCTGAAATTGTGGCAATAATCAATAGCTTACCAACCAAAAAGAGTCCAGGACCAGATGGATTCACAGCCGAGTTCTACCAGAGGTACAAGGAGGAACTGGTACCATTCCTTCTGAAACTATT